>NC_000020.11:44496537-44799567 GCF_000001405.40 Homo sapiens
AATCCCAACACTTTGGGAGGCTGAGGCAGGTGGATCACCTGAGGCCAGGAGTTCGGGACCAGCCTGGCCAACATGGTGAAATCCCATCTCTACTAAAAACACAAAAATTAGCCAGGTGTGGTGGCGCGCACCTATAGTCCCAGCTACTCAGGAGACTGAGGCAGGAGAATTGCTTGAACATGGGAGGTGGAGGTTGCAGTGAGCCAAGATGGCACCACTGCACTCCAGCCTGGGCAACAGAGCAAAACTCTGTCTAAAAAAAGAAAAAAGAACCAGTTACAGATTTCTTTGTTCCTTCTCCATTCCTCACTTGGCTAGCCAAAAAGAAAAAGAACAAAACCTCTATACTGAGAACCAGGTCCATGGCTACTCTTTGGCAGGCAGTTTCTTTGATTACCAAGAGAAAGTTTTACTTCCCAACCAGATAACCCGCAAGACCAACCTAGAAAATAAAGGAGTCCAGCATGGACCTAGAAGCTTTCTCCCGGCTTTAACGAGGTAAAAGTGGCAGCCACTGCTATTGCCTTTGATGAGTTCCTAGAGCATGTCCCTGATCTGAAAGCCAGGGCCCCAACCCGCATTCCCCAAGGCTAGGCAAGCCCTTTCATAGTGATGAAACATAAAGGTACTCATCTGGAATGAAAGGCCACCCTGAGATCTGATGACTCAAAATACTCCCCTGCTTTAAATGATGATCCTGGCCTTATTCAGAATGCTGTCTTACTCATGCTTGTATATAATTCAGCATTCACATGTATAATTCACTTGAGTCTTGATTAGACTACTGGTTTTCCTACTAAGAGGCAGACTTCACTACTTCTTAAGGTAGGACCAAGCAAAGCAGGGACACTGCCTCCCGACTTTTAAAGAGCATTTGTTACTTCAAATTAATATCAGTTATCATCATGAGAAAAAAATAAAAACTTTATTGGACTTTGTTACATTTATTTTACAGTTTAGTATTGTTTGTATTTTGAATTACATTAAGGCGGAGGATGGGGCACTGTAATGTTTTTGAAGTTTAGGACCTTTAAAGCTCTTAAGCTGACTCCGCTACTGTAAAGAAAAGCAGGGTATCTGCTTCACACTGGCAAAATAAGGGGCTACATTTCCCCATCTGACCCTCAAATCCCTTGAAACGCTATACCCTGACATAAACCACTGGTTTAAAAGACAATGATTCCAATAATTTATATCAAGTCCTGCTTCCCTACCCCACACCTCCACCCTAACTGAGCCTGTCCCCTCTGTGTTCCTCTGTCTAATTCTGTAACAAAATCTGAAATCCAGCCTCCATCAGATTCTGGCTAGATATCTCTGACCTTTGAATATTGTCTTATTTTAGCCCATAATGAGATCAGCAGCTACTGTCAGTGCTATGTCAGTGCTAAAAATGGGTTACACTTTGCAAAATAACTTTATTCTTTAACAATCTTGTACACTAGGCACCAACACTGAGGCTCAGCTGCCTGTGGTCATAAATCAAATAGTACGTACTCAACAAATAATAGCTGACAAGTTTGATAGCCAGAAAACGGCAAAGCTGGGATGCAAACCCAAGCAGTCTGACTCCCAAGCCTCTTAACCATTCTTAAGAGACCACCTACCTCCATTCTTCTTCGAACACATGTTTTTCCTGTTTGCCACCTGAATACGTGGAACCACCATCCACCCAGCTGGTTAAACCAGAATCACTCAGAAATCTACCTCTCCTTCATATTATTCATAACTGCCAGTGTTAAAATTCTAATTGCTGGCCAGGCACGGTGGCTCATGCCAGTAATCCTAGAACTTTGGGAGGCCGCGGCAGGTGGATCACGAGGTCAGGAGATCGAGACCATCCTGGCTAACATGGTGAAACCCTGTCTCTACTAAAAATACAAAAAAAATTAGCCAGGCGTGGTGGTGGGTGCCTGTAGTCCCAGCTACTAGGGAGGCTGAGGCGGGAGAATGGCGTGAACCCGGGAGGCGGAGCCTGCAGTGAGCGGAGATCGCACCATTGCACTCCAGCCTGGGCGACAGAGCAAGACTCCGTCTCAAAAAAAAAAATTAAAATTGAAAAAAAAAAATTCTAATTGCTAAGTAGCCCTCACCTGTCAATTTCTCCCCGTCCCTACGATTCCACTTCTCTATTTCACATCTCATATGGACTGCACCTGGTCTCATCTCTCTAAATCCATTCTCTATATATCAGCCCAAGTGACTGAAGATAAAATTTGTTCATGACACTATGAATATGTTTTCAGCCACCCTCAACATAAGGTCCAAACTCTTTACTGAGGTTGATAAAGCCCTTTAAAATTCAGTCCCTGACTACATTTCCCCATTCCAGCTTTACTGAACTTTTTTTCCCCATCTTCCTGCCTTTAACATGCAGTTTTATCTACTCCAGCAATGTCGTCTCATTTTCCCATCTCTCTCTTAGCTAACTTCTAAGAGTTCTTGGCTTAAATATCATTTTCTCCAGAAAGCCTACCATTACACCAAATACCTCTCCTTTGAGTTCTCTCCAATTCCTAAACCACAGCACTAATTCACATTATAACCACCTGTCAGCTCATTTGCTCTCTTCTCTAAGCTATTAAAGTCCAAGACGGCAGAGCCTCTATCATGTTTAACACTGTACCCCAAAACCTACAGGGTCTAGTACAGAATAGACAGTAAATCTTTGTTGAAAGAACTCTTTTATTCTACCTTTTTGCACACCACCTCTCATGAAAATGGTTCTTGACAATGCCTTCCGTCTCTCATCTACCAAGTGTCTTACCTAGAGAAGGTATTTAGGACTTTTGAATAAATTCAAGACTTTGCTCACTAGTCAGACCGTAATTTTTAGAAGGAATAGGAGCATCCTGACTAGAAGCGTGATAAAACCTGGCTATCCAGAAAATAAAGAATGGCTGCTAACTATAAAAGCTGTTGGAAGAAAGGGCCTTAAAATCTTAAAAGTCTTTGTATTTTAACCAAATACCTTCATAGTGCAAATATGATAAATTCACATGCATTTTACTTTTACATACTCATAACAAGATAGTAACACAGACTAAAGCTGCAGTGTTTTCCCAAGTGAATCTTCATTTTAACCAAACTCACAAAGCATTTATGGAAATTAATACATCTGGCAAAGCACCAGACTTGAATCAAGCAGTCTCAATGCTACAGTGTAAAAAAAGTAAATTAAAAAACTCAAGATGTAGAAGCAGTAGCCATATCAGCAACCATTCTTCTAGGGAAGGGACCCACATATACGATCCTTCCCCAAGAACTTTGATGCTACCCCGCTGAAGAGTTTAAGCACAAAACACAGTGCTTGTATCATATAAGTAAGGACTTTCATAGAGGAAAACTGTAATATAAATGCATTTTTTTTTTTTTGCTTTTAAAGGATACTGCAATATAAATATATTAAGCATGGCCTCAAATATCCAACATTTTCCTATCTTACATTTTAAACCAAAGTTAAAAGAACCTACAGGCTTTATAAAGAACTCTCTTCACAGCACAGCTGTAGTTCACTTTAAACAAAAAATGTTCCCTTTGTGCTATATCCTTAGAAGTAAACATAATATACAGATAAATGAGAAGTTTCGATTCTGCATCAAGCATTATTCAATCTCACCTTCTGATATAAACCTGCATACAGTCAAACTTGCAAAGCATTCACTTAATATTTTAGTTGAAACAAACTTAAAAGGTATATGGGTTTTCGGTGAAGGAGACCTTTGTGAGTTCCAGTGGTGTCCTTGGCACTCAGAGGTTCAGCTGAAGTCCCGACTGGTGAGGACAAGTGGAGCCACAAGGGTCCAGACGTAAAGCAGGAGGCAGACCCAGCTGGAGCTGATCTTGACCCACACAGCTGGCCACTTGCTGGTCATGCTCTGAAACTTTGCATCAGGGCTAAGAAAACAAGAGAGAGTCAGGTAGAAAAGCCTGGTCTACCTGACTTCTATCAGCCTCCTGCAGCCCCCCAGCCAAGGCCAAGAAATTCTCCAGTGAAACTTGGCTGGCACTACCCCCCAGTAGGGTTGAAGGGGACCAGAGGAAGCTGCTATTTTTAGTTCTTATGACCAAGAACTAAACAGCTCATTGACTCTGCCTCTCAAATGACTTTTCTTCTTGCCAGCATGAAAGACCCTATCAGGGCAAAGTTCTTTAAATGTTCCTAGTTACTGGCAAAGGTCTAGATTGAGATAGCCTCCCTGAAACTTTCCTTCCTTAGTACATTATTACGGGAACCAGAATGCTCTGACATGGCCATCTCTATACACAGAAAATTAGTGAACAAAGATGGGTCAGATTGCTTTATGTCATGATTTTCTCTCTCAATTAACTCAACTCTGTAAGAGCTCCCAATGATTTGCATTGCAAAGAATTCCAATGGGTTTTAAATGCTAGAGGGGATAAAGTCAAGAGTATTTAACCCAACTTCATTATATGGGTAAGAGCAAGGGTTCTGAGGTCAGGACAATGGATGAGATTTTATAGGCCATCCAAGGGTTTTATGGTCTTCTGTCTGTTTTGTCTGTGTCTCCTACCTGTACCAGCTGGTCAGGGTCATCATGATGTACAAGGAAGCCAAGCAGAGCATGAGGTGGAATAAGGAGTAGCTATACTGCACTCCCTCTTTCTCGTTGTCCACAGCCCGCCGAGGCTGTCCATCTTCTTCATCACTGGCACCACTGGTAGTTGTATCACCAAGGATGACGCTGTCACTCCCTGACAGGGTCAGCTTGTCTACTTGGCTATTAGTGGAAGTGCGGATGCTGGAAAGTGATCCCAAGGAAGACAAATCAGAAAGGGGCCATGACAATGAACTGCTGCCACTGGCCTGTATACAAGACACTTACTGCTGAGCTGTTCCTACTTTGGAGACTGAAAGCTTTCTGAAGATCCTGCTTAAAGTTCTGAACTGCTGCCTGTCATCATAAGACTGACGTCACTGTCATCAGTTACTACTTGATGTGATGGCTTAATTGCTTAGGAGTTTCATAAAACACACTATGCTCTCTGTGTCTGTTTCCGTGACTTCACAAGTGCCGCTTCTATGATTGGAAGGTACCACGTGCCAACCTCCTTCCAACTAACTTACTCATCCTTCACTTCTCTGACTTGCTGTCATGTCCTCTGGAAGGCCTTCCCTGACATCACCCCTCACTGGCTAGGTTACAAGACACTCCTCCGACTTCCCACAGCTTCCTAGGCTTCCTTCTGCCACTGCACATATCACTCCTATCTTCCTTGCTATTCAAAGAATGCCTTAACAGTGACCTTAGTCTATGTAATTCTAGCACTACAGATGTTCACTAAAAGTTTGTTAAATGACTGAATAAAAATGTAAATACAAAAACAGGACAAAAATTACATGCTCGTTTCAACAGACACAGAAAAAACATCTCACAAATCCAATACCTTTCCATGATAAAAACAGTCAAAGTAGAACTTCCTCAGGCTGACAAAAGGAACAAAAAACCCAGAGCTAACATCATACTTAACAGTGAAAGACTAAAAACTTTCCCCCTGAGATCAGGAACAAGACAAGGATCCTACTCTCACCATTTCTATCCAACAATGTAGTAAAATTCTAGCCAGAGCAAATAGAAGAGATAAATGGTATCCAGACTAGAAAAGAAGTAAAACTATCTCTATCTGTAGATGACTTCATCTTGTTTATAGGAAATCCTATGGAATACATACACATGCAAACTATTAGAACCAATAAATAAGTTCACCAAAGTTGCAGGATACAAGATCAATATATAGAAATCAGGACTGGGTGTGGTGGCTCACGCCTATAATCCCAACTACTTGAGAGGCTGAGGTGGGAGGATCGCCAGAGGACAGGAGCTCAAGACTGGCCAGTGCAACACAGCAAGACTGTTCCTAAAAAGATTAAAAATTAGCTGGGCATGATGGTGTGTGCCTGTAGTTTCAGCTACTCAGGAGGCTGAGGTGGGAGGATCACTTGAGACCAGGAGCTTGAGGCTGTAGTGAGCTATGATCACACCACTGCATTCCAGCCTGGATGACAGAGCAACACTTCTTCTCTTCAAAAAAAAAAAAAAAAAAACACAAAAATCAATTGTATTTCTTTTTGAGATGAGGTCTCACTCTGTCACCCAGGTGGACTGTAGTAGTACAATCACAGCTCACTGCAGACTTGACCTCCTGGGCTCAATTGGTCCTCCCACCTCCCCAAGTAGCTGGGACTACAGATTGCACCACCACACCTGGCTAATTTTTATAGAGACGGGCTCTTACTATCTTGCTCTGACTGGTCTCAAACTCCTGGATGCAAGCGATCCTCCCACCTCAGCCTCCTAACGTGTGGGAAATACAGGCATGAGCCACCATGCCTCGTCACCAATCATATCTCTATACACTAGCAATAAACAACCCAAAAGTTAAGCTAAGAAAACATACATTCATTTATAATACCATCGAAAAGAATAAAATACTTAGAATTGTATTTAGAATAAAACACTTAAAAACAAAATAAGTTTAAGATTTGTATACTAATAACTAACTATAAACCACTGAAAGAAATTAAAGACCTAAATAAATGGTTTAAGTAAAGAAGACTTCAGTAAGGTATCTTCATGGTCACAGACTGGAAGCCTTAATATTGCTGAGATGACAATACTCCCCAATTTGGTCTATACAGATTCAACTCAATCCCTATAAAAATCCCAGCTACATATTTTTTTGCAGAAATTGACAAGCTGATCCTGAAATTCACATGGGAATGCAAAGGACCCATAACTGCCAAAACAATTTTGAAAAAGAACAAATTTGGAGGACTCATACTTCCTAATTTCAAAACTTACTACAGGCTGGGCATGGTGGCTCACACCTGTAATCCCAGCACTTTGGGAGGCTGAGAAAGGAGGATCACCTGAGGTCAGGAGTTCGAGACCAGCCTAGCCAACATGGTGAAACACTGTCTCTACTAAAAATACAAAAATTAGCCAGGCATAGTGGCAGGTGCCTGTAATCTCAGCTACTTGGGAGCCTGAGGCAGAAGAACTGCTTGAACCCAGGAGGTGGAGATTGCAGTGAGCTGAGATCCTGCCACTGCACTCCAGCCTAGGTGACAGAGCAAGACACTGTCTCAAAAAAATATATATGTACACAGCTCTGTAACTGAAGCAAGTAAAGAACTTTTCATTAAAGAGAGTGAAGTTTTTAAATTTCTCATGCTGCTTTTTGAAAGCAAAACAGCTTCTTCACTTTATTATCAACCTCCATGAAAATCTTGTTCTAAGTACCTTTTAACTTACCTAGAATACAAGAGGCAGAGAACAAAGACAAACAGTCCAATAAAATTATCTGAATCCAGTAAAGACCCACTCTTTGATGGTGGAGTAGGGGTAGGGACCACAGCAGTTGAATTTCCAGGAGCCAGGGTTGGTGCAGTTATGCGTGTAATAAAGCTCATCAGGTTGGGATTGCAGGAACGATCTGAAAATGAGAAAATTTGTATTATCCTTGGTTACAGCTCATCTTGTTCCAAGAAAGAACTTGAGGAGTTCCCTACATATCATTCAGTCATGATGTGAAACATGGGAATGCTTTACTTAAAAAATCTGAAACTTAGCAGTCAGTAGTAACACGTTTGGTCACAATCAATGACAGAATTAGGAAAAAAAAAGAAAACAACAACAGAATCTGTCAAATTTCATAAACATCATTATTGATTTTATTGGTTTTGTAGTTTGACAAATCTTTTTAATTCTTTAAGTGTCAAGGTTTTAAGCACAGAAGTTTATCTCTATTTTGGTTTTTACATAGTTACTTAAGAACAAAATATAAGTTATCATTGGTGGAAGGGGGGTCTGCATTGTTTTCCTTTAAAAGAAGCCCATAGAATATCCTACTGAGAAACAATCCTATAATAACTACAAAAGGAGATTTCCTACAGCTGTTTCTTCTACAGCCTGTGACATCAAACTAAAATTCAGTCACAACAAAGGGCCAAAGCCCTTGACCACAGCTCTTAACTAGTTTGACTCAGCCTAGGTTAGGTAAAGCCTAGACCATCTAAAGGACTCTGACCCTTTAGACTGTCAGTTATAAATAGCTATCAATAGATGTGGGGACTAAAATGTGAAAGGTAAATACCTACAAACCTACAGTGAACACTGTACGTTTAAGTTTTGTTTGCTTGTTTCACATTTGCTCTAGCTCTAGTTTTTGTACCAACTATGTAAAGGCTGATTTCCTACTTTCTTTTTATCAAATGAATGTGTTATTGACATTCCCTTACCAGGTTCATTGGACATGGCTGACCAGGTGAGGTACATAGTGTAGAGGGTGATGAGGGAGGACTGCAAGAGGCCGGAGCGAGGCTGGTGTTCCTATGGAATCAAAAGGAAAACAGTGGCACAGGGACTGCCAAGGGCTGACTTTCCAAAATGCAGTGCACTTCTCTGGAGTTAATTCAACTATCAGTAACTGAGAACTTTCGGATTCTTCTTGAGAGTTGAAAGGTGACAAGTAACCTTCTGTTCAGTTAGCTCGCAAAAGAACCCAGAAAGACCAAGCAAGTACTACTGGTTCTCAACGCATTTCACAATCCTAGAAATTCCTGTGCATCACACAAGGACTTTGATTTTCCACTCCCTTGGTGTAGTGAAAAGATCTAAGATCAGCTCTGCAACTAATTAGTAGCTGGGAGAGGCCTATCACTTCTTTGAGACTTCTGTTTTCTCACTTTTAAAAGGAAAGGTGATGTCTAGATAGAATTTTCATATTTCATATCTATAACTCCATGAATTTTTTTAAACGGTTTTTTTTTCTTTTTTTTCTGAGACGGAGTCTCGCTTTTGTCACCCCGGCTGGAGTGCAGTGGTGCGATCTCAGCTCACTGCAACCTCCTCCTGGGTTCAAATTTCTCCTTGCCTCAGCCTCCTGAGTAGCTGGGATTACAGTGCCCGCCACCACACCCGGCTAATTTTTGTACTTTTAGTAGAGATGGGGTTTCGTCATGTTGGCCAAGCTGGTCTTGAACTCCTGACCTCAGGTGATCTGCCCGCCTTGGCCTCCCAAAGTGCTGGGATTACAGGCATGAGCCATCACGCCAAGCTGGAGTTTCGCTCTTATTGCCCAGGCTGGAGTGCAATGGCGCAATCTCAGCTCACTGCTACCTCCGCCTCCAGGGTTCAGGCTATTCTCCTGCCCCTCAGCCTGCCAAGTAGCTGGGATTACAGGTGTGCGCCCCCACGCCTAGCTAATTTTGTATTTTTAGTAGAGATGACGTTTCACCATGTTGGTCAGGCTGGTCTTGAACTCCTGACCTCAAGTGATCCACCCGCCTTGGCCTCCCAAAGTGCTGGGATTACAGGCGTTAAGCCACCACACCCAGCCTAAACTATGGTATTTAGAACTCAAGAGCATGAGTTTTGTTTTGAAATATTAAAATCAATTATTTTTCAGTTTAATTCCCCTAAAATATCTTGGCTAATGACTCATAAGAATCATTCCCAGCCACATGCGGTGGCTCACAACTGTAAAACCAGCACTTTGGGAGGCTGAGATGGGTGGATCACCTGAGGTCAGGAGTTCGAGACCAGCCTTGCCAACATGGTGAAACCCCGTCTCAACTAAAAATACAAAAATTAGCCGGGCATGGTGGCAGGCGCCTGGCCAAGGCTGGAGAATCACTGGAACCCAGGAGGTGGAGGTTGTAGTGAGCTGAGATTGCACCATCGCACTCCAGCCTAGGGGACAAGAGTGAGACTTTGTCTCAAAAAAAAAAAAAAAAAAAGACTCATTCCCGGCCAGGCGTGGTGGCTCACGCCTGTAATCCCAGCACCTTGGGAGGCCGAGGCGGGTGGATCACGAGGTCAAGAGTTCAGCCTGGCCAAGATGGTGAAACCCTATCTCTACCAAAAATACAAAAACTGGCCAGGCCCGGTGGTGGCTGCCTGTGATCCCAGCTACTCGGGAGGCTGAGGCAGAGAACTGCTTGAACCCAGGAGGCAGAGGTTGCAGTGAGCCGAGATTGTGCCACTGCACTCCAGCCTGGTTGACAGAGCGAGACTCCATCTCAAAAAAAAAAAAAAAAAAAAAAAAAAGCACTATAAATTTTCAAGTTACCTGGGTTTTTTTTTAATGATAGTGAAATTCATTTAATTATGATATAGGCATGAAATAGAATTATGAAGACTTTATAATATGGAAAAATGTTCAAGTGGATAAACTTAGACATAAATTCATAAGAAAGGGTACCTAGATTTTAAGCTTAGAATTAAAAACCTTTCACAGGAGAAAGAAGTAGTAAACAATCATACCTGAATTTTTGGGTGGATCGATATAATAGAAGCCACAACGCAAAGGATCAGGTTAATACTGATGAAGAACTTGTTTTCTGTGCAGCCATCTGGTTTGGTGTAATATGTATAGAGCAGCCCGACACAGATGATTGACAGGATATAAAAGGCGCTTGTGAAAGACAGTAAAGCTGGAGAAAGGGAAACCAATATGAATGACCACAACTATAATAAACTAATAATGAAGGCCAATTTTCTTCCACTCCATATAAAAATGAGGAGACATTATGTCACTTTTCTGGGGTAATTTACAGTAAAATTACAGAGGTCTCAAGGTTAAAGTATCAAGATTGTATTCAATTGGCTTGATGTTAAATTCCAAAATCCACCAAGCAACTGAATTCACTTCCTGAATTACCTGATTTGATTTCATGGGTTGATTACCAGACATTTGATCATTCCAGCTAGAGTTTACTGCTACCTATATGTTAATTAATGTGTATTGTGAGCTTTTCTTAGGAACCTAAATGATTCCTTTACCCTCAAAATGACCCAGTTCACAGCAAGCTCCATGCCAGGATGGTGTTAGAGGAAAACAGAATACACACACTGGTATCTTTTTATGACAGTTTTTTCCTCTGCAGCCATTGGCTATCTAAATCCATTTCCCATCACAAACAATAAGACTGTCCCTGAACTGGAAAAGTGGCTCATTTGCTATTTTTTAATATCTAAAGTAATGGTCTTTTCCATTCACACTAAAAATCAACAATTAGCTGTGTTGGCTGAACATGGTGGCTCATGCCTGTAATCCCAGCACTTTGGGAGGCCAAGGTGGCTGGATTGCTTGAGCCTGAGTTCCAGACCAGCCCAGGCAACATGGCCAAACCCTGTCTCTACAAAAAATACAAAAATCAGCCAGGCATGGTGGCATAAGGCTGTAGCCCCAGCTACTTGGGAAGCTGAGGCAGGGGGATTGCTTGAGCCCAAGACATAGAGGTTGCAGTGAGCCGAGATGGTGCCACTGCACTCCAGCCTGGACAACAGAACAAAACCCCATCTCAAACAACAAACAAAACAATTAGCTGTGTAGCTCTGAAAATTAGAAAACATGAAACAGCACATACAGTACACTCAGACCAACTGCAAGAATGATGAGCTCAGCTAACTTGTATTCAAGTCAAAGCCCAGATTAAGAAAACTAGTTTCTACTTATCTCAATGAATTTTGCATGTCTAAAATTAAATGATGTACATTAAGTTACTAGCACACTTAATGTTTTCACCTCTGAATATACAAGATTTTTCTACACTTAGTTACTGTAAAGTATGACCAATTTGCAACTCAATAAATTCTTCTAGAGTTGTATGATCCAAAATGAATTAAAGAAAATAACAGCCGGGTGTGGTGGCTCACGCCTGCAATCCTAACACTTTGGGAGGGCAAGGCAGGTGGATCGATTGAGTCCAGGAGTTCCGGCAACATGGCAAAACCCTGTCTCTACAAAAAACACAAAAATTAGCCGGTCGTGGTGGTGTAGGCGTGGTAGTGTGGGTGTGGTGGTGTGCACCTGTAGTCCCAGCTACTTGGGAGGCTGAGGTGGATAGCTTGAGCCAGGAAGGCAGAGGTTGCAGTGAGCCATGATTGTGCCACTGTACTCCAGCCTGGGTGAGAGAGTGAGACCCAATCTCAAAAAAAAAGAAAAAAAATAGATAAAAATAAAATTGTCATTACAAACAATTTAAATGACCAACACTAGGGTAAAGGTT
Organism: Homo sapiens; assembly: GCF_000001405.40. NCBI lineage: Eukaryota > Metazoa > Chordata > Mammalia > Primates > Hominidae > Homo > Homo sapiens. The sequence goes on from NC_000020.11 coordinate 44,508,575, forward strand.
AAATAAATTATGGTATACTCCGCTATGGAATGCCATGGAATTGTATGGAATGGAATACCATGCAGCTTACAGTAAACTCCATGCCAGGAGCTTGAATGCAGGTTAAATGAGTAAGACATACCTACACTCACTGGTAAGGAAGGATATTCATCATGTAGGAAGTGAAAAGAGCAAGTCATGGAACAACATACAGTACAATCCTGTTTACATTTAAATACAAAAGCAAGGTGAATGCATAAATACATAAAGGTTCACAAGAGTGGCTACATCTGGAAAGGAAAATGGGTTGCAGATAGGTGGAGATTTGCATGTTTTAGTCTTTATAAAGTTCTATCATTTGTCTTTATGGTAAACATAGTATTTTTAAAAACATGTAAATATTTTAAAAAACTAAATCAAATGAAAATAAAACTGCGCAATTCAATAGTATGTACTGAAAGCATTTTAAAATATTCATACACTTTGACTCTTCTATTTCTGGGAATCTGTCCTAAGGAAATAATCAGAAATGTGTGCAAATGTATATTATGAAGTAGTAAGTGCTCTAACATAGCCAAAATATATTCGCAAGCTACTGTTAAATCCCATTATCACTCTAGAAATTGTAAGTGCCCCTTTCCCACCAGAAAGTTTTTCATAGCAGGTATGGGGCCCCTCTCTGAATAAGGCCATAAGGACTACTCACTCCTATCTGCCTAAAGTAGGTGGGCAGCTGTCCCATATGTTGAACCCATCTGAGTTTCCTCTCCATGGAAACAAGGTTATCAAAACCAGAACTAAGTCACTAAATATAACTGTTTTTCCTTATCTAAACACATGTAATTAAATTATGACTCTCAAAATACATAAATTGGGAAAATCGAACAATTTATATTATCTGTGCTACTTTCTTCCAGTGATGCATATAATTCAGAGCCAAATTCTGGAAATTGTGGATTTTTTTCCTTTTATTTAATGTTATTATTATTTTTAGAGACAGGGTCTTGCTCTGTCACCCAGGCTGCAGTACAGTGGCATGATGATAGCTTACTGCAGCCTTGAACTCCTGGATTCCAGAGATTCTCCTGCCTTAGCGTGCTGAGTAGCTAGGACTATAGGTATATGCCACCATGCCTGGCAAATTTTTTTTTTCTAATGTAAAGATGGAGTCTCAATATGCTGCCTAGACTGGTCTTGAACTCCTGGATTCAAGCCATTCTCCCACCTTGGACTTCTGTCCCTGAGGACTATAGCTGCTGGGACTATAATGATGATTTTTATTGTACACCGTGCTTAATGTAGCAGTATGGCTAACATAGGTGAGTAGAGATACCTACCAGCATACCACAACCTTGGGTTTCCTTCTTCCATTCGATTTACCCATGATTCATTCCAAGAATGAGCAAAATCTACCAGCAGCACCAGCTGAATGAGGATGAAGAGGGCGGCCCCTATCATGCCAACAACAAACCAGACTACAAGAACCAAGAGAACAAAGTTATTCTCTACCATAGAGTAACATTTCAGAAGATCCAACATTCTGAACGGATTTCAATTAAAACAAGACAGAGGTGGTAAAGACATTCTGTCTCCAGCAGTACAGCAAGATTCCAAACTCAACGGCATTCTTAAAAGCTTTCTACTGGGTTTCAGACCTTTTAAAATATGTTTTAGCTTGTGCCAAGGGAAGCCTGGGACCTGAGTTCCAAATGATACTATAAGTCTTTTCTTTTAAATCACAGTAGAAATCTAAAGATGTCACCTGATGCCATGCTTAGGAAGTAGGTTAAGACAGAGATAGGGGAGCACAAGAGTTGTAAGTCCTTATTTTGACAGGCTCTCTGATTAGCTTTGTATTCCATCAAGTGAGAACACAAACTATTAAGATATTGCCAAAAGATTAACATATGGTTCCAGAAAATCTGAGAGGTGCAGTGAATGCCTCCTGACCTAAATCCACATATTAATAATGAGTTGCAGCCGGGCGTGGTGGCTCACACCTGTAATCCCAGCACTTCAGGAGGCTGAGGCAGGTGGATCATGAGGTCAAGAGTTCAAGACCAGCCTGGCCAAGATGGTGAAACCCCGTCTCTGCCTAAAATACAAAAATTAGCTGGGCGTGGTGGTGGGCGCCTGTAATCCCAGCTACTCGGGAGACTGACGCAGAGAACTGCTTGAACCCAGGAGGTGGAGGTTGCAGTGAGCTGAGATCGTGCCACGGCACTCCAGCCTGGGAGACAGAGTGAGACTGTCTAAAATATATATATATATATAGTGAGTTGCAGGTACTAAGTCATATTAATCGGATACCATCTCATTTACTTGTCAGTTCTACAAAAACAGTAATTAAAAGGTAGTTTTGTTTTGTTTTGTTTTTTGAGACAGAGTCTTGATCTGTCGCCCAGGCTGGAGTGCAGTGGCACGATCTTGGCACACTGCAACCTCTGCCTCCCAGGTTCAGGCAATTTTGCTGCCTCAGCCTTCTGAGTACCTGGAATCACAGGCGTGCACCACCACGCCTGGCTAATTTTTGTATTTTTAGTAGAGACAGGGCTTCACCATATTGGCCAGGTTGGTCTCAAACTCCTGACCTCAGGTGATCCGCCCGTCTTGGCCTCCCAAAGTGCTGAGCTTACAGGTGTGAGCCACTGCACCCGGCCTAAAATGTAGCTTTAACTCAATCATCTATAGAGTTTATATAGTTTAAAATTAACCCCCTCAATGGTGAACCCTACCTGAGCTGAAATAGCCCCCAGGGATGTAGAAAGAGCCAACCATGATTCCAATAAGGGCAGCAATTTTGAAGAACCAAAACCTATTAAAATATAAAAATGCATTTATGAAATGCTAAGTTTCACCCTTATACTGAGAAAAATTCATTTCTGAAATGCAAAAATAATAACTTAATAGCTTTTTTCCCAACATGATTGTCTGGACTATTTTCTTCATTTGACTATTCATTTAATAGGCTAATTCATTTAATATTTCACACAATTAAAGGACAACATTAGCCTAGAAGATAAATCACTCACATTTATTACCAGAGAAAACTGAAAATTTAGAGTCTCCCTACTTTTAGCACTTAAAGGTAGGCATTTTTCTAGCATTCTGGGAGTTCTAAAATAACAGTGTTAGGTACACACACAGCCATTAACTGTTAAGGTCTGGATGAAAAGTAATCACAAATATTTACAACACAGGGCACAGATACCTTGCCCACAATGACACAGCTCATCACTGGCACCTGATTTTCAGTTCATGATCTTTAATGACTGCCTTGTATGGCAGAGTGGAAAGAACCAGGCTTTGGAGCTGGACAGATCTAAGTTTCAATCTTAGCTCCAACCTCCAACTGGTTAACAGGTCTCAGACAATTTATTAACCTCTCTGCAGTTCAGTTACTACATCTGTAAAAAGGGGATTATAATACACATCAAGTTTATAAAACGCCATTCAGTCTTTGAGAATTAGAAATACGGCTGGGCACAGTGGCTCACGCCTGTAAGCCCAGCACTTCAGGAGGCAAAGGCGGGCGGACCACCTGAGGTCACGAGTTCTAGACCAGCCTGGCCAACACGGTGAAACCCCATCTCTACTAAAAATACAAAAATTAGCCAGGCATGGTGGCAGGTGCCTATAATGCCAGCTACTAGGGAGGCTGAGGCAGGAGAATCACTTGAACCCGGGAGGGGGAGGTTGCAGTGAGCCGAGATCACGCCATTACACTCCAGCCTGGGTGACAAGAGTGAAACTCCATCTCCAAAAACAAAACAAAAAAAAAAAAAAAAAAAGGAGAGAATTAGAAACATAGGTAAAAGGTGGTCAGGAGTCAGAAGCAATAGAATATGTAAATCAGTAGCACATATATATTCACTGACTTTTGTACACTGTTTAAATTTATCAGGTACATGTTTATCTTTAAACAACAGAAAGAAAAAAGTGTGTGTGTACGTAGTATCTAGCATAGTGCTTCAACTATTTAACAGGTGTTCAATAAAAATCTAAGAACATGAAGCAAAGGAATTTAATAGAAGAAAATAAAAAGACAAGACCCCCTATCCCCTCCATGTTACAGCAATCTAACTGAAAATGACATTAAAACAATTTCACATGCATAATAGATCAGAAATGCATCTGAGCCACTCATTTACATATTCCATTGATTTCATCAGAATGGCTATATTAACTGCTGAAGGGAAGGAAGAGCCACACCATAATGTAACCAGTTAATCATAAATCTAACATACCCATTGTGTACTGCCGCTCGGAGATCTTTACTTGTTTTTACTTTGAACATGAGCAGAGAAAAGACAAAGAAAAAGATGGCCATGGCAAAGCTGATCCGATACACAGCTTTATAACCAACCAGCACATCACAATCTTTATCTGCATTTATATCAGCCTCATGGATTTTAAATCCCCCTTCACAAAATCCAGGAATCTGGAAAAAAGCAATTTCAATGTTACGAGAATATCTACATTTAGACAGAGACTCTAACCCACTGCAGGAAAGCCTGGATTTAGAAAATTAACTACTTCAACAACTGCAAGACTGACTATGGAATTTTTCTCTTTGTCTTCCAATTCATTTACAATCTTGTTACCAAACAGTATAAATAACATGCATTTTAAAAATAAAAATGCTCTCTCGGCTGGGCACGGTGGCTCACATCTGTAATCCCAGTATTTTGGGGGACCGAGGTGGGTGGATCACGAGGTCAGGAGTTCGAGACCACCCTGGCCAGCATGGTGAAAACCCTATCTCTACTAAAAATACAAAAAATTACCCGGGCATGGTGGTGCATGCTTATAATCCCAGCTACTCGGGAGGCTGAGGCAGGAGAATTGCTTGAACCAGGGAGGCGGAGGTTGCAGTGAGCCAAGATCATGTCACTGCACTCCAGCCTGGGCAACAGAGTGAGTCTTAGTTTCAAAAAAATATGGTCTCTCTTCTTTGCCCTTTTAGGATGAAGAGGCTGTGTGCCACTTTCCTGTGAGATTTTCCAGCTACGACTGAGTCCTTCCAAAGGTGAAGAACTAGTCCAGTTTAGATGCTTCGACCTTTAACACATAAGGAAAGAAAATGTTTTGGAGCCACCCTTTTAATGTTTTCTCTCAGTTGTTCGACTGGAGCCCAGATGTTCATTCTGTATTTCTGGAAAAGGACTAATGTCCTCATATTTCTGTGTTTTGACCACACCCCCATATAAGTAAAAAATCTCCAAATTACAACCAACTTGATTAACAACGACGAAATAAAACTAGAATTTTGCAGAATATAAAAATAAAAATAACCAATACCTTAAGGGCACTGTTACTTCTTACCTTCTTCAAGTAAGTTTCCATCTCTTTTCTCTGCATGATATAGGATACGACAGTGCTCAGGAGGAGAATGAAAGCATAAATGAGGCGAGTCACCGTGGAATTCTTACTGTTAGGACAGCAACTACACAGCAAACATGAGGCACCGCTGCAGAGGCATGGAACCTGGAATGAGCACACCATGGTCACCTGAGACCGCCTTCAGTATACTCCTTTATGACACAGATGTCGCAGAAGAGAAAGCGAGGCAAATCAGGCTTTATAGTTTTAACTCAGAGAATCATGGCTGGGAGGAAGTGGTTAAAAGTACGGGCTCTGGAGTAAATATTATTTCTGCCGCTTTTTACCCCAGCAAGTTACGTACTCTAACCCCATTTGACCATTTGTAAAATGAGCTCAATAATGGAATTTTCCTCCCTCAGACTCTGCTGTATTAAATGAGCACTCAACACTACCTAAAATGCATTAACAGTTCAATAAATGTTAATTATATTCTGAGAGCATCATTTGTTTTAAAATATGAGAAAAATATAAACCTAACTCCACTTGCTGCTTACTGCGAATCCAAGTTACCAAAGCTGATATTACAACATAAAGCAACATGCCGGGCGTGGTGGCTCACGCCTGTAATCCCAGCACTTTGGGAGGCCGAGGCGGGTGGATCACAAGGTCAGGAGATCGAGACCATCCTGGCTAACACGGTGAAACCCTGTCTCTACTAAAAATACAGAAAAAATTAGCCGGGTGTGGTGGCGGACGCCTGTAGTCCCAGCTACTCAGGAGGCTGAGGCAGGAGAATGGCATGAACCCAGGAGGCGGAGCTCACACTGAGCTGAGATTGCGCCACTGCACTCCAGCCTGGGCTACAGAGCGAGACTCCATCTCAAAAAAATAAAATAAAATAAAAAAATAAAGCAACACTACATGGAAACCCTCTGACAAATAATAACAGCAAGGGCCATTTAGCTCAATTCAAGAGGAACCAGGTTCCTCAGAAAGTTAAATACAGAATGACCATATGACCCAGAAAGTATATACCCGACCCCAATAGCTGTTTTGTTTGAAACTGCTATTAAAACAAAAGCTTGTACACGAATATTCACAGCACCACTATTTACAATCACCAAAATGTGGAAACAACCCACTGTCCATTAATTGATAAGTAAATATGGCCTAAGTAAAAATATGGTATATCTGGCTGGGTGCGGCAGCTCACACCTGTAATCCCAGCACTTTGGGAGGCTGAGGTGGGCAGGTCACCTGAGGTCAGGAGTTCAAGACCAGCCTGGCCAACATGATGAAATCCCATCTCTACTAAAAATACAAAAATTATCCGGGCGTGGTGGCTCATGCCTGTGGCCCCAACTACTCAGGAGGCTGAGGCAGGAGAATTGCTTGAACCCAGGAGGTGGAGGTTGCATTGAGCTGAAATCATGCCACTGCACTCCAGCCTGGGCAACAGAGTGAGACTTGGTCTATCTATACAATGGCTTATTCAGACATAATAGATAGATACATGATAGAACACAGGTGAACCCTGAAAACATCATGCAAAGTTATTTAAAAAGCCAGACATGAAAGGTCACATACTGTATTAGTGCATTTATATAATAAAATATCCAGAATAAGTGAATCTAGAGACAGAAGATTAGGGGTTGAAGGGAAGGGAAATGGGAGTGATGGTTTAATGGGTAAAGGATTTCCCTTTAGGGCGACGAACTAGACAGATGTGATGGCAGCAAAACATTGTGAATGTACTAAATGCCACTATACGCTTTTTTATTTTTTTTTTTTTGAGACAGTCTCACTCTGTTGCCCAGGCTGGAGTGCAGTGGCACAATCTCGGCTCACGGCAACCTCCACCTCCTGAGTTCAAGCAATTCTTGTGCTTTAGCCTCCCAAGTAGCTGGGACTACAGGTGTGCAATGCCACCCCCAGCTGATTTTTTTTTGTATTTTTTAGTAGAGACAGGGTTTTGTCATGTTGCCCAGGCTGGTCTTGAATTCCTGAGCTCAGGCAATCCACCCACACTGGCCACCGAAAGTGCTGGATTACAGGCGTGAGATACTGCACCCGGCCCACTAAACATTTTGAAATGGTTAATTTTATGTCAACTTTACCTCCTTTTTTTTAAAGAGTAACCTAGGGCCAGGCGTGGTGGCTCACGCCTGTAATCCCAGCACTTTGGGAGGCCAAGGCAGGTGGACCACAAGGTCAGGAGTTCAAGACCAGCCTGGCCAAGATGGTGAAACCCCATCTCTACTAAAAATACAAAAATTAGCCGGGTGCAGTGGCAGGCACCTGTAATCCCAGCTACTCAGGAGGCTGAGGCAGGAGAACTGCTTGAACCCGGGTGGCCAAGGTTGCAGTGAGCCAAGATTGTGCCACTGCACTCCAGCCTGGGCGACAGACTGAGACTCCGTCTCAAAAAAAAAGAGTAACCTAGATCTTTAGTCTGCTAAAATCTGTTAGTGACCACACTACATGAAAGAAGATATAATTTTATTTCTTTTTTTCTTTTCTTTCTTTTTTTTTGAGACAGGTTCTCACTCTGTCTCCCAGGCTGGAGTGCAGTAACGCCATCTCGGCTCACTGCAACCTCACCCTCCTGGGATCAAGCAATTCTACCTCAGCCTCCCAAGTAGCTGGGATTACAGGGATTACAGACACGTGCCACCATGCTCAGCTAATTTTTGTGTAAAGACAGGGTTTCACCATGTTGGCCAGGCTGGTCTCGAATTCCTGACCTCAAGTGATCTGCCCGCCTCCGCCTCCCAAAGGGCTGGGATTACATGCATGAGCCAATGCACCCGGCCTTTGTTTTGTTTTGTTTTAAAAAGACAAGGCGTCACTCTGTTGCCCAAGCTGGAGTACAGTTGTGTGATCACAGCTCACTGCAGCATCAAACTCCTGGGCTCAAGCGATCCTCTGGCCTCAGCCTCCTGAGTACAAGCAAGCACCACCATGCCCAGCTAAGAGAGGATATAATTTGAGTCATTATGCTTGATTAGGAAACTGCTTGAAATTGCTCTGAGGGGGTGACATTATCAAGTCATATTACAAGGACAAGCTAATTCAGAATTAGCAGAAGTAAACAATGGATAACTCTGGTCTTAAAATATGGTCCCAGGAATAATCTTCATTTTTTTATAGATGGTATCTTGTGTGCACTTTATGATAATTTTGTGTGGTTTGCAGCAGGGTGCTAACATTCTAAAAAAGTTCAGTTTTCTCATCTGTAAAAATGAGCATAATACCACCTACTCGAACAGGGTGATTGAGCAAAGAATGAGATGATGTCAGGAATATAAAGAACCTAGTATAATGCCTGACATATTTATCAGGCTCAATATATCGTGGTAGCCATTATTATTTGTAATTGCAATAGCAATGGGAAATTGACCAGCCAGTCTCAGTCTCCAATTCTTAACTACAGTATAGGCCAAACACTGCAGAGGCATGTCCTCCACAAATTCTTATGTTGAAGTCCTAATGCCCAATTCCTCAAAATGTATCCTTACTTGGTCACTGCAGATGTAGTAAGTTAAGATGAGGTTATATGGAGTAGAGTGAGCAGCTAATTCAATATAACTGTGTCCTTATAAAAAGGGGAAACTTGGACAAAGGCTTACAACACAGGGAGAATTCCACATGCCATGTGAAGGCAGAGATCTACAAGCCAAGGAACATCAAAGACTGCCAGCAAACCAAAAAAAAAAAAAGCCAGGGGAGAGGCATGATACAGATTCTCTCTCACCACCCTTAGAAGGAACCAACCCTGCTGACACCTTCATCCCAGACTTCCAGCCTCTAGAATTCAGAGATAAGAAATCACTGGGTTTAAGCCACTCGGTCTGTGGTACTTTGTTATAAAGCCCTGGCAAACTAATAAACTTACTTACCTATAGTTGTCTTAAGAATGTAAATATCTCGAAGGGGAGACTATCTTTACAACGTTATATCTTTTGTATCTTTACAGAGCAGGTACTCAGTAAATATCTGTGGGACAAATCTGTCCTACTATATGTTATGTCATTTTTCTATTTCAGTAAATGACAACTCCATTCTTCCTGTTGCTTGGGCCCAAAACCTGGAGTCATCCCGAATGCCTTCCCTTTTCCCAAAATCCTCATCCAATCTGTCAGTACATCAGCTCTACCCTTAAAATATATCCAGAATCTGACCATTTTCACAGTATCCTTAGCTATCACCTTTGTCCAAGCCACAACTATCATCTCTCATCTGGATTAAGCGCAAAAGTTCCCATCTCACAGCTGTAGCGACCCATTCAGAAGCTCTGAGTTGGCCGGCACAGTGGCTCACGCCTGTAATCCCAGCACTTTGGGAAGCCAAGGCAGGCAGATCACCTGAGGTCAGGAGTTCAAGACCCGCCAGGCCAACACAGTGAAATCCTGTCTCTACTAAAAATGCAAAATTAGCCTCAAAAAAAAAAAAAAAAAAAAAAGAAGCCCTGAATTGTTATAAAGATTATTTTAAGCTTTTAAGCTGAAGCATCTGAGCTTCAACAGATGCAGAGGAAAAAAAAAAGCCTTCTGGGAGCTTCTCTTATCTGACTAAAAGCAGCAACTTCTGGGAAACGAGGCTGCCATAAAGTCCCTCTCCAGGGCAGTTTTAAGATCATGAAGAAGCTGGAAAGACCCACCATACCTGCATAAACAAGTACTACCACAAACGTATTTCCTATTTATTCTCCTAAAAAAACTTGTCTTTCCTAAAGAAACCTATTTGTTCTTCTCATAGAAGCCTTTCTCCCAGCTTCCTTTTTCCTACTAAATTAGAAAGCCTTGGCTGGGTGCAGTGGCTCACACCTGTAATCCCAGCACTTTGGGAAGCTGAGGTGGGCAGATCACCTGAGGTCGGGAGTTCAAGACCGGCCTGACCAACATGGAGAAACCCCATCTCTACTAAAAATACAAAATTAGCCAGGCGTGGTGGCACATGCCTGTAATCCCAGCTACTTGGGAGGCTGAGGCAGGAGAATCGCTTGAACCTGGGAGGTGGAGATTGCAGTGAGCCAAGATCCCACCATTGCACTCCAGCCTGGGCAACAAGAGTGGAACTTGTTTTCTCAAAAACGAAAAAAAAAAAAAAAGCCTCAAGTTCTAACCGCCCCCTTTGAGTTACTATTACTGAGCACTCCTGTGTGTACATGTCTTGCATGCATAAACTCTAAATAATCTGTTTTGTCAGTTTAATTCACAAGCCCCCAGAAACAGAACCCAAAAGGCTGGAGGAAGATTCTTCCCAGCCTACACTGCTTTACCTTTACTTTTCTACCATCTATTCTCCACACAGCAACCAGAAACCACCTCGTTAAAACACAGGCCCAGATCACATCACTCCTTTTTTCAAACTCTGTAATAGATTCCCATATAACTTAAGAGTAAAAGCCGGGCAAGACGCGGTGGCTCACACCTGTAATCCAAGCACTCTGGGAGGCCGGCGGATCACGAGGTCAGGAGATTGAGACCATCCTGGCGTGAGCCACCATGCCTGGCCTTCAACTCACCAGGATTTTCTAATGTGATAGAAGATAAAAGAAAAATTGTACAGTAAACGATTATTTCATAAAACTTTGTCTCTATATGGGTGCATCAGATCACAGATCAACTATGTACAATCTTTCTTTAGGTCAAGGTCAGAATAATTAGAAAACCACTGCTCTCAAGAAAGCCCTTAAAAATGGAACACTCTTTTGATTTAGGACCAACAACCTTAAAATACATTCTGTTCCTAAGAAATAGTGGAATGAAGCCAGGCATGGTGTCACACACCTGTACTGGGAAGGCTGAGGTGGGAGGATCACTTGAATCCAGGAGTTCAAGGCTGCAGTGAGCTATGACTGAGCCACTGCACTCCAGCCTGGGTGACAGAGCAAAACTCTGTCCCCCTCCAAAAAAAAAAAAGAAAAATAGTAGAAAGAGCTGAAACAGAATCCTTGGTGTAATACTGTCAAATATATGTATGTTTGGTTCCCATTTCCTGGCATACAATTTCTAAAATCCTTGGAATAACCAGCGTCTTTTTGTATGCTAATGAGATGACTGGTGACTGGCAGCCCCTAGGTGGCTTCATGATGGGTGAGGGTCATAGTAGGAGGTTGGGACTTTTCAGTCTCACCCCTGACCCTCCAAGGAGGGGCTGAAGGTTAGGTCAGTAACCAAAAGCCAATGATTTAATGAATGCTGACTACATAATGAAGCCTGCATAAAAGCTCAGAAGGACAAAGTTCAGAAGAACTTTTGGCTGGGCATGGTGGCTCACACCCCAGGAGTTCGAGACCAGCCTGGCCAACATGGCGAAATCCCGTCTTTATTGAAAATACAAAAATTAGCTGGGCGTGGTGGCATACACTATAATCCCAGCTACTCCGGGAGGCTGAAACATGAGAATCCCTTGGAGGTTGAAGAGAGCCGAGATGGCGCCACTGCCCCAGACAGAGCATGGAAGCTCCAGACCCGTTCCCTCTACACCTTGTCTTACATATCACTTCATCTGTATCTTTAAAAATATATTAATAGTAGCCATAAAAAAAGAAGAAAATCATGTCCTTTGCAGCAACAAAGATGCAGCTGGAGGCCACTATCCCAAGTGAATTAATACAGAAACAGAAAACCAAATACAGCATATTCTCGCTTACAAGTGGGAGCTAAACACTGGGAACACAGACACGAAGATGGCAACAATAAACACTGGAGAGTCCAAGAGTGGGGAAGGACGGTGGGGGGATAGGGGTTGAAAAACTACCTGTTGGATACTGTGTTCACTGTTTGGGCAACGGAATCATTAGAAACCCAAACCTCACGATAAGGCAATATACCCATGTAACAAAACTGCATATGTACCCTCTGAATCTAAAATTAAAAATACATAAATACACAAAATAAAATACTTTTATAATAAACCAGTAAACATGTTTCCTTGAGTTTTGTGACCAAATTAATCAAAGCCAAGGAGGGAGGTCACGGGAACTTTGATTTATAGGTGGCCGGTCAGAAGCACAGGTAAAACAACCTGAGGCTTGCCATTGGCACAGAAAGTGGGCACAGTCTTGTGAGACTGAGCCCTCCACTTGTGTGATTTGATGCTATCTCCAAGTAGAGAGCTTCGGAATTGACTTGTAGGGCACCAAGTTGGCATCCCCTGCAGAGCTGACTGTTTGCCTGATGTTTGGGGGAAAATCCCCACACACCACACATCAGGTGTCAAAAGTGTGTTGTGAGTACAGCAGGAGAAACTGAGTGTGCTTTTTCTACACACTTGGTCAATTAAATCAGCTGGAGAATGAGGAATCAAGGAATCACGCTCCTCTGAAGTGGGTAAATGAGGGAACTCAGCATATTCTTTTATAGGCCCTATAATTTTCTCTTTAAAATGTTTACAGTTTACAAGGTGATTAAACCTTCACTTCACTGTCACAATCGTTCTCGAAGAGAGGAATGCTGGGGTGATTATCCTCGGATAAATGACTTACAGCAGTCCCAAAATATTCAGGCCCTGGTTTCCAATTTTGAATAACAATCCACAAGGGCTTCTTTCCCTTGCACCTGAACTGCAGACAAGCCTCCGCTAAAACCCCAGCTTTGCCACACACTCTGTAGTTTTGGCAAATCCCGTGCTAGGGGATAAAAATATTACTTGAGCCACCTAGAACTAAATGATGGCACCTTAAGAGGTGCTTCGGGAGGAACCGGAGCCCCTCGCTGGGAGCTGTCATTCCTTGGTCCCTCTCCAGCTCCAGAGGAACCTAGTCAGGAAGCCTCGCAGGGCGGAGCCATCCGAATTGTAAACAATGGCGGCCTAGCCTCTTCCGTTCCCCGAGGAACCCGGAGGGCGAGCCGCCTAAGCTGGACCTGAGGGTATCGCGGATTTGCGTCTGGGGCCCCGGAGACCCTCTGTAGCCCAGGGCCTGCTGACATCCCGAGAGCCTCTGGAGCCAAGGCCCGTGCAGCTCTGGTCTCGAGGCCTTTCCCCGCAAACCGCAGGTCCGGCGAGGACTCGGGACCCCGAACTCACCCAGCTGGCGAGGGAGAAGACACCCAGCACAGCCCCCATGGTGACGCCAGTGATGGAGGTGGCCGGTCCTGAGGCTGCTTTCTAACACGGTGGTAACTGCCAGCTGAGGTGACTCCCCAGAAACATGACGGTTTCTCAGGCCGGAAACGCAGCCTTCCACAGACGCACGGATGCGTCACGGCGTGGCCCCGCCCACCGTCCGCGACCGGAGCGGCAGAGGGGGGCGCCTGTCATTGGCTGAGGGGGAAGGTGGGGCTAAACCATCCTGGGGTTGCAGGAACTGTGAAGGTGTCATTCCTTACATCATTTGTATTCATTGTGCAAAGATCTGGAAGTTACAGAAGTGTACAGAGAGGCACAGTACGCTCAGAATTTATTCTCTAGTTAATAGGAGATCTGACAACATAAATGCACCGTGCCCCAATGTAATGAATACGATGAAGTAGTATGGGGGAATAGGCTTTCAATAAAGGTGTATTTAGTGCCTCCTATTGTAAGGGGAAAGTAATTTAGCTGGGCAGTAGTCTTGGAAGGCTTCTCTGAAGGATTTATTTTTTAATCTGCGAACTAAAGGATGAGTCCAAATTAACCTAGAAACGATGGAAATCGTATCCTAAAATGTGGGATGCACCCCATTTGGGAAAAATGAATGGCTCTAAGGGTGCATGAAGGACATTAAGCGATATTAAACAGCAGAGTGAGAACGTCCCATTTCAAACCAACAGGCTAGTTGTTTGAGGCCAGTATGGTATTTAACATTTTTCTAGTATTTATCTCCCTTTCTAACAGAGTAAAGCCTTCATTTTCCAGATCTCTCAAACAGGCAACCATGCCTGCAGTTTTAAAATATTGTTTTGTTTTGAGGTGTGTGTTAGCAATAACCTTTTCATTTCTTCCGAGCAATGCTGATTTCCCATTTAAGCAGTGATGTAAATATTCCTTTCAAAATACATGTCAAATTTGAGAGTTCACTTAAAGAAGAAAATGAAAACATTTTTTACTTACACATATAATAGTTTAGGTGGAATGTGGCAAACAATGATGATGTCCGGACAACAAGGTGTCACACTTCAATATCTTCTCCTGTGGTGTGTTAATCTTCCCTGATAGATAAAACTCTCTGGAAGGGGATTCATAATTGAATTCCTTCTGGATTGTCAGCCTTTAGTCTGATAAGGGAAATTCATGAAAAGCCCCTCTCTCCATGTGCTGTTCCCCAAGCAATCATCATACCAGTGTGGCATATTTGGGGATGTTATTTCCTGGATTCCTTGAAAATGTATTCCAAATTCATCTTTTACAGAAATGGAATGAGGCTCAAAGTTTGCCCAAGGCCATGAAAAGGGCTGATGAAAGAAGAAAGAGAACTACTCACATTTAATAATTCCTACCTCTCTTTTCCCAGATCCCTCTCCTCACCACACATACACAAATACCAGCTCAAGTCAAGTTGCTTCAGGACCACTGAACTTTCCAGGTAGTCCTTAACATTCTTGCTTCTTCCTGTCTGAGTATTGCTGGTCTGGACTTAAGAGAGCTGACTGTGATAAATTTTACAGATCGAATTCTACCAGAAACATACCTGTAGTCAAAAAGAATTAGGTTTATTTAGCTTGTTCAGAAAGGGAGAACACATATCAGAGAAAATATAAGGTGTCTTGGTAAGAGGTGACTGGGGAGAACTTATTTTAGGATTTGGGTTTATGCTGGGTAACTAAATCTAAGGAGAGTTTAAGGAGGAGGAGAACAGTTTTGGATTGGACACAGTCAAGGAGTAGAGGCAATTCAGTGATTAGGTATCTTACAAATTTTTATCCAGAAGGAAGAAGGATTAAAACAAGGCTAGATTAGTCCTTGGAAAAGTGTGATACCCTACCTTGTCTTAACCTGAATTGACTCTCTCTTAGCTGAGGGAGACAGACAAACTCCATTTTGGCTCCTTCACTTGCCGCTCCTTACCCATCCCACTTCCTCAAGGATTTAACTTGTGCAAGCTGACTCCCAGCACATCAAAGAATGCAATTAACTGATAAGATACTGTGGCAAGCGATAGCTGCAGTTTCCAGGAATTCACCCGGTTGATAGTACCCTAAGCCCCTGCATTTTTGTCCGGTTGATGGTACCCAAAGCCCCCACATCTATCACCTTGTGATGGATTTAAAGCCCCTGCACCTGGAACTATTTGTTTTCCTGTAACCATTTGTCTTTTTAACTTTTTTGCCTGTTTTACTTCTGTAAGATTGCCTCAGCTAGGCTCCCCCTCCCCTTTCTAAACCAAAGTATAAAAGAAAATCTAGCCCCTTCTTCGGGGCCGAGAGAATTTTAAGCACTAGCCATCTCTCAGTTGCCGGCTAATAAAGGACTCCTGAATTCGTCTCAGAGTGTGGCGTTTCTCTATAATTCGCTCGGTTACAAAAAAAGAAGCAAAATCCACTCATTTATTAGTCAGAATTGGAAGATGTTGAGTCCTATCTGCGGTACCAGAGTGGCTTTGTCTGTATCTTGATCCAACTACATGGTGGTCTTGTCTGATCTTTGTTTATATTCTGTGATCACTGTTTTTGTTCAGTTAGAAACATTAGGTCTAGCTGTCAGCTGAACAGTTTTTCATTTTCTTACCTGTAAGCATTTGTCCTCCCACATGTAGGATCCCCCCATCTCTTAGTGTTTCTGGCCCTAACTGGTTGAGTGTGTCACTTCTACTTGGCCAAAGCGAGGACAGCAGATCTTTGTGATCATCTACTCCAATTTCCCGCCTCAGGCAGAAACCCCTTAGCAACATCTCTTCTAGGGTAGGGGGCTCACTGCCACCCAAGGCAGCTCCTCCCATCTTTACACATCCATTGTCAAACCTGTCAGGCCTCTGAGCCCAAGCTAAGCCATCATAACCCCGTGACCTTCACATACACATCCAGATGGCCTGTTCCTGCCTTAACTGATGACATTCCACCACGAAAGAAGTGAAAATGCCCTGTTCCTGCCTTAACTGATGACATTACCTTGTGAAATTCCTTCTCCTGGCTCATCCTGGCTCAAAAGCTCCCCCACTGAGCACCTTGTGACCCCCGCCCCTGACCATCAGAGAACAACCCTCTTTGACTGTAACTTTCCTTTACCTACCCAAATCCTATAAAACGGCCCCACCCCTATCTCCCTTCGCTGACTCTCTTTTCGGACTCAGCCCGCCTGCACCCAGGTGAAATAAACAGCCCTGTTGCTCACACAAAGCCTGTTTGGTGGTCTCTTCACACGGACGCGAGTAAAAAAACCTAGGTTATTTCCCCCCATATGTTGTTGAAAAGATAACACATGTACTTGGTTATAACATACTGCATAAAGGAGCACACGGTGAAAATGAAGTGTCCTTCCCACCCTTCCCCCACCCCCATCTCCCAGATCTCCTTTCAGAGTTCCTACAGGAATATGCATATGCCAGCATTATGGCACTTTTTTTTTTTTTTTTTTTTTTGAGACAGAGTCTCGCTCTGTCGCCCAGGCTGGAGTGCAGTGGCACAATCTTGGCTCACTGCAACGTCCGCCTCCTGAGTTCAAGCGATTCTCCTGCCTCAGCCTCCTGAGTAGCTAGGATTACAGGTGCCCACCACCATGCCTGGCTAATTTTTTTTTGTATTTATAGTAGAGACAGGGTTTCACCATGTTGGCCAGGCTCGTCTTGAACTCCTGACCTCAGGTGATCCACCCGCCGCTTTTTTTTCACTTAACTTATTAGTTCATTCGATAAATATTTACCATGCTATTACTATGTGTCAGGCACTGTTGCCAGTGATAAGAAAATAGTAGAGAACAAAACAAAGTGCCCACCCTTAAAAGACCTTATGCTGTAGGGAAAAAAGACAAGCAGCAAACACACACGTATATAATATAACACTCAGACACTGACAAGAGCTGTGAAAAAAGAGAAAGGAGAATACAGAGTTGGTGGGGGTCCATTATTTTCTTTTCTTTTATTTATTTATTTTTTTTTTTTTGAGACAGGGTCTCACTCTGTCACCCAGGCTGGAGTGCAGTGGCATGATCTCACCTCGCTGCAACCTCAGCCTCTTGGGTTGAAGCAATACTCATGCTTCAGCCTCCCCAGTAGCTGGAATTACAGGCACATACCACCATGCCTGGCCAATTTTTGTATTTTTAGTAGAGACAGGGTTTCGCCATGTTAGCCAGGCTGGTCTTGAACACCTGACCTCAAGTGATCCGCGCACCTAGGCCTCCCAAAGTGCTGGGATTACAGGAACGAGCCACTGCGCCCGGCCCTACTATTTTCAAGAGTAGTCTGGGCAGGTCTTTTAGAGGGCTTGACACTGGAGCACAGACATGAGGGAACCGAGGAAGCAAGCCATAAAGATACCTGGAGGAAGAGCAGGAGAAAATGCCCTGAGATGAAAGCATGCTTTAAGGCAGGAAAACAGAGTCTGGAGTCGGGGAACAAAAGGCTGATTCACACTTCAGCTATGACAGGAAATATCCTCTCCATAGGGTGTAGGCCAAGTAAATGACTTTGTAACTTTACTTCATCCTTTTCATTTACATAGGGCGTGTCCCAAGTAGAGGGTATTTAAACTCCCAAAAATTCTGTAACAGGGGCCCTTGAGCTCCTATGCTTGGGCCCCCTCCCACACTGCGGAGTGAATTGGTGAGATGGAGTCTTGCTCTGTGGCCCGGGCTGGAGTACACTGGCTCAAACTCGGCTCACTGCAACCTCCACCTCCCAGGTTCAAGCAATTCTCCTGCCTCAGCCTCCTGAGTAGCTAGGATTACAGGTGTGCACCACCATGCCCAGCCACTTTTTGTATTTTTAGTGGAGACGGGGTTTCACCATGTTGGCCAGGCTGGTCTCGAACTCCTGACCTCGTGATCCGCGCGCCTCGGCCTCCCAAAGTGCTGGGATTACAGGCGTGAACCACCGCGCCCAGCCCATACTTTCATTTTCAATAAATTCCTTCATTCCTTCTTGCTTTGTGTGTTGTGTCCAATTCTTTGTTCAAGATGCCAAGAACCTGGACACCCTCCAATGGTGACAGCTGAGAGGGAAAATGGTGAGAGATGAGGCTGGACAAGTATTCAGGGGGCAGTTCACTTCCAGCCTTGTTGATGGTGACAACAACTCTACATCTTATTCTAAATGTAATGGGGAAACAGTTGAAAGCTTTTGAGCAGGTGAGGGACATGGTCATGCTTACTTTTTTTTTTTTAAGCTGGAGTTTCAAAAAAAAGCCTTCAGCCACCGCGCCAATCATGTTTACATTTTATTTTATTTATTGTTTTGAGACGGAGTCTCACTCTGTCACCAGGCTGGAGTGCAGTGGCGTGATCTCGGCTCACTGCAACCTCGGCCTCCCAGGTTCAAGCAATTCTCCTGCCTCAGCCTCCCGAGTAGCTGGACTACAGGCGCACGCCACCACGCCCAGCTAATTTTTGTATTTTTAGTGGAGACATGGTTTCACTATGTTGGCCAGGATGGTCTTGTACTCTTGACCTCGTGATCCACGTGCCTTGGCCTCCCAAAGTGTTGGGATTACAGGCATAAGCCACTGCGCCCGGCCGTGTTTACCTTTCAAAAGGATCATTCTGGCTGCTGGTTGGAATAAAGACTGGAGCAGGGATGGGTTAGGGTTGAGGGTTATAGTAGAAGCAATGGCGGGACTAGTTCGGAGACTGTTGCCGTATACATAGCTGAAACTGCCTTTGCAAAATTATGACGGAGACAGTGAAAAAGATCTAACTTCATCTTCGTTCTAACCTTTAACCTGTCCTTGTTCCTTCCTGGGTGTAGGCTGAACTAACTTTGGGAGGAACTTAGTTTATAGTTTAAAACAAAGATGATAACAGCCCCTTCCCAAAACAAACCTTCCTCTTGCCTGGGTACTAGACTGCCTTTGTAGGACTAACAAATTAGCCACAAGATTAGAAATTATGGCTTAGGAGTCATGCAGCTGGAGGCTACAAGATTCTGACCCTCCCTGAACTTCTGCTAAGATCAGCGCTTGAGATATTTTCCAGACCCTGAACTTGATGGATCAGCTGGCACCACACAGATTGATAAAGTGGCTCATCTGATCTTGTGGCCCGCACCCAGGAACTCAGTGCAAGAGGACAGCTTCAGCTTCCCATGATTTCATCTCCTACCTGACCAATCAGCACTCCTTGCTCACTGGCTTCCCCCCACCCACCAAGTTAACCTTAAAAACTCTGATCCCCAGCCTGGAGCGGTGGCTCATGCCTGTAATCCTGGTACCTTGGGAGGCTGAGGCGGGTGGATCACTTGAGGCCAGGAGTTCTAGTCCAGCCTGGCCAATATGGTGAAACCCCCGTCTGTACTAAAAAAAATACAAAAAATTAGCCAGGCATGGTGGTGCATGCCTTGTAGTCCCAGCTACTCTGGAGACTGAGGCAGGAGAATCACTTGAACTGGGGAGGCAGAGGCTGCAGGGAGTGGAGATTGTGCCATTGCACTCCAGCCTGGGCAACAGACTCCGTCTCAAAACAAACAAACAAACAAACAAAAAACTCTGATCCCCAAATGCTCAGGGAGGCTGATTTGAGCAATAATAAAGCTCCGGTCTCCCACACAGCCGGCTCTGTGTGAATTACTCTTTCTCTGTTGCAACTCCCCTGTCTTGATAAGTCAGCTCTGTCTAGGTAGCAGGCGAGGTAAACCCCCTGGCTGGTTACACAGCTTGAAGACAGCTCTGTATCTAAACTGTATCTACGTCTATATCTACCTTGGTCCCTCTTAATTCTTGCTACGGTAATCTATTTTATTTTATGGATGTATCATAATTTATTTCCTCAGTTCCCTAAGGATAGACTTTTTTTTTCGTTTGAGACAGAGTCTCGCTCTGTCGTCCAGGCTGGGGTGCAGGGGCGTGATCTCCGCTCACTGCAGCCTCTGCCTCTCGGGTTTAAGCAATTCTCCTGCCTCAGCCTCCCAAGTAGCTGGGACTACAGGAGCGCGCTGCCACGTCTGGCTAATTTTTGTATTTTTAGTAGAGATGGTGTTTCACCACGTTGGCCAGGACGGTCTTGGTCTCCTGACCTCATGATCCGCCTGCCTCGGCCTCCCAAAGTGCTGGGATTACAGGCGTGAGCCACCGTGGCTGGCTTTTTTTTTTTTTTTTGAGACAGGGTGTCCCTCTGTCACTCAGGCTGGAGTGCAATGGCACAGTCTCTGCTGACTTCAACCTCCGCCTGTCGGGCTCAAGGGATCCTCCCACCTCAGCCTCCTGAGTAGCTGGGACTACATACAGGTGCACACCACCACACCTGGCTAATTTTTTAATTTTTTGTAGAAGTGAGGTCTCACTATGTTGCCCAGGCTGGTCTTGAACTCCTGGGCTCAAGCAATCTGCCTGCCTCAGCCTACCAAAGTGCTGGACTGCCCAAGGGGTTCACCTTGCACGCTGCCTAGACAGAGCTGATTAATCAAGAAGGGGGAATTGCGACAGAGAAAGTAATTCACACAAAGCCTGCTGTGCGGGAGCCCAGAGTTTTGTTATTACTCAAATCATCCTCCCGAAAACTCAAGGATCAGAGTTTTTAAGGATAATTTGGTGGGTAGGGGGCCAATGAATTGGGAGTGCTGATTGCTTGGCTGGGGGATGAAATTGCAGAGAGTCGCTGGGCGCGGTGGCTCATGCCTGTAATCCCAGCACTTTGGGAGGCCGAGGCGGGTGGATCACGAGGTCAGGAGATGGAGACCATCCTGGCTAACACGGTGAAACCTCATCTCTACTAAAAATACAAAAAAACTAGCTGGGCGTGGTGGCGGGTGCCTGTAGTCCCAGCTACTCGGGAGGCTGAGGCAAGAGAATGGCGTGACCCCAGGAGGTGGAGCTTGCAGTGAGCCAAGATCGCGCCACTGCACTCCAGCCTGGGTGACAGAGCGAGATTCCTTCTCAAAAAAACAAAACAAACAAACAAAAAAACCAGAAATTGCAGAGAGTCAAAGCTGTTTTCTTCTGCTGAGTCAGTTCCTGGATGAGGGCCACAGAACTGGTTGGCAGGTCCAGTGGGGCCATCTGGTTGTTAGAAATGCAAAAACCTGAAAAGACATCTCAAAAGGCTGATCTTAGGTTCACAATAGCGATTTTACCTCAAGAGTAATTGGGGGCCAGGCACAGTGGCTTACGTCTGTGATCCCAGCACTTTGGGAAGCTGAGGCAGGCAGATCACTTGAGGTCAGGAGTTCAAGACCAGCCTGGCCAACATGGCAAAACCCCGTCTCTACTAAAAATACAAAAATTAGCTGGCGTGGTGGCAGGTCCCTGTAATCCCAGCTACTGTGGAGGCTGAGGCATGATAATTGCTTGAACCTGTGAGGCAGAGGTTGCAATAAGCCAAGATTGTGCCACTGCACTCCAGCCTGGGTGACAGAGCAAGACTCTGTCTCAAAAAAACAAAACAAAAAAATCTTATGACCTCTAGAATAAGAATAATGGTGGGTACTATTTAGAACTCCAGCCCTTCTCATCTTGGCTTGGTGGCTGGTGGCCTGTGGCCTTTCATTTGTTTTACAAGAACAGTTTAGCTTTCTGGAAAGGGCTATTGTTTAAATGATACACTAAATTCCTTCCCAAGGCTAGTTTGGCCTGGCTTGGCATGGTGGCTCACACCTACAATCCCAGCACTTTGGGAGGCCGAGGCGGGAGGATCACCTGACCAACATGGAGAAACCCTGTCTCTACTAAAAATACAAAAAATTAGCTGGGCGTGGTGGTGCATGCCTGTAATCCCAGCTACTCAGGAGGCTGAGGCAGGAGAATCACTTGAACTCAGGAGGCGGACATTGTGGTGAGCCAAGTTGGCGCCATTGCACTCCAGCCTGGGCAACAAGAGCGAAACTCCGTCTCAAAAAAAAAAACAAAAAACAAAAAAACAAAAAAAACTGGTTTAGCCTATACCCAGGAATGAACAGGACACTTTAGAGGTTAGAAGCAAGATGGGGTCAGTTAGGTCTGATATCTCAGTTATGATTTTTTGCAAAGGTGGTTTCAGGATGACAGGTGTGAGCCATTGCGCCCAGCCCCTGATAGATATTTAGACTGGTCGCAACCCTTTTGCTTTTACAAAAATGAATTAATGAATATATCCTTTGTGCTCAGGTTTCAGCATATCTGCAGAGTTATTCCAAGAAGTGTAGTTGCTAGACACAAGGAAAAATAAATTATTCCTCATATTGAAATTAAATCTGGTGATCTAATTCTCCATCAAAGAAACCAATTTATTCACTCTTTGCCACACCACCCCTTCAGAGACTATAAAAGAGAGGAATCTGCCACCCTTCCCACATCAGTTTTCTTGTCTTTAAATATTCCCAGTCTTGGCAGGGAGTGGTGGCTCACGCCTGTAATCCCACCATGCTGGTAGGCCCAGGCGGATGGATCAGCTGAGGTCGGAGTTCGAGACCAGCCTGGTCAACATGGCGAAACCTCGTCTCTACTAAAAATACAAAAATTAGCCAGGCGTGGTGGCACCTTCCGGTAATCCCAGCTACTCGGGAGGCTGAGGCATGAGAATCGCTCAAACCCAGGGGGCAGAGGTTGCAGTGAACCGAGATTGCGCCACTGCACTCCAGCCTGGGCGACAGAGTGAGATTCTGTCTCAAAACAAAAACAAAAACAAAATAACAAAAACCCAGTCTACCAAGCCACCACCTGAGGCCCTGTCTCCTCCTCGCACGGTCCCCATTTGAGGTTACAGAGAGATAAACTGAGGCACAAGCAGCACCCGCGGCCCAAGACCTCCCCTTGGCCTCACTGTCCCCCTTTCCGTATCTTCCCCGGGCCAAGTTCCAACCCGGATCCCTCCTTCGCAGCTCAGCCCTCGACTCCCACTTCGTCCCTCCTCTGCCCCCTCCGCGGCTGCGGAAGGGGACGCGAACCGTCCTGGTCCCATCCGAGCCGCCGTAGCGCGAGTGCCGCGGGAGTTCGGCAGCCCAGGTCGCCAAGGCAACGGGCTCCGCTGCGGGTTGCGGGCTGCGGGCGCTAGGCTGCCCCGGGGAGGCGCTGCGGACCGGCGGCCCAGGCACGGAGAGGCGGCGAGACCGCAGGTGAGCAGGAGCCGGGCGGCCGGTTGCGGCCCCAACGCTCCGGGCCTGGCGTCGACACGTCGCAGGGGGCGAGGGGCTGAGCCGCCGGGGATCCCGGGGAGGGAGGCTGCGGCCCGATCTTTGTCCCTCAGCCGCGCCGGGGACGGCGCCCCCGACGCCCTTTGACCCCGCCCCGCGTTCAGGGAGAGTCCGTTTTCGGCTGTTTATTATATTTGTAGCCATTGGTCGACCTCATTCGAAAGTTTCTTAAAAAAAAAATCCCTTCTTGTTTGGGGGCCAGAAAATAACTCAAAACTGTGCAGAAAATTTATTTGTGTGTGTGACTCTTCTGGGGCCAGAGAGGATTGACTTCTTTGTGCGTCAGTTTTATCGTCTGCAAAATGGGAATCATGGTAGCACCTGTCTGATGACGTTATTACAAGGTAAATTTATATTTAAAATTCGTGGAGGTAAGCCCTCAATACATGGGAGCTTTTATTATTACTACTACTACAAGGAGGACCATCACTGAGCATTTATTGTGAGCCACGGCCCGGGCTGATAGCCAGGGTAAAAAAGTGAACGAGAGACATCGTGTCCTGAGGGAACTCCACAGTTTTCCGGAGGAGACAGACTCGTAAACAAGAATTCACAGTGATTCCGGTTATGATTTTGGACATACAGGGGGGCTGTGAATGCACAGAGAAAACAGTTAACCTGGATTTCTGGAGGTGAGGTTAGTGTGGATGATCAGGGAGAGATGCCAAAAGAAGGTGACTTCCAAAATGAGACATGAAGGCTGTCTTTATGTTGGCCAGAAGATGAGGCTGGTGGAGTGTACCTTGCTGTGGGTAGATAAAGCAGGTAGAGAAAGTAGGTAGAGAAAAGCCTTGGGGAGAGAGTGCAGACTTCTTGGGAATCTGCAAGGATTTCAGGCTAGCTGGAGAGCAGATTATGAGAGTTGGAGGGGGTCTGGCTAGATGGTGTTTGAGAGACAAGCAGGTGCTCCTCCTGAAAGACTGTAAGTGTGGAGGAGTTTGGGCTTTGTGTTGGGGGCAGTGGGAAGCCATCAAAGGGTTTTAAGCCGGAGGTGTGTGTCTTTGATCAGAGGTATAGTTTCAGAAAGATCAGTTTTTTGTGTTTCTCTCTTGGTCTTATCATTCCTCCCATCTGTTTTTCACTTTGCAGGCATTCATTTGTGGTGATTCATATATATGTGTGTGTGTGACAGTGTGTGCGTGTATGTATTTATTGTTGAGATGAGGTCTCACTATGTTGCCCAGGCTGGTCTCAGATTCCTGGGCTCAAGTGATCCTCCTGTCTCAGCCTCCCAAGCAGCTGGGACTGCAGGTGCACACCACTGCACCTGGCTAATTCAAAAAATATTTAATGAGCATCTTCTTCTATGTGCAAGGCACTGTGTAGGTAGTAAGGAAGCAGGTCCCTGCCCTCAAGGAGATCACAGATTGGTGGAGAAAATATTCATCAAACAAGTGATTATAATTGTGATGAGAATTGTGAAAGGGGGCGCATGTTAAGATCAATCTAGCATAGTTTGGAGATTCAGGTAGAGTTTTGATAAAATGTATGGAGGGTGTAGTCTGAGTTAGCTATCGTGGGGATGTTCCAAACATTTTCAAAAGTACATTCATGGAGCCAAAAGCAGTCCACTACAACTGGAACTTAAAGATCAATATTGAAAGAGATCCATCCAGAGAGGTTGACAAAAAAAAAAAGGCTGAGATTATTCAGGGCTACTGCATTGCATACTCTTGGAAGAATGAGCCATGCACTTAGTCTACACTAAAAGAAATGGCTAGAGAAACAGGAACAGGAGAGAAACCAGCAAAGTATAGTAATGAAGGCCAAAGGGAGAGGTTGGTTGGCCTTTGTAGATGTTGCTGAGATGTCGAGTAATACAAGTTAAAAATTAAAATGTGTCCTTTTGGGTAAATAAATATGGAGGTCGGTTGGGACCTCATTGAGCAGATTTGGTGAAATGGTTGGGGCGGAATCTATAATATCAGCAGCTTTCAAAGGTTCAATATAATATATCAGTGGGATGAGTTAAGAGTGGGATGTGAGAAAGACAAAGTGTAGGCAGCTCAGAGAAGTTTGGCTGCGAAGGGAGGTAGAGAGAAGGCTGAGGAGCGATTGGGGAATAGGTGAAGTTTTTTTGAGCATGAGAGAGATTAAATGCTGTTGGCAAAGAGCCAGTGGAGAGAGAGAAAGGCTGAGAAGACACAGGATATGAAAGGGAGAATTGATAGTATAACTTTCCTGAGAAGGTGGGAGTGGAGGAGCTCCACAGTACAGATCCTTCAATAGGAGTCTGATGCCTGTTACTTTTTGGAGACGTGGGAAGCCAGGTTATTCCTGAAAGGAGTGCACCAGTGTAATGCAACAAAAATAAATAAAGGTATAAGTGTGGAAGGAAAGTCACAATTTTCATTGTCGGCAGATAGCAGGCATTTATTGAACTAGTATTGTGTTAAGTACTTTTCATGCACCATTCTTTTTTTTTTTTTTGGGACAGGGTATCACTCTGTCGCCCATGCTGGAGTGTAGTGGTGCAATCTTGGCTCACTGCAGCCTCTGCCTCCTGTGCTCAAGCGATCCACCTGCCTCAGCCCCCCAAGTAGCTGGGAATACAGGTGCGAGCCACCACACTCAGCTAATTTTTGTATTTTTAGTAGAGATGAGGTTTTGCCATGTTGACCAGGCTGGTCTCGAACTCCAGACCTCAAGTGATCCACCCGCATCGGCCTCCCAAGATGCTAGGATTACAGGCATGAGCCACTGCGCCCGGCCTCATGCACCGTTCTTAATGAATAATGTGATGTTTACAACAACCCTGTGAGATAGGCCCTCTAATAATTGCAAATTTATGGATAAAGAAACTGAGGTAACATGCTCACTCAGGGTCACACAGTATTTGAATCTAGGTTTACCTGAACCCAGAGCTTTTACTCTTAACCACTACCTGGATGATATAAATCTCTACCTGTGATATGATTGTCTGCTGAGAAAATTCAAGAGAATTAAACTAAAAATACTTAGATATAATAAGGCTAAGTGAACAGCAGTTATAAGATAGACAAAAAGCAATAGCTTTATGCAAACAAAAATAGAAAATGTAATTGTAGGAGAACTGACAATAGCAACATGAAAAATAAATACTTAGAAATAAACTTAAAAATACATGTACCCAGCTTAGCCACACAGAGTAAGAGTTGGCTGGGCATGGGGATGGGATGACAGGATGAGTAAGGTAAAGTAGTTTTCCCATGGGAACATCAGAGTATTGATACTGGAGAAGGGGTAGGTTAAAAAAAAAACAGGTGTCTATCATAAGACATCATGAGATATTGACTATCATGTTTTTATAAAATTGAAAAATTGGCCTGGCACGGTGGCTTACGCCTGTAATCCCAGCACTTTGGGAGGCCAAGGCGGGCAGATTATCTGAGGTGAGGAGTTTGAGACTAGCCTGGTCAACATGGTGAAACCCCATCTCTGCTAAAAATACAAAAATTAGCTGGGTGTAGTGGTGCACGCCTGTAGTCCCAGCTACTTGGGAAACTGAGGCAGGAGATTCTCTTCAACCTGGGAGGCAGAGGTTGCAGTGAGCTGAGATTGTACCATTGCACTCCAGCCTGGGTGACAAGAGCAAAACTCCATCTCAAAAAAAAGGACAGTTAGGTGGGAGCTATATATATTAGAAAGATGTTTACATTATGTGGTTAGGTGTAAAAAGCAGATTACGGTACAGTATGTTACTGTTTTCTTAAATGTATACATGTTTATAATAAAAATGTCTGGAAATACTAGTTCTTTTTAAAAATGTTAAATCTTTAATTGTGATAAAATTTACCATCTTAACGATTTTTAAGTTTACAGTTTTGTAGTATTAAGTGTATTCATGCTGTGCAACCAATCTGCATGACTTTTTCATCTTGCAAAAGTGCAAAAGCCAAACTATACCTTTAATAGGTTTAGCTCCCCATTTCCGCCTCCCCACCAGCCCTTGGCAGCACCCATTCTACTTTTGTTTTCTATGTGTTTGGTTACTCTGGATACATCGTGTTAGTGGAATCTTGCATTATTTGTCTTTCTGTGACGGGCTTATTTCACTAGCATAGTGTCCTCAAGGTTCATCCTTGTTGTGTAGCATGTGTCAGAATTTCATTCTTTTTGTAAGGCTGAATAATATTCCATTGCATGTTTATACCGCACTTTGTTTATCCATTCATCGATGGTCACTTTGAGTTGCTTCCATCTTTTGGCTATTGTGAATAATACTGCAGTGAAACATAAGTGTACTAGAAAGGTAAGCTGTTTATGAGATCATGGGGAAACTTTTATTCTGTTCCTCATTGCCCTAATTTTCCTTTTTTATGAGCATGAATTGCCTTCATAATCAGAAAAAAAATGAGGAAGTATCTTCTTTAGGAGGCTGGGGAAATAAGGGTAAAAAAGGGCAGTGGCAGCGGAAAGGGAAAGGAGAGGGCAGATTTGAGAGACATTTCAGAAGGAGAATCAACAGGACTTGACCAACAAGAGGTAAGGGAGAGAGGAGTGGAAGATGAAGCTTTCCTGGCCTCTGGTGGGAAGGGGCATCAGTCCTGGTGGGGCTTTGACTAGGGGAGGAGGGAGGAAATAAGGCTGGAGAGCCACCCAAGCCTTTGTTTAGCAGTTTGGACTTCTAGAAGGTGGAGAGAAACCATTGAAAGGAAGTGAAATGACTTGATCTGATTTGCACATAGAGAGATGACACTGGCTCTTTCCAACCATTCTTTAAACTGAAGGCAGATAGTGCCAGGTATCCCTTTGTGTTGCTTATACTTGAACTTCTGTTAATTTCCTTTTATTTGAGATGAACCTTTAGTACTGAAGTACACATATCTATTATTCTAAAAGCACCTGGAATATTTTAAACAATGTTTTAGTGTGTGTTTTTTTGTTTTTTGTTTTTTTGTGTGTGTTTTTTGAGACGGAGTCTCGCTCTGTTGTGCAGGCTGGAGTGCAATGGCACCATCTCAGTTCACTGCAGCCTCCGCCTCCCAGGTTCAAGCAATTCTCCTGCCTCAGCCTCCCAAGTAGCTGGGATTACAAGCACTTGCCATTATGCCCGGCTAATTTTTGTATTATTATTATTTTTTTTGAGATGGAGTTTCACTCTTATCGCCCAGGCTGGAGTACAATGGTACGATCTTGGCTCACCGCAACTGCCACCTCCTGGGTTCAAGCGATTCTCATGCCTCAGCCTCCTGAGTAGCTGGGATTACAGGCACGCGCCACCACGCCCGGCTAATTTTGTATTTTTAGTAGAGACAGCATTCTCCATGTTGGTCAGGCTGGTCTTGAACTCCCAACCTCAGGTGATCCACTCGCCTTGGCCTCCCAAAGTGCTGTGATTACAGGTGTGAGCCACTGCTCCTGGCATTTTTGTATTTTTATAGAAATGGGGTTTCACCATGTTGGCCAGGCTGGTCTTGACTCCTGACCTCAAGTGATCTGCCTGCCTCGGCCTCCCAAAGTGCTGGGATTACAGGCGTGAGCCACCGTGCCCTGCCTGTGTTCAGTTTTATCTCAATAACACAGTCTCCTGTAAATATACTTACTTTTTTTTTTTTTTGAGACAGAGTCTCACTCTGTCCCTCAGGCTGGAGTGCAGTGGTGCGATTTTGGCTCACTGCACCCTTCGCCTTTGAGGTTCAAGTGATTCTCCTGCCTCAGCGTCCCAAGTAGCTGGGATTACAGGCACACACCACCACACCGGCTATTTTTTTTTTTTTTTTCATTTTTAGTAGAGACAGGGTTTCACCATATTGGCCAGGCTGGTCTCAAACTCCTGAACTCAGATGATCCACCCATCTTGGCCTCCCAAAGTGCTGGGATTATAGGTGTGAGCCACTGCACCCAGCCATCCTGTAAATATACTTTCTGACTTTAGTAGGAGAAGTATGAATAATTGGGAAAATAAATGAAACAAAAATAATTCAAGGTAGAGTATGTCACAATTCTGTTAAAATTTTAAAATTTAAAATTTTTCACATTTTACTGAATTCTGACAGCCTCCTTTTGAGAGAAAAAGGACAATATAAGGTATACAGTGTCATATTAAGGAACTCTTACAAAATGAAAATTTGGAGGGTCCAGATGGATTCAGCCCGTCACTTAGCTCCACTCCCACAAACCTGTAGTCTCTGTCTACTTCCAGAGCATTACAGACAGAGGGAGCTAACTGTTGTGCTAACATTTGTAAATAGCTCTGCAGTTTAGAAGAGCTGGATTTCCAAAAGATGTAAATCCATGATATCATTTTAGTCCTCCTAACAATTCTGTGGGGTAGGGATTATCATTCCCATTTTCAAATGAGAAAATTGAAGATCAGAGGATGTGACAGATCCCTCTCAGATACTATATCTAATAAGTCCTGGAGTTTGAATCCAGGTTTTATTTTCTTCTTATATTTTAGCATTTTATTATGGAAAAGTTTAAACATACAAAAGTAGAAAAGATAATAAAAGACACCTAATATACTGAGCTTTAGCAATTGCCAACATATGGTCACTTTTATTTTATCTATACTGCCTACTTCCATCCCACCTTAAATTATCATAAAGCAAATCCTAGTCATCATATTTCATCCATGAATACTGTACTTCAATATACACATCTAAGAGAGAAGGATTTTTTCCTCCTCCTTTCCCCCCTGTAGTCACAGTTTCATTATTACACCTAAGGAAATAAACAGTAGTCAGTCCTAAATATTACATAATATCCATTTGGTATTCAGTTTCCTCAACAATTTTATAAATGTCTTTCTAAAAAAATGTTTTTTTCAAGATGGAGTCTCGCTATGTTGCTCATGCTGTACTTGAACTCCTAGGTTCAAGTGATCCTCCTATCTCAGCCTCATCAGTATCTGGAAATACAGATGTGTGTCAGTGTACCTAGCTTTTTTTTTTTCTTTCTTTTTGACACAGAGCCTCACTCTTTTGCCCAGGCTGGAATGCAGTGGCGTGATCTCCACTCACTCACTGCAACCTCTGCCTCCTGGGTTCAAGCAATTATCCTGCTTCAGCCACCTGAGAAGCTGAGATTACAGGCACGTACCACCATACCCCACTAATTTTTGTATTTTTAGTAGAGACAGGGTTTCACTATTTTGGCCGGGCTGGTCTCGAACTCCTGACCTCAGGTGATCTGCCCGCCCACCTCAGCCTCCCAAAGTGTTGGGATTACTACAGGCGTGAGCCATCATGCCCGGCCTGCCCAACTTTCATAAATGTCTTTTTACAGTTGGTCTGTGTTCACTGGGATCCAAACAAGGTGCCTGTATTAGACCTGATTGATGATCTCTTAAATCAAGCTTGTCCAATCCGCAGCCTGTGGGCCAAATGCAGCCCAGGACAGCTTTGAATGAGGCCCAACACAAATTTGTAAACTTTCTTTCTTTGTTTTTTTTTTTTTTGAACGAAGTTTTGCTCTTGTTGCCCAGGCTGGAGCGCAGTGGCGTGATCTCGGCTCACTGCAACCTTGCCTCCCATGTTCAAGCGATTCTTCTGCCTCAGCCTCCTGAGTAGCTGGGATTACAGGCGCCCACCACCACGCCCGGCTGATTTTTGTATATTTAGTAGTAACAGGGTTTCACCATGTTGACCAGGCTGGTCTTGAACTTCTGACCTCAGGTGATCCACCTGCCTCGGCCTCCCAAAGTGCTGGGATTACAGGCATGAGCCACCATGCCCAGCCTCAAATTTGTAAACTTTCTTAAAACATTATGAGATTTTTTGTGTGTGTGATTTTTTTTCTTCTTCCAATGTGGCCCAGGGAAGCCAAAAGAATGGATACCCCTGTTTAAAATCTTCTTAATCTATAGCCATTTCTCCTCTTCTTTTTTCCCCCTTTGCCATTTATTTGTTTAAAAAAGTCATATCATTTGCCCTATACAACTTCTCATATTCTGCATTTGACTGATTACATCTATTTATTTATTTATTTACTTTTCTTAGATGGAGTCTCGTTCTGTTGCCCAGGCTGCTGGAGTGCAGTGGTGTGATCTTGGCTCACTGCAACGTCCACCTCCAGGGTTCAAGCTATTCTCCTGCCTCAGCCTCCTGAGTAGCTGGGACTACAGGCGCATGCCACCACGCCTGGCTAATTTTCGTATTTTTAGTAGAGATGGGGTTTCACCATGTTGGCCAGGCTGGTCTTGAACTCCTGACCTCCAGTGATCAACCTGCCTCAGCCTCCCAAAGTGCTGGGATTACAGGCATGAGCCACTGTGCCTGGCCCAGTTTTTCCAATATTTAAACAACCAACCTGTGCTATAGCAAGTTTCCCAGTCAAGGATTCATTTATGTTCAAGCATGCTACTTATAAAATAATACAGTATATTGATCCATTTATAAAATTATGCAATATATTGATTCATTTTAGAATTTCCTTTAAAGGCTTTCTTGGGTGACTACCAATTAACCAAAATTAATTACGTTATCCCAATGACCAAATTAATCCCCTGGTCAAATTGAACTGGATACATGAGTTATGTGAAAAACCTTCCAGGGGTTTTCACATGTACTGATGTTTTTGTTTTGTTTTTTTTTGTTTTTGTTTTTGTTTGAGATGGAGTCTCAAACAAAACTCCAGTTTCCCAGGCTGGAATGCAATGGCATGATGTCGACTCACTGCAACCTCTACCTCCTGGGTTCAAAGATTCTCCTGCCTCGGCCTCCTGAGTAGCTGGGATTACAGCTGCCCACCACCATACCCGGCTAATTTTTAAAAATATTTTTAGTAGAGACAGGATTTCACCATGTTGGCCAGGCTGATCTTGAACTCTTGACCTCAGGTGATCCACCTGCCTCGGCCTCCCCAAGTACTGGGATTACAGGCATGAGCCACTGCGCCTGGCCGTACTGATGTTTTTGATTCTCTGGTTATACTTGAGGTAGAGTAAATGATTCTAACCAGCACTGGAACCATTAAAGGAATGTAGGGCCTCGTCAGTATTAGTTGGTTGGAGAGGGGAAGGAAGTTAGGACCAGGCAGGAATGAGTGGGTGGAGAAACTGACTCAGCCGTTTGGTTGGCTTCTAGGCATGGGAATTCAGCGGAGGGAGCCAGACCTCCTATGCATATGATGGTAGCAAGAGTAGCCCTCATTTTATTCCTGCCCTTTCTAATCAGGATAGGCTTAGGACATGAGCAGTGGGATGTTTAGTGACATCGGCAATGAAGGACTAGGAAATACAGACTTTGATTTATTTTTTAAGTGATTCTCCATCAGCTGTGTGCTTTTAAGACTAGACTATGGGTTTTTTTGTTTTGTTTTGTTTTTGAGACTGGGTCTCATTCTGTCACCCAGGCTGGAGTTACTGTGGTGCAACCATAGTTCATTGCCACTTCAAACTCTGGGACTCAAGTGATCCTCTCACCTCAGCCTCTTGAGTAGCTGGGACTACAGGTGTGTGCCACCACATCCAGCTAATTTTAAAATTTTTTGTGGATACGGGATCTCTGTATGTTGGCCTGGCTGGTAGACTGTGTTTTTATTTGAATATTTGTACCAAAACTTAACATTCTGCTGCTTATTGATTATATTTTACTACCTAAGAAAATAAATATGTATTATTTTTAATTGGCTTATATAAAACATAATACCTGTTTTCTTGTAGCTTTTAAGTAAAATTTGAAGCATTAGATTTTTAAGTGTAGGTTCTTTAGGTTCTTTTTTTTTTTTTTTGAGACGGGGTTTTGCTCTTGTTACTCAGGCTGGAGTGCAATGGATCACGGCTCACTGCAGCCTCGCCTCCCAGGTTCAAGCGATTCTCCTGCCTCAGCCTCCCGAGTAGCTGGGACTACAGAGGTGTGCCACCATGCCCGGCTAATTTTTGCATTTTTAGTAGAGACAGAGTTTCACCATGTTGGTCAGGCTGGTCTTGAACTCTTGACCTCAAATGATCCACCCCCCTCGGCTTCCCAAAGTGCTGGGATTATAGGCATAAGCCACCACTCCCGGCCAAGTATAGCTTATTTTCTTATTTGTAATTTATTAAAGCCAAAGACACCAAGATTGAAAGCAACTGAAAATGAAAATGATATTTCCGGGGAGGCTAATAACTTACGGAGCTTTCCTGTGGCCTCAGGGTCATTGTTCTCTGTTAGCCAATCCTTAGAAATTGCTAGAACTCATAGGAATGCAGAGTTGTATGATGAGAAGAACAAGAACTTGGGTTTCAGGGAGATCAGGGTAACCTTGGGCAAGGTCTCTGAGTCTAGGTTCCCTTATCTGTAAAATGTCTCATGAAGTCATGTGAGAGTTAATTGTTATAAAGCTTGGCCACTCGAAGGGGCTTAATGAATGTGAGTTATCTTCCTTTCTCCCAGTCCTGATTTTGCAAACCTACCTACTCCGTGTTTCTGCTAATCACCAGAATGAAACTTAAAAAAAAAAAGAAAAAGCTGATGGTTTAATCTTGATTTTCAGTGTCAGTTAAGCATAAAATAATTCTATTGTTTTCTTATGTGCATAAGGCTTAACTTTCATTGGTTTTTGATGATCTCTGCATGTTATATATGGTACATATTAAATATAGTGGCCATATTTTTTTTTAATTTCTTTTATAATATTTTTTTCGAGATGGAGTCTAGCTCTGTCTCCCAGGCTGGAGTGCAGTGGCGTAATCTTGGCTCACTGCAGCCTCAGCCTCCGCCTCCTGGGTTCAAGCAATTCTCCTGCCTCAGCCTCCCCAGTATCTGGGACTACAGGCATGCGCCACAATACCCAGCTAATTTTTGTATTTTTAGTAGAGACAGGGTTTCACCACGTTGGCCAGACTGGTCTCGAACTCCTGACCTCAAGTGATAGGCCCACCTCACCCTCCCAAAGTGCTGGGATTACAGGCGTGAGCCACTGTGCCCAGCAGCTATATTTTATAAACCAAAAAATTGGGACTTGTGGTGTGATAAGTATAGTATACTTAGGAAGGTTAGGAGAACAGAATATTTTGAAGAAGTGCACTCTCAGAGAAATGGTCGCTGTGCTTTTATGTATTCATAAGGAAGCAGTACAAAGTTGTGGTTAGGAATGAGGCCCTAGAGTCCTTTGGACATGAATTCACATCTTGGCCCAGGCACTTTCTACTTACTGCACAATATACTTAACCTTTCTAAGCTTCAGAGCTTCCTCACTTGTAAAGTGGATATTATGAGAGTTCCTTGTTTCTTGTGAGGATTGCATGAAATAAAGGGCTCAGCACAGTCTTGGCAGATAGAACTTAACATGTAAATGTCAGCTGTTATGTTTATTACTGTAAAGCCTTTGATACGTGCACACTTATACAGTAAACTTTTTTTTTTTTTGCAAAAACCTGTTCAAAAAGCACTTCTAAAATAACTCAATATTTGCAAACTTACTCTATAGTAAGTTCTTTATCAGGCCTCGTACAGAAAGGGCACAGAAATATTTTGAAGACCGCATGCCCTGTCTTGCATGCCCACTGGGAAGACCTGACTGACTTTGGCCTTCTCAAAATATTTGCATAACTCTCAGCACCTACTCCATTGCTTCTGAGATGACCTCTGCAACGTGTATATGTTTTGGCTGATACAGCCAAACTTGTCCTGGACAGACTTCAAGGTTCACTTAATCTACTGTCACAGGCTTCTTTCCCTAAGATTTTCTTGGTTGTGCCCTCCCTAGAGTATTGGCTTCTTCCTCAGGCTAGCAGCAAAATAGCTGCAGTAGGCCTAGGCCCCAGATTTATGTATGGCACCCACCTAAGGAATAGAAAGATTGTCTTGGCTGGGCGCGGTGGCTTACACCCGTAAAATACCTGTAATCCCAGCACTGTGGGAAGCCGAGGCGGGTGGATCACCTGAGGTCAGGAATTCGAGACCAGCCTGACCAACATGGTGAAACCCCGTCTCTACTAAAAATACAAAAAATTAGCCGTGTGTGATGGTAGACGCCTGTAGTCCCAGCTACTCGGGAGGCTGAGGCAGGAGAATCGCTTGAACCTGGGAGGTGGAGGTTGCAGTGAGCTGAGGTCACACCACTGCACTCCGACCTGGGCAACAAGAGCAAAACTCCGCCTCAAAAAAAAAAAAAAAAAAGATTGTTCCTTAGAGTGAGAATTTTTCTCAGAAGCCTCCAGAGAACTACCCTAGAATCTCATTGGCCTGGACTGGGTCATATGCTCATTCCTGAGCCAATTTTTGTTAGTAGGGCAATGTGATGCCCTGATGGGCTTAGGCCTGGTTCTTGAACAAGCCATTTACAAGAGGGATGAAATTATCTCTAGACCATTCAGAAACAGAATTGTGTTTCTGTTAGGAAAATTTTTTTTTTTCTATGAGTAGGTGAATGGACGCTGAGTAGATTGGTCGAAGAGGAATTGTGTTGGCTGCTGATAACAGTGCTTTAAAGAAGACAGGTTATTTTTCTCTCAAAAAATATTAAGTCCAAAGTAGATAGTCTGTTCCTGGCATGGCAGTTCCACAGTGCCATCAGGCAGCCTAGATCTTTCTCTCTTTCTGTTTCACCATGCTTATCACACAGCTTGCAGTCACCAAGTGGTCGCACGTGTTGGCTCTGGCTCTCTAGCCAAACGGTCTTTGAGGCAGGAAGAAGTAGGAAAGGGGAGGGCAGAGGACACCCTTTAAAGTACCCTAAGTCCCAACCACCATGTTCAGTTTACATCTCATTGTCCATTCTTACTTGTGAAGAAGGCTGGTAAATGCAGTTTCTTAGCTGTACACATTGCCATTCCCCAAAACAGGGATTCTGCAGCTGTGGAAGAATGAGAAATAGATACAAGCCTGGAAGTGGGCAGTGCCCACCACAGGAGGCGGCCAACAATGTCAGCTATACCCTGTATTTGGAGAAAATTGCAGTTTTTACATTGACTTTCCTCTTTCTTTTCTTTTCTTTTCTTTCTTTCTTTCCTTCCTTCTTTCTTTTTTTTTTTTTTTTTTTTTTTTTTTTGAGATGGAATCTTGCTCTGTGGCCTGAGCTGGAGTACGGTGGCACAATCTTGGTTCACTACAACCTCCACCTCCTGGGTTCAAGCAATTCCCCTGCCTCAGCTTCTGGAGTAGCTAGGATTACAGGCGTGCCCCACCATGCCCAGCTAATTTTTGTATTTTTAGTAGAGACAGGGTTTTGCCATGTTGGCCAGGCCAGTCTCGAACTCCTGACCTCAGGTGATCCACCCACCTTGGCCTCCCAAAGTGCTGGGGTTACAGGTGTGAGCCACTGCGCCTGCAATGCCCGGCCTGCATTATAAATATTTGTTCATAATGTGTTGCTAACAGTGACAATCAATAAGAATCAACTGGGTTTGTTCCCCAGCCTGTTTAGTTTTATTATTGTGATTACAAAATAATTAAATATTATGTTAACCAATGAAATGTAAAGGGAAAAAGGAAAAAAGATACTGCTTTTATGAAAAATAAGTTGAATGTGCTTACCTGATAAAGGCAAATGGCTAAGAAAAAATATTTTTGTCAAATTAGGGGTGGAAGAGACCTCTGAAAAGATTGAAGAAAAAAATTATAAAAATATGGAGATTCTGACAGATAGGGTAACTCTCACCTGTAATCCTAGCACTGGGAGGCTGAGGCAGGAAGATTACTTGAGGCCAGGAGTTTGAGACCAATCTGGGCAACAGTGAGACCCCGTCTCTACAAAAAGAAAATTAGCCAGATGTGGTGGTGTGTCCCTGTAGTCCTAGCTACTTGGGAGGCTGAAGTGGGAGGATCACTTAAGCCCAGGAGTTTGAAGTTACAGTGAACTATCATCACGCCACTGTACTTACTCCAGCCTGGGACACAGAGTAAGACCCTGTCTCCAAAACATATATATACATATATGTTTCTGCCTTCAGAACACTTCACAAGTATCATTCCAGTAAAAACTGAAAATCATAGATGTACATCATGAGTGTAGTTCATGCAGAAACTTTAATTGCTTGAACTTACTCTCAAGAAAAGGCCTTCA
This sequence comes from Homo sapiens, assembly GCF_000001405.40. Taxonomy (NCBI): domain Eukaryota; kingdom Metazoa; phylum Chordata; class Mammalia; order Primates; family Hominidae; genus Homo; species Homo sapiens. The sequence goes on from NC_000020.11 coordinate 44,545,968, forward strand.
CTGGGCACAGTGGCTCATGTCTATAATCCCAGCACTTTGGGAGGCTGAGGCAGGTGGATTACTTGAGTCCAGGAGTTCGAGACACAAGCCTGGGAAATACAGCAAAACCCTGTCTCTACAAAAAATACAAAAATTAGCAGGTTGTGGTGGTGCATGCCTGTACTCCCAACTACTCGGAGGCTGAGGTGGGAGAATCACCTGAGCCCAGGGAGGTTGAGGCTGCAGTGAGCCATGATCATGCCATTGCAGTCCAGCATGGGTGACAGGGAGAGACCCTGTCTCAGAGAAGAGAAGGAGAGGAGAGAGGAGAGGAGAGGCTTTCATCCCTTAGCCAGTATTTGGAAAATAAACATGCATTTTTAATGATTCCTCTCTTTAACTGTATTTTTTAAAAAATGAGTTATACCATTATTAGTTCTGATTCCATCAAGGAGAGAACTTCTACTTTGTTTCTTAAGTTGTTATGTATGGGTTACTGTGTATCAATTGAAATGAATATCACCAGGCCTTATTGTTGGTCATTATAAATTGTGCCCTGGTGAACTTCTTTCCAGAGACATCTTCTCTAGTATATTTTTTGTTTTTTTGAGTTCTTTTTTTTTTGAGACAGAGTCTTACTTTGTTGCTTATGCTGGAGTGCAATGGTACAATCTTGGATCACTGTAGCCTCTACCTTCCCAGTTCAGGCGATTCTCCTGCCTCAGCCCCCCGGGTAGCTGGGACTACAGGCATGCACCACCACTCCCGGCTAATTTTTGTATTTTTAGTAGAAACGGGGTTTCACCATGTTGACCAGGTTGGTCTCGAGCTCCTGACCTCAGGTAATTCCACCCGTCTCAGCGTCCCAAAGTGCTGGGATTACAGATATGAGCCACTGCACCCAGGCCCCTCACTGATTTTAAATAATGTGAAGTTTGGAATGTCTCAGGGAGTTCAATGTAATGGAATTTGTCCTGATGTTATTTCTTTTTCCAAATCACATAGCACTTCAAACTTTTCTTTTTATAACATTTCTCATAAATAGTCCTCCTCCATAATTACCTTTGTGTTTATTTTGTGTCTGCTACTAAACTCTTAGCTTGTTGAGGACAGGAGTCCTTCCTTGGACCTCTGTACATCCTAACATACAATGGGTGCTCAATTTATGTTCATGGAATGAGAGAATGAATCAATGTCACTGTCTTCTATTATTGCATAGACATCTTCAGTAACACTTCCTTTGAATTCATTGTCAGTGGAGCTAGTCTTGTAGCCTTTTCAATAGCTTACATTCCGTGTTGGAGCAAAAAATGTTAAATGTTTATAAGGTAATTTCAAATATAAGCAAAAGTAGAGAGAATGGTATAAAGAAACCTCCATTATCTATAATCAAGCTTCAACAATTACCAGCATTTTAGAGCAAATTTTGATTTAGGATAAGGGTAGAGAGAATATGATGACATCAGGATGCTGATTTTGATTTTGTGGGGAGAGAAGCAGGCCATGTGTGGTGAGCAGGGTAGAGAAAGAGGAGGCTGGTGGCCCAAATACAAACCTGCCTCATAGGAGTTGTCTTGAGGATCACTTGAGTTGACATAGGAAAGTGGGAAGAACAATGCCTCACACATGGTGAGTACAGCCTAAGTGCTCCCACCACCATTACTATCACTCCTGCGTAGTTTGTGGGAGCTGAATGTGGGAGCTGTGGCACTTACTAACTTGGTGACTTTGGACACCGACCTTTCTGAGCTGCAGTTTCTTCGTCGGAAAAAATGGGAATAGTAATAACATCTTAAACATAGCATTGGCGGGGCGCGGTTGCTCATTCCTGTAATCCCAGCAGTTTGGGAGGCCAAGGTGGGCGGATCATTTCAATTCAGGAATTTGAGACCAGCCTAACCAACATGGTGTTGGTTTTAATGGAGAACCCTGTTCTCCATTAAAAATAGGCTGGGCATGGTGGCTCATGACTTGTAATTCCAGCACTTTGAGAGGCTGAGGCAGGCGGATCACTGGAGATCAGGAGTTCGAGATCAGCCTGGCCAACATGGTGAAACCTCGTCTCTACTAAAAATACAAAAAATTAGCCGGGTGTGGTGTTGTGCACCTGTAATCCCAGCTACTCAGGATGCTGGGGCAGGAGAATTACTTGAACTTGGGAGGTGGAGGTTGCAGTGAGCCGAGATCGCACAACTGCACTCCAGCCTGGATGATAGAGCAAGACTGTCTAGAAAAACAAAAAAACCCAAAAAAGGTAGCATCTTATCCCACACAGGCAGTGGAATAATATATGTAAATATGTTCTGGGTTAATTAACATTAATCACAATTTTCCAGAGTGGTTTTCTAGTCTGGAGGGAGGGACCATGTTTCTGGAGGTTTTTTCGGGAGTCAAGCCAATTCCTTCTGTGTATTCTCATTCTGAGACTTCATAATATTCGTGGCAGAGTCATTTGTCAGCCTAGCAAATAAACATTACAGGACAATAGGCTTTGTTTCCGTTTGCAAAATGTTTTTTAAATAATGAAAACAATTTTACTTTATGTAGCTTGTCCATATATGCACTGAAAATGAAATACTTATCAACCAAGTTGATAAAGGGATAAAAATAGTTTTCCTAAGGAAAACTATTTGCTGGGGATTTGTGTTGGACAAGTTTTGTAGCAGTCTGTTTCCCCGTCTTTGAAATATAAACAGCATCTTTATTTGTCTAGATTTTGCTTATAACAATTTGCTCAACTCCTAATTAAAGATAGCTCTGTCATCCACACATCACTTAGCTACTTTCCTAAAGCCAGAATTTCTTTAGAAAATCAGTTTTCTTTTAAGACTTCAAAACACTTTGCCTTCTCCTTAGTACTATAAAGAATTCTAATTATGTAGGACATTCATCCAGCCACTCCTCCCACCACACACACACACACACACACACACACACACACACACACACACACACACATATATCTGTCTGAGATAATAATTAGATACTGTGGGAAGAGAAATGAAATATCCCTGATGGTTTTAATAATTTTCTGCAGTGTTTGTTTGGACAAGAAAATCAGCTGTCACATCCCCTGGGTATGAGAGTTATATAAACCCAGATCAGAAAGTCAATGCTGCAGACTTAAATTCTCAGGAAGTTTTAAAACTTTTAAAACTACCACTTGCCTTTTGGATTTGACTTTTTAAAAGTTTGATTTTTGCTTTTTCAGATACTAAACTTTTGGCATTCTTAGTATTTGTGATTTATAGCATCTTGTACTTTTATAGACTTACTTATTCAAACAAACTAAACCCCCACTCTATGCCCAGATAACAAAAAAACACGTACAAGATACAGTTTTATCTCAAAATGAGCAATATCCTGAAGCTATCATTTGGTCCCAGTGACATATGAACTGTTCGTTTTTTTCCCCATATACTGTTCTGTGTAAATGTTCTATTACACAGTCTTTTTTTCTGGATTATTTTTCTGGAGATTTCGTTATACTTTGTTGATGTTTCTTTTCAAAAGCTCCCGCACAAATCATCTCCAGTAGTCATCCAGCCAGTGTTGTACTAGAAGATGTGTTACTTCTAATTTAAACTTCCATTTAAGGCTTGACGCTGTGGCTCACACCTATAATCGCAGCACTTTGGGAGGCCAAGGCAGGAGGATCACTTGAGCCCAGGAGTTCAAGACCAGCCTGGGCAACAAAGTAAAACCCCATCTCTACGAAAAATGGAAAAAAATAGCTGACATGGTATCACATGCTTGTAGTCTCAGCTACTTGGGAGGCTGAGGTGCGAAGATGGCTTGAGCCCGGGAGGTAGAAGCTGCAGTGAGCTGTGTTTGCCCCACTGCACCCCAGCCTGGGTAACAGCATGAGATCTTTTCTCAAAAGAAAACAAACTTCCATTTGAGAAAGTGACAGAAAAGTTTTGGATTTTTGTAATTATAGGAATTCTTTACTTTTCTTTGATAATATTATATCTCTTTCAGTGAAAAGGGAGTTAGGAAGAGATCTAAATGTACTCTTTGATCTTCCTTGTTAATCATTTAAAAATGGAATTCGGAGCTAATTTTAACTTCTGAAGGACCTGGGGGAATTTTATCTAGCACCTGAGGTATACCTTAGTTTTTTATGTATTGAATCTTTAGGACCAGTTTTATTCTTTCATTTAAATATGTAGTGAGCATCTAGTATGTGCTTACCATTGTGCTGTGTGTTTATATATATTATCTCATTTAATTCTCACACAAGCGTTGTTAGATACATAAAAGGGGACTTCAAAAAATTCATGGAAAAAATTGAATTAAAAGATAAAAATGAAAAATATAAACTTTATTTCTCAATATAAACTCCATCAAGTTCAAGGCAATATTGTAGTGATGATACCGGCCATTTAGCCCGTCCCTAAAGAACTGAGGGTTCTGGAAATTTAGCCATATTAATGCAGTCTTTTTTACATTATTAACTGAAAAAAAAAATGGATTCCCTTTAAAGATTTCTTAAGATTAGGAAACAAAAAGAAGTCAGAAAGAGCCAAATCAGGACTGTAAGGTGGATGCATAATGATTTCTGTGCACAGTGATTTCCCATTGAAATCTCGCAAAAATTGCCCTTGTTTGATAAAAGGAATGAGCAGGAGGAGTGTTGTCATGGTGGAGAAGGACTCTGGTGAAGCTTTCCCAGGCGTTTTTGTGCTAAAGCTTTGGCCACTGTGCCCAGCCACAACTTTCATTTTGTTAAGTCATCTAATCCTTACAACTGCTCCATGAAATAGGTACTATTATTATCCTTATGTTACAGATGGAGAAACTGAGGCAGAGAGCGGGACAGTAACCTGCCTAAGGTCCCAGAGCTCTAGAGTCAGTGGTCTTAACCTCTATTATGACCTCTCACTTAATGAGGGCCAGATTTCCCCTCTAGCTTTTTATTATGAAAAATTTCAAATGTGGAAAAAAATTAACAAGAGTACAATGAGCACCTGTATCAAAAACCTAGCCCAAACAATTGTTAACATTTTGCTGCATATAGTTTATCTGCATGTGTGTATTTCAATTTTTTGCTGAACTATTTGAAAATATATTATGGACATTATAATTCACTCCTTAAATACAAAACAAAGCAACATTTTCCTGTTTTTTTTTTGAGACGGAGTCTTGCTCTGTCGCCCAGGCTGGAGTGCAGTGATGCTCACTGCAAGCTTCGCCTCCCGGGTTCACACCACTCTCCTGCCTCAGCCTCCCCAGCAGCTGGGACTACAGGCACACGCCGCCACGCCTGGCTAATTTTTTTGTATTTTTAGTAGAGACGGGGTTTCACCGTGTTAGCCAGGATAGTCTTGATCTCCTGACCTTGTGATCTGCCCACCTCGGCCTCCCAAAGTGCTGGGATTACAGGCGTGAGCCACCGCGCCCGGCCCAACATTTTCCTTTTACTTGGTAAATGCATTCTTGGAAAATACATTGCCTCTAAAATCATGCAAAAGTACTTTGCTACAGACAAAAAGGAGTGGAGTTCTAGGTTCAGATAACTGTAAAGAGCTTTACATGAGTATCTTGATATTTAAAAATCAAGCAGAGTAAAGGGACAATTTTTGTTTCTATAAGACAGCCCCTCAATTTGCTGGATGTTTAACATCTTGGTCTCTACCTACTAAATGCCCATTTGAATGAGGAGACAATTGACTGTTGTGTCAACCAAAAAATGCCTCCCATCCCCTCCGTTTCCAGAAAGTCCTCTAGCCAGCTGTGCCTGTTGAGTGTCATTGACTTGACTGGTCTTCTGCTGAAGGAGCTATAGGTTAAATTAAAATAAAATGTGCTGTCACAGAATCCTTATCATCATGATTCAGAGTTGAGGTAATAAAGGTGGTAGAACTTATCTGTAATTCTCCTTTAGTTCTACAACCACATATGCTCTAGATTTGTAAACAAATATTCATTTATTCTGTTGTATTCTACCACCACCACTTTGTTCCACAAAAGGTTATACAGCAGATTTTTATTTATTTAACCATTAAGAGTGTCTCCCCGTGTATTGGAATCGGCTAGGAAATATTCGTAATTGCTACACTTTTCTATATAAAAAGGGACTTGAAGCAGACTCAGGGCCAACACAATGTAGAATCTGTTTCTTCTAGCTTTATTTCTCCCTGTGCTGCTAGAGGTACCAAAGGGTTTGTCTCAACTGTTACTACCCCTGACATATTCCATTGATCTCTTTACTTTTCTCTGTTGTCTGTCAGTCTGTTTGTCAGACTTATCTCAAATGCCACGTTGTTTGCGCGTATTTCTCAAAGCCATCCATCAGGATACAATCTAAATCATCACAGCACATTCTGTCTTGTGACACTAAGCACAGACTGCCTGTGTTACATTTGATTGTGTGTTTCCCTTTTCTTCCACATATGTTTCAGTAGTAATTTCCTGGGCAACTTATGTGTGGCGGGCCTTGTTTGGGATCTTGGAAATAGAGAGATGAAGCTCTCCTACATAGTCTCATTTACTTCCAATTTTGCTTTCTTGATAATTGGAGTAGCCTTTTCTAGCTTGTATCCCCTGCAGTACCTGATGCATTGCCTTGCTCAGGGTAATTCATATATATTTCTGAATTCAGTTTGGAATGAAAGGAGACAAGCAGGCACTTTTGAATCAAATCTGGTGCTGCCACTATGCAACTGTATATAAATCTAACCCAACCCCTGTGCGCCAGGTTCCTTATCTGTAAAACATGGATAATAACAACCATCTTACAGGATTGTTGTAAAGTTTAAAGATGAATTGTATGAAGCCTAGCAGAGTTATTGGCACGTAGTAGGTGCTCATGAAGTAGTTGTTATTGTAAGGGAGGTTCAGTCATTCCTTTAGGTCACTTGAGTGGGCAGTGGAAGCATTTAGGATCTTAATTGTCTTTAGGGAAATGCTTACTTAGTCTGGGGGCTTCTCCGAGAAGCAGGCTCTGGGGAAGGTCTGGCTCATTGCTGATTAACTGTTCCCTTTTTAGAGTCAATGATCTGAGTCTGTGTTTTGGAACCACTTATATAATGTATACCACCTGTTATTTGTGTATTTTTAGAAGTGGGAGTCGGGTAATCCTAGTCCTGTCAGTAAAAGAGCAAACTGTTTACCAGAAGCAGAGCTTTTTTCTTAACACTGACTCACACTGACTCATCTTTCTCATTTTTCTTCCCACCGCCTCATAACAACCTTGCAAGAGAGAGAATTTTTAGGGAATCAGTTGACTTACTTTTTTGTGATTTTCCAAAGTTGAAAGCTTGAAGGTATCAGGTCATTAATTCCATCCCAGGAAAGGCTAAAGTTTATGCTGCCTCGGAGTGCCAGTATGACCAACGCCATGTAGTGAATATCTCACATAAACCCTTGTCTAGACAAACCACTTCTGTTGGCTGAGAGGTTAGACAAGTGCCTGAAGTGTACATGTTAAGAGTAAACACATTTTGCTCTTTGAAAATGGTTGCCTTAAGTTGAACCTGGAAAGTTTGCTCTTCTGAGATAGGAAACCCAAGCAGTATTAGAGTCAGAGCTGTGGTAGCTTCACAGATGGATTTCAGATAACAGAGAGGCCAGACAGCACATTAGATCAGCAAAATGGTGAAGGAAGCTTTATAGATCAGAATGACTGATATCTTTGTGCCTTCATTTAACATTCATTAAATGAACATTTACTGATCATCTGTGATATACTTGGTGCTAGGGTTATGACAGTGACTAATAAAAACATAGTGCCTGCTGTCATGGACCTTATACTCTAATGCTCGTTTATAGTAAATGCTAAGGGAACAGAGAGATGCCTTGGCCTGCATATGTGAACATGTTCCTGTGCACACGGGTGAGGGGAGGAAGGAAGGCTCCTTGGAGGAAAAGGCACCCAAGCTGAGTCTGGTGGGGTGAGTAGGCATTAACTAGGAGAAAAGGGTTAGTTAGGGGAATGTGGGGTTGGCTGAAGAGTATTACATGCTGAAATGAGCTATGAGTCTTGGGGTCGAGAGAAGAGCTTGCCCTTGGAGAAGCTGAAAAAAGTGACCAAAGGACAGTGAGAGGGAAGTTTGGCACAAAATAAATTCAGAGAAGCTAACAGTGACAGCAGAGCATTGTAGACCAGTTTATTAATTTAAAAAAAAATTTTTTTTTTTTTGAGACAGAATCTTGCTCTGTCGCCCAGGCTGGAGTGCTGTGATATGATCTCAATCTCAGTTCACTGCAACCTCTGCCTCGCAGGCTCAAGCAATTCTCGTGCCTCAGCCTTCCCAGTACCTGGGATTACAGGCACACACCACCATGCCTGGCTAATTTTTTTTTTGTATTTTTAGTAGAGACAGGGTTTCACCATGTTGGTCAGGCTGGTCTCGAACTCCGGCCTCAAGTGATTCACCCACCTCAGCCTCCCAAAGTGCTAGGATTATAAGTGTGAGCCACTGTGCAAGGCCTAAAAAATTTTTTAATCCAGATAAATTTAACATATAGTGAAATGCTCATGACAAATGCATATACCTATGTAACCAACACCCCATTTTGAGTAGGAACTTTTAACTTGGTAGTCAGAGCAAGGGGAAGGATGGGTTTTTGAGCAGGGTCCAGACTTGATGCTAATTGCTAGCTAAGAACTGGGACAAGGGTGAGGGGGTGAGGGGGTGGCAAGTACCAGTGGGGACAGAGCTGGAATAGGCAGTAGTTTGCTGGTGGGCAGGAGCTTCCAGCTTGGGGGCAAAAAACAGATTCTTGGTTTTCCTAACTTGTTTTTAGCAGAGGACAAACCTCTAAGTGCTTTGTAAGATCCAAAGTGTCTATGCAGAAGACAACAGACTGTGTTTTTTCAAAGATTTTCTGGGAAGACTTCCAGGCTACCTGCAGTTTGAAGAAAGTCTTCTGAAAAGGGCAGGGGGCGTGGGGGCACCTACAGAGACAGGATTTCCCCCAACTCGATAAGATACAGGAAAATAATCATCTTATTGATTTACTTTTGTTCTATAGTAATGTGACATTTTTTCTTTTCTGAGAGTAGGGTATTAAAAATTGTTACGGTTTTGGGTTTTACAGATTTGTTGAAGCTTAATATCATTTAAGTGTCCTATTTTAATATCTGTTTTAATATCTGTATTTTTGACAGACTGCCAGAAATCATTTAACATGTTACTGTGCTATTTTTGTTGATGTTGTCATTATTATTTTTGTTGATGTTATTCTTAAAGAAAAAAGAAAAGATACTATCGATAGAATTATCGTCAGTATTAGAAATTAAGAAATGTTTTAATTTCAATTGAAAACAAACAAGTAAACAAACATGAAAATGTATTGAGAGATGTGTGTATTCTCTACCTTTGTTTTATTCCTTTTACAAAAACTATAAGGAATAGTGCTTAACAGTGTACTGTCAAAACACTGACATCTATTTACAGGAAGTTCATTTCTGACCAGAATTGTTTGTTTGTCTCTCCAAAGCTTGCCAAATTCTATAGGTTTTATGTAAGTTTATAAATATTCTTGTAAACATTGGCTTTAAACTAAATCCTTCTAAATATCCAAACTACCATGTATCTTTCTGTGTCTAAATTCAGAGATACCATCCTGTTGGCTTTAGATAAGTTACAGAGTAGTTTAGGCCCACATGATTTAAGCTCACCCACAGTTCTTTGTTGATACTTGAGGATTTCATCTGAAAAGCATCCTGTTCATACTCTGAAAATATTTCTTTCATCTTAGTACTCCCACTCATTTTGTGTGTGTATATGTGTATAGATTATTTTATTGTTCCACATATATGTATATTTATTTTTTGTCCACTTGCTAGGGAACCTCATTTTTTTTAACAAGAAAATACTTGTGTGATAAGGTCATAAAACCCAAGAGTTGGGAGGAATATTAGAGACCTACTTTATTTATTTTATTTTATTTTATTTTTTTGAGACGGAGTCTCGCTGTGTCACCCAGGCTGGAATAGTGCAATGGCGTGATCTCTGCTCACGGCAACTTCTGCCTCCCAGGTTCAGGCGATTCTCCTGCCTCAGCCTCCCAAGTAGCTGGGACTACAGGTGCGTGCCACCATGCCTGGCTAATTTTTGTATTTTTAGTAGAGGCAGGGTTTCACCCTGTTAGCCAGGATGGTCTCGATCTCCTGAACTCATGATTCACCCGCCTTGGCCTCCCAAAGTGCTGGGATTACAGGCATGAGCCACCACACCCAGCCTAGAGACCTAATTTAAAGTTTATTGCTGCTTTATTACTCTGAACAACTACATCATTTATTACCTAAAATAATCTTTTTATTTTCTGTTCTCATTTAGCTGAATCTCTGAGCTTAAAAAAAGTGTGTTTGGCTTATATATCACATTATCCCACATATGTTACAACCAAAACTTAATTATTAGCCATAATAGTGTCTTTTGGCTAATATTAGTAGTAAGATTTTTGTTTGTTTGTTTGTTTTTTGAGATGGAGTCTGGTTCTGTCACCCAGGCTGGAATGCAGTGGCGCGATCTCGGCTCACTGCAACCTCTGCCTCCTGGGTTCAAGTGATTCTCCTGTCTCAGCCTTCTGAGTAGCTGGGATTACAAGCGTGTGCCACCATGCCTGGCTAATTTTTGTATTTTTAGTAGAGACGGGGTTTCACCATGTTGGCCACGCTGGTCTTGAACTCCTGACCTCAGGTGATCTGCCCCCCTTGTCCTCTCAAAGTGCTGGGATTACAGGCATGAGCCACCGCGCCTGGCCAATAGTAGTAAGTTAATGAAGATCTGTACTAAATTTGGATTCCAAGTGAAACATTTCTTTTTTTCTTTTTTATTTATGGCAGAGTAGAGGGTTGATAGATATTTGTTGGCTTTATTAGTTTTCTCAAATTGGTATGTAAAAATAATACTAGATATATAGGTTTAAGTCTCCTTCATAAGATTTTCTTTCTTCTAAACCTTTGGAATATGCCATGCTTTTCAAAAAGCCCCACTCATTATTTTTATGATAGTGGAATAAAAGTCTCCAATTTGTCAAGCTCATTATTCAAGCCTTCCAGGATTGTTTGCAGTTTTAAAATAAACTGCTGGGGGTTTTATGCATCTTGCAATATGAGTACTTAATTAAAATTAAAAAGGGGGCCATGCATCTATCTATTCTATTAAGGTCGTATATAAATAAATGATTTTATTGGGATTTTCAGTGTATTTAGAGTAATCTATACTTAATGAGAGGGACTTGTACTTTTCATTTCTTTGTACTATTTTTCAGCCTTTCCTGAACAGTAAATGTTTTAAAAAAAACTATACCCTTATTCCTTGGTCTCTAAGAACTGTGGTGGGCTGGGCGCGGTGGCTCACCCCTGTAATCCCAGCACTTCGGGAGGCAAAGGAAGGTGGGTCACTTGACAAGGTCAGGAGTTGGAGACCAGCCTGGCCAACGTGGTGGAACCTCGTCTCCACTAAAAAGACAAAAATTAGCTGGTGTGGTGGCGAGCGCCTGTAGTCCCAGCTACTCGGGAGGTTGCTGCAGGGGAATTGCGTGAACCTGGGAGGCAGAGGTTGCTGTGAGCCGAGATCGCACCACTGCACTCCAGCTGGGTGACAGGTGACAGGTGACAAAAAAAAAAAAAAAAAAGGCCAGGTGCGGTGGCTTACGCCTGTAATCCCAACACTTTGGGAGGCTGAGGTGGGTGGATCACAAGGTCAGGAGATAGAGACCATCCTGGCTAACACAATGAAACACTGTCTCTACTAAAAAAAAAAAAAAAAAATTAGCCAGCCGTGGTGGCGGGCACCTGTAGTCCCAGCTGCTCAGGAGGCTGAGGCAGGAGAATGGCGTGAACCTGGCAGGTGGAGCTTGCAGTGAGTGAAGATCACGCCACTGCACTCCAGCCTGGGTGGCAGAGCAAGACTCCATCTCAAAAAATAAAAAATAATAAAAAAAAAAGCTGTGGTGGAGTATATGGTACAAACATGAGACTTGGTGCTCTTTTGGATTCCTAAGGCTTTTCCATGTCTGAGAACTCAGGAGGCAGCCTTTGCATAGCAGAGGGACTAGGAACCTCACTATTTCTCCAAAGTTGACTAGCTTTCTATAAGATAACCCCCATAAAATCACTAGTCATTAGTAATAAAACTTTGTCTTTAAATGACTATAATATTTTTAAAAAGGACAATGAATATGTACTCTATGCCATCCCTTTCCATACTGTAAATGTGTTTCTGAAAGGTATGCTATTTAGATATACTTGAGTCCTATTCTAATATACGGAGAGGTTGCTTTTTAAATTGTCCTCATCATTGTGGTAGTAATAGTAATATTAGTAGTACTGGTAGTTAACATTTATGGAACACTTCATATATTTTACATACATAGCTTCCTTTAACCCTTATAATAATCCTATGAGTTAGGCATTTTATTCTCTCCATTTTGTGGGTGGGAGAACTGAGACTTGATATGTGGACTATATGATTGATCGATTGGTTGATTTTGGTAAAGTTCAGATATCTTTTGTCCTGTGCTTGACACTCTAAAATAGTAAGTATTTGGGTAACAAATAATTGTAAGAGAGAGAAAATCATCTTATCTTTTGGACTATTCCCTTCTATTCCATTCCTACTGCCAACACTCCAGTCCAACCTCACATTTCTTTTTCTTTCTTTTTTTCTTTTTTCTTTCTTTCTTTCTTTCTTTCTTTCTTTCTTTCTTTCTCATTCTTTCTTTTTCATTCTTTCTTTTTTTCTTTCTCCTTCCTTCCTTCCTCTCTCTCTTTCTTTCTTTCTCTTTTTCTCTCTCTTCTCTTTCTTTCTTCCCTTCTTTCCCTTCCTTCCCTTCCTTCCTTTCTTTTCATTTTCTTTCTTTCTTTCTTACAGGGTCTTGCTCTGTTGCCCAGGCTGGAGTGCAGTGGCATGATGACAGCTCACTGCAGCCTCCACCTCCACAGCTCAAGTGATGCTCCTGCCTCAGTCTCCCAAGTAGCTGGGACTATAAATGCGTGCCACTGTGCCCAGCTAATAAAGCTCCTTCTGCTGAAGTTATGCCTAAACCCTTCTTTGCACATGTCATTCCTTATCACTTATCACCTAAAGAATGACAGGGGGCTTTGGCTTTGAATGGCCCTCAGTATGTATAAGCACCTAAAGATTTCAGTTTATCTCAGCTTCAGAGCAGTCCATCTCATCTGCCTGTTTTTCTTCTTAAAATAAACTTTTAAAAAATAATTAAAGTTTTTAAAAGGTGCAGAATATTTAAGTAAGATTTCTTCTCCCCTTTCCCCTAAATCTCCATTCTCATTTCGTAGAAGTAAACCATTCTTAACAATTTCCTGGATAATTCTTCCAGAAATTATGCATGTCCAAACATAAATATAAAATCTATTGGTTGCTTAAAAAATCTATAAATGAGATCATATTATACAAACTATTCTACTGCTATTGTTCACATAGATACATTTTATTCTTTTAAATGACTTCATGGTTGTATCACTTACAAACCTTTTGGCTTTGAGTAACAGAAGCAGGGAATGTACAGAAGGGGTGTCAGACAAGGCTTCCAAATTATCAGAACCAAGGCAGGCCAGGGAATCATCATCCTGTTTTAGCTGAAGCAGCCAGGCCAGTATGTTGCCATCACTGCCCTTGGACACTGTCAGGAATAAATTCCAACTGTTCCTTTGTCATAGTGTCATTTTTTAAGGTTCAGAGTCCCAGTGAGACTATGCACAATGGGGAAGTACCCCCAAATAGAAAGAAGTGACTGGATGTTGGAAAACTTAAAAAATGATACATTTCCATTACATTGGTATTCTATTGTATAAACATGCCATAATTTATGTATTAATAACTAGCCACTTCTTGGTGAATATTCAGATTGTCATATTCAATTTTTTACTAGCAAAAACCACTGCTGCAAAGAAAATTATTTATGTCTTTGTGCATTTTTGTAAGTATATCTGTGAGATTAATTTCAAGAAGACTGTGCTGGATCAGAGAGTATGTATATTTAACATTTTGATGTAGCGCCGGGCATGGTGGCTCATGCCTGTAATTCCAAAACTGAGAGGCTGAGGTGGGCGGATCACTTGAGCTCATGAGTTCCAGACCAGCCTGGGCAACATTTTTTTCATGGGCAAAACCCGGAGAAGAAAATATGAAAAAAATACAAAAAAAAAAAGAAAGAAGGAAAGAAAAAAGAAAATTAGCTGGGCATGGTGTTGCACACCTGTAGTTCCAGCTACTCAGGAGGCTGAGGTGGGAGGATGGTTTGAGCTGGGGAGGCGGAGGTTGCAGTGACCAGAGATTGTGCCACTGCACAGGAGCCTAGGTGATAGAGCCAGACCTTGTCTCTAAATAAATAAATAAATAAATAAATAAATAAATACCATTGTGATGTATATTGTAATTCATGCTTAGAAGCTTTCACTGGTTTACACTCCCATCTACAAAGTGAACTGGCTTTTAACTTACAAGATACAAAGTTATTTATGGCCATATATTCAGCAAAAGCCACAAAGTGTCACACCAGGTGAAAAGGGAAGTCCAAGTTTCTGAGGTATAGAGTTTCAGTATTTATCAGGTAAGCATAGCTACCAAAGCCATTTTTGTTCTGGAAGCATTTGCTGATCCCGAGAAAGCATTTTTTAGGTTAAGCTGTATTTTTGGTGTCTTCATATATGAGGACAGAATTCTTAGCTTGTTGTCCGTCAAGGATGGGGAATCAGATAAACCACTTTTTTAGTTTGAATGGAACCCCTAAGGGCATAAGAGGGAACTTGAACTAAGCCAACCCTCACAATAGCCTTGCCACCAAGCTTCTAGGTGTAGGGAATGTAGACCAAGATCTTTCATCATTATGGTTCTCAAGTAATAATGCCATCAGGCAGCTGGCAGAAGCAAATGCAAATTTTCTCTCGAGGAAGATGTTATCATCCCGGACATCAAAATAGTCCTCTAAATAATTTTTTATGTAATCACTAGCACATGGGATTAAAACCAGGTTCACAAAGAAATAAGATACCATGAAAAGAATTAGCAAAAGCCATATACAACAAAAGTATCAAAGCCATGAGATACTGGAATTTCAGATGCAGAATGTAAAACACTGTATTTACTATGCAAAAAGAAATAGAAGCCAAGATAAAAACGTCACAATGGGCCGGGTGTGATGGCTCACGCCTGTAATCCCAGCCCTTTGGGAGGCCTAGGCAGGTGGATCACCAGGTCAGGAATTCAAGACCAGCCTGACCAACATAGTGAAACCCCATCTCTACTAAAAATACAAAAAATTAGCTGGATGTGGTGGCGGGCGCCTGTGATCTCAGCTACTTGAGAGGCTGAGGCAGGAGAATCGCTTGAACCCGGGAGGCAGAAGTTGCAGTGAGCCGAGATCGCACCAGTGTATTCCAGCCTGGGTGACAGTGCGAGACTCCGTCTCAAAAAAAAAAAGTCAGTAAGTAGACACTGTCAAAAGTGACAGCAGATTTGAAAAAATCCAAATAGACATTCTAGAACCAAAACATATAATAATCAAAAACAAGAATGCAGTGGATGTATTTAAAGTAGATTACCTAGCAAGAGAGAACTAGTGAACTAGAAGATAGAAGAAAATTCTCCAGAATAAACCTTCAAGAGATTTAAAAAATGTAAAATATAGAAAAGATGATTAGAGAATTAAAACGATCCAGTGACAAGTTCTAATATGCATTTAAAAAAATTTTTTTTTCAAGTTTTTTCTTGCTGCAGTGTCCAGGCTGAAGTGCAGTGGCTATTCCCAGGTGAGATCATGGCACACTGTGGCCTCAAACTTCTGGCCTCAAGTGATCCTCCCACCTCAGGTAAATAGGTGGGACTGCGCCCAGCTTTAATATACATTTAATTAGAATTACAAAATGAGTGGAGCAAGAATGGTGCAGAAGCAATATTTGAAGAGATAATTGATGATCATTTTCTAGAACTGCAGAAAGATGAATTTGCAGATTCAAAAGTGTATAGCCTTAAAGAAAAGCTAAAAGCTAAAAACTGAGCAAGCATCCATCTTGTAAGTCAGATCACATTTTGTAAGTCAGAGAAAACACAGCAAAATAATTCTGAAGAAGATAAAGAGAAGCTAGGCATGGTGGTGCATGCCTGTAGTCCAAGCTGCTTGGAAGGCTGCAATGGGAAGATTGCTTGAGTTGGAGGCCAGCCTGGGCAGCATAGTGAGACCCCACCTACCCTGTCTCTAAAAGAAAGAAAATAAAGGGAAAGAAAGAATGAAAAGAGTAGAAGTTATGAAGTATAAAGCAAATGTATAGCAGGGAAAATCAATGAAGCCAAAGTATGATTCTTAGAAAAGATTAATAAAAATGATAATACTCTGATTAGGTTGATCAAGAAAAGGAAGACAGAAATAAAGAAAGGAGCACAAATAACCAAAATCAAGAATGAAAAAGAGGGGGCTGGGCCCAGCCTTTAATCCCAGTACTTTGGGGGACCGAGGCGGGCAAATCACTTGAGCTCCGGAGTTTGAGACCAGCCTGGGCAACATGGCCAAACGCCATCTCTACAAAAATTAGCCAGGTGTGGTGGTGTGTGCCTGTAGTCCCAGCCACTCAGGATGCTGAGGTGGGAGGATGGCTTGAGTCTTGGAGGGGGAGGCTGCAGTGAGCCTAGATCGTGCCACTGCACTCCAGCCTAGGGGACACAGTGAGACCCTGTCTCAAAAAAAAAAAAAAAAAAAGAGTGCTTAAAAAAAAAGAGTGAAAAAGGGAGATAGTATACTCATTAACAAAATAATGATACTATGAATACTATGAATAATTTTAAACCAAAATTTTGAAAATTTAGATGAATGGATAAATTTATTAGTAATATAACTATTAATAAAAATGGAGTCATCTGGGCATGGTGGCTCACGCCTGTAATCCCACCACTTTGGGAGGCCAAGGCAGGAGGATCACCTAAGGTCAGAAGTTCGAGACCAGTCTGGCCAACATGGCGAAACCCCATCTCTACTAAAAATACAAAAATTAGCTGGGCGTGGTGGCCTGTGCCAGCTGCTTGGGAGACTGAAGCAGGAGAATCGCTTGAACCCAGGAGGCGGAGGTTGCAGTGAGTGGAGATCGTGCCATTGCACTCCAGTCTGGTTGAAAGAATGAGACTCCATTTAAAAAAAAACAGAAACCAAATGGAATCAGCAGTTAAACTCTTCCCTTAAAGAAGACTACTAGCCCATCACTAGGAGTCTACCAAGCACTTAAGAGAAAGAATTAATATTACACAAATGCTTCCTGAGAATAGAAAGAGATTAGCAAAACAAAAAACCTGACAGTGACATTATGAGAAAGGAAAAATCATAAGCCCTTTTACTCAGGAAAATTTCTACATTTTACTATGAAAAATTCCCAACTATATATTAGCAGAGCACAATCCAATATTTTACTTATTATTGTAGTATAACAAACTACCAAAGTTTTGTGGCTTAGAACAACTGATTTTTTTTTTTTCCAGAGATTCTGTGGGTCGGAAGTTTGGACTGGGCACAACAAGGATGGTTTGTTTCTGTTTTTGTCTAGGTTCCCAGCTGGGAAGACTCATAGGAGGGCTTGGAATCAAGCCCTTGGCTTGTTGATCTTTGTCGTGTCAATTTCTTGTTTTTCTTTTTTCTGAGACAGGATCTTGCTCTCTTGCCCAGGCTAGAGTACAGTGGCATAATCATAGCTCATTGTAGCCTCAGCCTCCTGGGCTCAAGCGATCCTCCTACCGCAGCCTCCTGAGTGGCTGTGACTACAGGCACATGCCACCACACCTTGCTAATTTTTGTATTTTTTTGTAGAGATGAGGTCTTACTGTGTTGCCCAGACTGGTCTAAAACTCCTGGACTCACGTGATCCTTCCACCTCAGCCTCCCAAAGTGCTGGGATTACAGGCATGAGCCACTGCACCTGGCTGTCTGTCTTACCAGTTTCTAAAATCTCTTTATGGGTTAAGGAAATAAGCTATTTATATTGATAGGAAATATAATTTCCTCTAGCCTGACATTTGATTTTTATTTTGCTGATCATGCTTTTTGCCATGCAGAATATTTTTATACATAGTCAAATTTATTAATATTTCCTTTAATGACTTCTGGATTTTATATCATAGTACTTGGAAATACCTTCTCCATTGTGAGGTCATAAAATATGCCATGTGTTTTTCCAGTGCTTTTATGGTTTCATATTTTTACATTTGGATTTGTGGATCCTCCAGGAGCTATTTTTGGGGTGAGGTAAAAGACTACTTATTAACCTCGCTTTTCTCAGTCAGATGGAGAGATTAATTTTGACTGTGGAGAAGGGGGCTCTGGTAAAGTATCTTGATCATCTCTTAGGGTATGGGATTGTGAGGAATTACTCTCTTTTCACCCAAAGGAATTGGAATGAGCATCTGAAGTCAAAACTGCCTCTCCTCTACAGCAGGTGGGAAAAATTGTTTTAAACTGAATCCTTTTTCACTGTTCCTTCTCATTTCCTAAGACTTTCTGCTACCGTGGTATCACTGGCCTCATGACATGTTATGATTTTGATCTCGTTTTTGTACTATTTTAGTGTTTTTTTTTTCTGATGTCATGAAAGGACACAGCTTCATTTTATGTATAAGCTCTCTCTAAATTGTGATATAGTGTTGAGTTACTGTGAATTCTAGCCGTTGTTATTATTATTTTTTTTAGAGATGGGGTCTTGCTGTGTTTTCCACAGCGAGAATCAGAGCTCCTGGGCTCAAGCCTCCTGCCTCAGCCTCTTGAGTATCTGGGACTACAGGTGTTCCCGGCTTTAGCCATTATTTCTAGGATCAGTTTTGGAGGGCTCTCCTTTCTTGTTTTGTTGTTTGATCCCAAGTCCATCTCAGGCAGTGGTCTTTCTGTAACTTTCTATAACACTCCATTCATTTATTATATTATAAGATAGGCTGTGAATATAGGAGAAAACAGACCTTCATGATCATGATTTCACATTCCTATCATTGTTCCAGACATGTATAAACCTCTCAGACCTTTGAGGCTTAGTCTAAGATAAGTCCTTTGAACAACCAGTAAAAATCATTAATAAAAATAAAGAAAATCAGCAATTCTTTTTCTTCATTAGGACGTGTTGACCTTGATACGAATACTACTATGCTACTTGTTCTTGGATGAATGATACCAACTTTGACCTGGGCGCTTATGAAAATATTTTAAAGCATCACTTAAAAATTACCTTTCTCACCATTCTAACTAAAGCAATAGGTTTTGTGTGTTAGTGGGTTTTTTTCTAATGTCTACTTATGTTCATTTATTAAGCGCCTTCTGTTTGTCAGGCCTTCTGCTAGTGCTGGGACTATAGAGTTGAATAAAATATAAAATTTTCCATCTACTAAGGGAGATAGAATATAACAAGTAGTTATAATGTACAGTGCTGTGAACTATAATAGAAGTGTTATTGGGGGCATGTATTGGTCAGGATTCTTAGTAGCAAACAACAAAATTCACTGTAGTTGGCATAAGCAGAAAGGTAGTTTTAACATCTGTGCTTGGATGTTACACAGATGAAAGTGAAGCAATCACAGACAATATTTCCATGAGAAATGGTCAACCCCACTAAGGGGGACTCTTCTAGAGAAAACACCACTGCTGCCTTTACCAGCACTGGTGACATCAGATACTGGACATCAGAAACTGTCCCATAACAGTCCTAGAACATGGGCTTATAATTTTCTTTACGTTTTCTAGTGCAGTTAGATGCAGTTAGCCCATTCATAATCTTTATATCCTTCATGCCCTTCATTGGTCTATAGCAACTACTACTGGGTTTGAAATAGCCCTGACTTTAATATGGACTTTACCTCAGGCAATCATAGGTGATTATTTTATTATTTATTTAGAGACAGAGTATTGCTCTGTCGCCCAGGCTGGAGTGCAGTGGCACGATCTCGGCTCACTACAACCTCCGCCTCCCGGGTTCAAGCAATTCTCCCTCCTCAGCCTCTCGCGTAGCTGGGATTATAGGCACCCGCCTTCATGCTCGGCTAATTTTTGTATTTTTGTAGAGATGGGGTTTCACCATGTTGGCTAGGCTGGTCTCGAACTCCTGACCTCAGGTGATCTGCCCACCTTGGCCTCCCAAAGCACTGGGATTACAGGCGTGAGCCACCACACCCAGCCAATAGGTGATTATTTTAAAACTCTTACAACATTGCATGCCACTAACTACCCGCATCTCATTCTCTAAGACAGAGATTGGGAAACTATGGCCTGCAGGCAAAATCCAGCCTGCCACTTGTTTTTGTAAATAATTAGTTTTATTGGAATACAGCTATGTTCATTTTGTTTACACATTGTGTGTGGCTGCTTTTGCACTATAGTGGCAGAGTTGAGTAGTTACCACAGAGACCACAAAGCCTGAAGTACTTACTGTCTATCCACTTACAGAAAAAGCAGAAAAAGTTTACTAGCCGCTGTTGTAATGCTTATTAAATTCTCTCTGCCTTTTAAGTCCAGCAGGTGAGGTAAATCAGTTTCTTTCAAACTTTTTGACTTTGAAAATAAGATGCACAATTTATATTATGACTCATGCATGCATATCATATATTATATGTAAATGAAACATTTTCTTCTTTTCATTCTATTCTATACCGTTTCATGTTTTGAAAAGTATGCTAGTCCCAGCTGGGCATGGTGGCTCATGCCTGTAATTCCAGCACTTTGGGAGGCCGAGGCAGGCAGATCACTTAAGGCCAGGGGTTCGAGACCAGCCTGGCCAACATGGCGAAATCCCGTCTCTACTAAAAATACAAAAATTAGCTGGATGTGGTGGTGCACACTTGTAATCCCAGCTACTCGGGAGGCTTTGGCAGGAGAATTGCTTGAACCCAGAAGGTAGAGGTTACAGTGAGCCAAGATTGTACTACTGTACTTCAGCCTGGGTGACAGACCAAGACTGTCTCTAAATAAATAAATAAAAATAAAAATATGCTAGTCCCAGTCTACTAAATTGATTTCATGTTCCACAAATCAGTTGTAACCCATAGGTACATGAATAGGCATGTTCCATTCATGAATTATCCAAGATCTGTTTCATTTCCTTAGGAGTTTTGTCTGCATTCCCTTCTGGTTTCCATTACTCAATCTGTCAGGATTCTCAGGTGCTACTAACAATAAGTGTCTGCTCCAGCTGGTTTAAGCAGAAAAGCATTTCTTAAAAAAAAGTAGGGATCTTACAGAATCTTATAGAGGGCCAGATAACAGATCCTAGTGCTACCTAGATGGCAGTTAAGCAGCAAATGAAATGCAGGCTGGGGAAAGCCATCTAACTACACCATGAGACTTCCCTAGAGAAAACCCTATTCCTGCCATTGCGCAGCACCTGTGACCCTAGGGTCTGGCTACCAGATATCCTGCAAGGTCAGCCCCGTAAGAACTCAGTCTCTGTGATTGTCTCACCAAAGCTCCTTGAAGGAGGGCTCTCCTGGCTCAGGAGCTCAGAGGCTGCTCAGGGCATTTCTACCTTTTGGAATCCTGCTTCATTTTCATCTCGCTGTTCTAAAACTCCTAATTTTTCTTCTCCTATTTTATTTTCCTTTTCTTCAGCTATCTACTTTGCTCCTTTCCTTCTCCTTTTCCTTTATCCTCATACTCATCTTGGCCATTCCTATCATCAGGTGGCGTAACTCAAGGCTGAGGTCCCTGAACAGAGCTTAGAGCTCATTTCTTCCCACTTTCAGTGTACCTTCAACGGCTTTTCTAGCTACTCCTCATTGAGGTTGTCCAGCTTGTGTTTCTTGTGCACCTTCCAGTGCCGGGCACAGGCTGGGCAGCACACCTTCTGGGCCAGGCCCAGGATTAAGAACAGGAGCAGGGCCCTAGAGACTGAGACTGTTCCCGGCTGACAGAGTGTGGCTTATGTCTCTCTTCACCATTTTTAATGGCCAGACAATGTGTTTGATATTTTGATTATTTCTATTATTTCACTATTATAAATAACTCTGCCTGTAATCCCAGCACTTTGGGAGGCTGAGGCTGGCAGATCGCCTGAGCCCAGGTGTTTGAGATCAGCCTGGGCAACATGGTGAACCCCCGTCTCACAAAAAAAATACAAAATGAGCTAGGCATGGTGGCGCATGCCTGTAGTCCCAGCTATTCAGGAAGCTGAAGTGGGAGGATCACCTGAGTCTGGGAGGTCGAGGCTGCACCATGATCATGCCACTGCACTCGAGCCTGGGTGACAGAATGAGACCCTGTCTGAAAATAAATAAATAAATAACTCTGATATAAATGTCTCTCTCATTTATAAGTCAGTGTATGCACATTTTGTAGCACTTGGTATGTATTTTCCAAAGGAACTTAAAAATAACTTTTCGTATTTTTTCTTTTTGTAGAAGTAATGCTATATTTTAGTGTAAAATACTATTTTATAGAAAAAATTTAAAATACCAATAAGAAAATAAAAATTACCCACAGTGTCATCATCCTGATATGCTACTGATTAATAGTTTCTTCCATTTTTTTCTACTTTCCGTTTTACAGACATGAGCCCCTTCTACATATAGGGGCTCACCTTAACATTAAAGTGAGACTTTTTTTTTTTTGAGACAAAGTCTTACTCTGTCGCCTGGGCTGGGGTACAGTGGCACAACCTCTGCCGCCTGGTTTCAAGTGATTCTCCTGCCTCAGCCTCACGAGTAGCTGAGATTACAGGCACCTGCCACCGCGCCTGGCTAATTTTTGTAATTTTAGTAGAGACGGCGTTTCACCATCTTGGCCAGGCTGGTCTTGAACTCCTGACCTTGTGATCCACCTGCCTCAGCCTCCCAAATTGCTGGGATTACAGTCGTGAGCCACTGCACCTGGCTCTTATGTGACTATTTTTTTTAATGTCATCAGATATTCTTCGATAGTATCATTTATTGTGACTGTGTAATATTCCATTCTGTAGATTTACCAAAGTTTATTTAACCACTGCCTAATAGTGGACTTTAAGGATTTTCAGTTTTACAGTTTTCTGAACAGTGCTGAAGTG
This sequence comes from Homo sapiens, assembly GCF_000001405.40. Classification (NCBI taxonomy): domain Eukaryota; kingdom Metazoa; phylum Chordata; class Mammalia; order Primates; family Hominidae; genus Homo; species Homo sapiens. The sequence continues at coordinate 44,568,916 of NC_000020.11, forward strand.
AACAACTTTAAGTCAAGTCTTTGCACACACATCTATAGTGGTTTCTCTTGGATAGATTCTTAGATGTAAGATGAGTGGGTCAGAGAGCATTTACATTTTTTAATTAAGAAACTTTATTTTTTAGACCAGTTGTAGGTTCCCAGTGAAACTGCACAGCAAGTACAGAGAGGTCCCATGTCCCCCCTACATTTTTAAGGATTTCAGCACATATCGTCAAATTGCCCTTTAGGAATGTTGTACCGTTTTCCATTTTCACCTACATTTTCTCATATCTCTGCAACACTGAGAAATATCATTTAAAAGAAATCTTTGATAAGGCACATGTCTAGTAGAATACCTATTCCAGTCAAGCTAAGACTAAATTTTCTCTCTCCTGAAATTTATATTTACATTATTCAGTCCATTATTATTTATTGTGGTTAGTGATCACACAGTTCCACCAACCTTCCTTCTTTGGCCAATTTAACAAAAATTATAAAACTAATACATAGACACAAAAATAAACATTCAGAACAGAAAGATATAGCGATGAAAGTAAAAAAAATCCCCACTTGCTTTAGCCAGGCCTTCTGAAAGCGGTTTGTTTTTTACTTTAATGCTTTTTTGTAATTGTGGTGGTTACTTCCAAAACTGTAAATAAAATATACATAAACATGTAATTTTTATTTTTTTTGTTATTTTATTTTGTCATTTTATTTATTTTTTTTTGAGGTGGAGTTTTACTCTTGTTGCCCAGGCTGCAGTGCAGTGGCGCGATCTCGGCTCACTGCAACCTCGGCCTCCCGAGTTCAAGAGATTCTCCTGCTTCAGCCTCCCAAGTAGCTGGGATTACAGGTGTGAGCCTTGCCATATCGCACACTCCCCGTGTAATCCTGCTGTCCAGAGATATACAATTTGGTGTATTGTATATCCTTTTAGAGATTTAAATGTAGGCTGGGCTCAGTGGCTCACGCCTGTAATCCCAGCACTGTGGGAGGCCAAGGCATGAGGATTACTTGAGACCAGAAGTTTGAGACCAGCCTGGCGACACAGTGAGACCCTGTCTCCACAGGAAATGAAAAAAATTAGCCAGGAATGGTGGTGCATGCCTGTAGTCCTAGTTATTCCAGAGGCTGAGTTGTGGGAGAATCACTTGAGACTAGGAGTTTGAGGTTACAGCGAGCTATGATGATATCACTGCACTCCTGCCTGAGTTACAGTGCAAGACCCTGTCTCGAATGAATCAATAAATATATCAGTAACAACAAAACATGGACTGTGAGCCAGGTACTATGCATAGTCTCATTAAATCCTCATAGTGTCTGAGATGGGGGCCCTTGTTTACCAAAACGTAAACTTGAACCTTATGGCTAACTGGTGACTTGCCTAAACATTTCCAGTATTTCCTATGATAAGTTGTATGCAATAAATAAGATGTATCTAATTATGTGTTCTTGTGTGATCATCTCCATTTAATACATTTCCACAACTAGGATGGTTTGGTTTAAAAAGTGTGCACATTTAAACTATTTAAACTTTTGTATCATCCTGAGGGAGGTAGTTTAGAGTGTGGACTTTGTCGTCATACATACCAGTATTTAGATTCTGACTGCCACTTACTGGCCACTCACTAAAATGAAACTGTACATCAGTTTACCTATCTCTAAAATGGAAGGATAACAGAAGCCTCATATGGCTGTGAAGATTAAATGAGATGCTGCTGCAATGTCCCTGGCTAGTGTGCAGCACCTAGGAAGAATGGTGTCCAAGACAGACCAGGCCCCTCATCTCATAGAACTGATATTTTAATGTGGGACAGGAGGAGGCAGCAGTGAAAGGCAGTAAAGAAATGAATGAACAACAAAAAAAAGTGGTGCTGTATGGACGCTTAACAGAAAGTGACATGATAGGTAGATGGGTGGTTATTTTAGGTTGGGTGGCTTGGGAAAGTTTTTCTGAAGAAGTGACATCTCAGCTAAGGTCTCAGTGATAAGGATAGTTTTATAATTCAAAAATTCCTAGAAATAAAAACATGGGATCAAACATTACATGCATTAGGCCAGGCACCGTGGCTCACGCCTGTAATTCCAGCACTTTGGGAGGCCGAGGCGAGTGGATCACTTGAAGCCAGGAGTTCGAGACCAGCCTGGCCAACATGGTGAAACCCCGTCTATACTAAAAATACAAAAATTAACCGGATGTGGTGGTGCAGGCCTGTAATCCCAGCTACTTGGGAGGCTGAGGCAGGAGAATTGCTTAAACCCAGGAGGCGGAGGTTGCAGTGAGCTGAGATCGTGCTCTCACTACAGCCTATGCGATAGAGAGACTCAAATAATAATAATAATAATAATAATAATGACAAAATGACCTGAAAAAATTTTTAAATAATTTGCATTCTATGTATAGACATGCCTCTTTTTCTTTACCATTACCAGAACTTTTTTCCTAATGTAAAAAAAAAGTGGGGTTGTTCAAAGATTGTCTTAGGGACCTTCTAATGAGCTTTACTGGCAGAGGGAAAAGATAAGAAAATGTGTAAGTCCCTTTTAGGAATCTCTTCTATTTCCTCTCCCTGTGTTAATTGTCTACCATCATCCATTATACTATAAACCGTTGTCTTCACTTTACTGGCCTTTTTCTTTACACCACATCCTGCCTACATTGTAGGACTGGAAGCTGCCAACATGCATGTTAACTAACAAGCACTTTTTCGTCTTTAGAATTAGGCAGTGCCTGGGTCAGGGGAGATGCAAGATTCAGAACAGCAATGCTTTTGCTATAAAAACAAGGCAGCTTTTAGGGTAGACTGGTTTTTCCAAACAAATTCATTGTTAAGGCTGTAACACGTTCTGTGAGTTAAAACTGTGCAGAAGGCTCTGCACATATGTTTGTTACAGTTGAGCCTTTTTCCTGTATGGCATGCAATGGGGGCAATGGGCATTGGTGAACACTGTACACTACCATTGCTTCCACAGGTAATAAGACCTCTTGTTTGTAACGTGTATATGATTACATATTGTGGATCTGTTCTGAAAGCCTTTAATCATCGTAGAAACGTTCTCTTTGTAGGGCTTGAGCAGGCCTCAGCATCTTTACGACAATATACATGTTTTTGTTTGTTTGTTTTGAGACGGAGTCTCGCTCTGTTGCCCAGGCTGGGGTGCAGTGGCACAATCTCAGCTCATTACAACCTCTGCCTCCCGGGTTCAAGCAATTCTCCTGCCTCAGCCTCCCCAGTAGCCGGGATTACAGGTGCCCACCACCACACCCGGCTAATTTTTTTGTGTTTTTAGTAGACACAGGGTTTCACCATGTTGGTCAGGCTGGTCTCCAACTCCTGACCTCAAGTGATCCACCCACCTCAGACTCCCAAAGTGCTGGGATTACAGGCGTGAGCCACCACGCCAGGTCAATATACGTGTTAAATTATAGACATCACTCAGTTACTGTTTTGTTCATGTATGGGGCAAATATATATTTTTATAGAATATACATGTATTATAATTTAATTTCTGATTCAAGCCTTAAAGAAAATATGTAGTTCAAACTTGGAAATAAATGGATTAAAAGTCACTTGCTCTTAAAATGTGGTTTCTTTTTATAATCTTTTAAAATTCAGCAACTTAAATAAAACATCCTGAGGGCAACATGTGTTAGTGAGGGGGACTGGGGGTGGCGTGGGGAGGGAGTGTGTTTGATGAAATTGTCCAGGAGCAAAGCACCACTTACTTGAAGCCCAGAGATTTGTCATCCAAATATGTGCAGATTGCTGGGCTATAAATAGTTTGAACTCAAGTAAACAGCCTCTTCTCCCTAACTGCTGCTTGGCCATTGTTCAGATGCCAGCACAGACTGAGGAGCATCTCACACCAAGCTCAAGGCTCTTGTGCCCAAATTTTGGGCTGCTTCTCTTGTGGGGAGAGCTTCAGCTACCCTGACTTGAGATGACCAAGGGTCACATGTTCACCCTCTTTAGTTATCCCACGTTTGGCTCCCACCCCTATGCAACCTGATGTACAGTTTCATAAACATGCCTCTGCTCTGATGAGTAGCGCTGATCTAAGAAGATTCCTGGCAACTATTAAAAAGCCCTGGGGCCCCATGGCTGTTGACTGAAGTAGATTTAGGAAGCACAGAAGTTCTTTTTTCAGGGCAGAGGCACGCATGGCTCATTTCTTTCTTTGGAACTAAGTAGAGTGGCACTGGTTGTCAGAACTGCTGCAGGCTGCCTGTGCCAGCAACTCATCTGCTCTGTGCCAGGCAGGCAGGCTGCTGACATTTCAAGAGTCCCTTTGAGGACTCCAGCAACATGCTGTCATTAGAGCAACTGAGGACAGTCCATAGTTTATTAGTATATTTCCTTTGGAAAAAATGTCTCCCCCTCTCTCTCTCTTTAAAATTCCTGCTTTAGCTGCATTGCTGCATTCATGTGCAGTGACTCTTATGTCAAATGCCTATGAGGAGATTATGACTAATTTAACATTTTGTTGTTGAGAGGACATAAGGAATGGTAGAAGGAGTACTAGATTAAGGATCAGGAGCCTGGATTCTTGCGCAAGTTACGTAACTTTTCCTAGCTTTGATTTCTTCATTTGTCAAGTAAAGATAGTCATGTCCCTCCTGTTTCTTGGGGTTGATGAGAAAATTTATGTAAAGGTACTTTCTGGACTATACCGAACAAATGGAATGCAAAGGAGAAGTAGGGTAATGGAAGGAGCTTGGTGTTTGAGTCTCACAGGCCTCGCCCACACTGTGACCTCAAGCAAGTGGCTAATGTCTCTCAGCCTCAACCTTTTCATCTGTAAAATGGGAACATCTATACTTGCCTTGCAGGAGTGTTAGAAGGATTAGAAATAACATATGTAAAGCACTGACAAATGGCAAACAATAGTTGAATAGCAATAATTGTTATTATTACACTTAATGTGGATATATTCACTCTGGGTGATTTAGGATTCTAAACCTAAGGAAGTATTCAGTTTATAGATGTAGAGATTAGCAAAAGGCCCTGCTAGTAACTGATAGTAGCAACTGATAATAATAGCTAACTTTAAAAAATCCAAGTAATACATGAATATGACTTTTTAAAAAGTCTCTGAGTCTAGAAAGGCATCTGTCTCCTGCTTACCCCTCACCCTGAGGCAGCCATTTTATTTTTCTGCTTTTACTTCTTTTGGTGGTTACTTCTATTTCTCTAAATAATGTTACTCCCATTTCCTTTTTTAAATGAATTTTGTTTTTGTCAGAAAGGTACATGCACATAGTTTGCCTTAGTCTTTTTAAGGTCAAATATCATAAAAGATTTGTAATAAAAACCATCTGTTCCCTGCCCCCACCCTTTCTTTACCCTTCCTCCTATCCTGCTCCCAAGGGCATACACTTTTGATCCTTTTAGGCGTTTGATCTAGCATTTATCTCTCTATATCTAAATAATATGCTTATCGAGATATGGTTTTTTTTAACTGTATTACAGAAATTTTGAAACATGTACAAAACTAGAAAGAATAGTATAATGAATCCTCATGTACCACCCATTACCCGGCTTCAAAAATCAAAAACCCATGACCAGTTTTGTTTCATCTGTGCTGGTAGCCATTTTCCCCTGCCACTAGATTATTTTGGAGTAAATTCTAGACATCATTTTATCAGTAATTACTTCAGCATGTTTTTTTTGTTTTTGTTTTTGTTTTTGTTTTTGTTTTTGCAATGTCGCCTGTCACCCAGGCTGGAGTGCAGTGGTACGATCTTGGCTCACTGCTACCTCCACCTCCCTGGTTCAAGCAGTTCTCCTGTCTCAGCCTCCCAGGCAGGTGGGACTACAGGCACACGCCACCATGCCCAGCTAATTTTTTTATTTTTAGTAGAGACAGGGTTTCACCATATTAGGCTGGTCTCGAACTCCTGACCTCAGGTGATCTACCTGCCTTGGCCTCCCAAAGTGTTGAGATTACAGGCGTGAGCTACCGTGCCCAGCCTAGCATGTACTTTTAAGAGAATAAGGACTCCTTTTAAAAATATAACCACACTATCACACATAAAATAATTAATAATCCTTTATTATTAGCAGTGGTCTCCATTTAACTCATAAGTTATTTTTTTAGTTCTAGTCAGATCCAAACAAGGACCTCACATTACCATACTGCTTTTTCTTGACTCATCAGTTTTTTGTTTGTTTTTGAGACAGTCTCGCTCTATTGCCCAGGCTGGAGTGCAGTGGCACCATCTCAGCTCACTGCAACCTCCACCTCCCAAGGTTCAAGTAGTTCTCCTGCCTCAGCCTCCCAAGTAGCTGGGATTACAGGCATGCGCCACCATGCCTGGCTAATTTTTGTATTTTTATTTTTGAGACGGAGGCTGGCCGTCACCCACGCTGGAGTGCAATGGCATGATCTCGGCTCACTGCAACTTCTGCATCCTGGGTTCAAACGATGCTCCTGCCTCTGCCTCCGGAGTAGCTGAGATTACAGGCACCTGCCACCACGCCCAGCCAATTTTTGTATTTTTAGTAGAGATGGGGTTTTGCCATGTTGGCCAGGCTGGTCTCAAACTCCTGTCATGCAGCTGGTTTTGATCAGACATCCTGTCATGCTTTATTTGGCCATTCACAATCAATAATAAAAGACTTCTTTAAGGGGATAGGTCTCAGTTCATCTGTTTGTCCCATAGGCCTCTGCCCTGCCTGGGAAGCTGCTGGGTACTGGAAGGGTACTAAGGTACTAAGTGGAAGATGCTTTAGGGCACATGAGCAGGAGCAGCAGTTAGACTGAGGGCCCTTCACGTGTTAGCATAAGGAGGCCAGTCTCTTACTAGAAGCCCTCGATCAATCCTAGGCAGTTCATTCAATTTATTTAAAGAGGCCTCCTGTCTTTGGCTGTGGTTCTGCAGAGCTTTTGGGCCCTCTGTGTGCTGCAGGTATGGGATAGAGGAGCTGGCTGGCACAGGACCTTCAGTGGATCCCTTAATTTTTTGGCCCTTCTGAATCTTCTCGACGCCTGCTGTCTTCAGGTTCAGAGCCTCCCTGGGGTCCCACACCATTCCTTGTCTCTCATTTCCAATGGTGCTTTCTTGTCCTTGTGCTCCAAACTTCAGCTTCTGTTGTCATACCTCTCTGAACTTTTTCTATCTTCCGGAAATTATTTGAAATGAAATCCCTTGTTCTCTAATGATCCTTCCTTCAGCAAAAAGGCCCAATTTGTAGTTCAGAAGACGTGGTGCTTTTTACAAAAAGTATGTTAATGTTTTACCATAGACTGGACTAAGTAGAGTGTGTGTGTGTGTGTGTGTGTGTGTGTGTGTGTGTGTGTGTTTAGAAAATATTTATTGAGTTTCCTATTTTATGCCAGGCACTCTTCTAGGCACTTGGGATAGATGTATTCAGTGAACCAAGGAGACATACTGTTGACTTTGTGGAGCTTACAGTCTGGTGGGGAAACACATGGAACGTGTACTTATAAATATGTTAAGGGTTATAAGAAGAGACATAGGAGTACCATGAGACCAGTACAGCAGGGGGAGCTAACGTGGCTCAGAGAAAAGGGCGCCCTAGGGAAGTGATATTTAATCTGAAATCTGATGGCTGAGTAGGAGTTAACCAAAATAAGAGGGAAGAGCCCTTCAAATTTGTATGTCAAAGTGCAGTAGCAAGTGAGAGTCTGAGACCAATAGAGAGTAGCAAGTGAGAGCCTCAAACCTTCTCCTGTTGGAGCACCAGGCTGTACTACCTCAGGATAGTCCCTTGCCTTCTCTGGATCTGGCATTCCTCACCCCTAAAATGAGGAGACCACATGCTCCTTTCAGCTGCAAAAATCAATGAGTCCAAGACTGTTTAAAGTTAAGGTCACTGTTTAAGTGAAGGTCCATCTCTCCCAAAACAGCTGTAGTTGGAAACTTATCTCAAGCTGGTGGGAAGTGGTTTGAAAAAAGGCAGGGAGGGGACAGTGTGATATCCTGCGAACCTATCCAGTTTCTAGCCACATAATCACTGGGGTCAGGCTTCTCTTCTCCTTCTGGCTCTCCTTCAGACACACCAAATCAGCAGTCCAAAGGGGACCACAAAGTGGATCCTCAGGACATCGAACCCTGAAGAAAAAGCAGCCACGTGTACTCCAAAACCAAAAAAATACGTTGAGCAATGTCTTAGTCATCTTTTGTGGGTTTGATTCCCCATCCCCCAAAAATGACTTAAGTTTCTGATTTCAAAACATTGTGTGTATGTGTGTGTGGTTTTTTTTTTGAGACAGATTATCATTCTGTCACCCAGGCTGGAATGCTGTGGCATGATCTCATCTCACTGCAACCTCTGCCTCCCAGGTTCAAGCAATTCTCCTGCCTCAGCCTCCCGAGTAGCTGGGAGCCTCCTGAGTAGCTGGGACTACAGGTGTGCACCACCACGCCCAGCTAATTTTTTTGTGTTTTTTTTAGTAGAGACAGGGTTTCACCATGTTGGCCAGGCTGGTCTCGAACTCCTGACCTCAAGTGACCTGCTCGCCTCAGCCTCCCAAAGTGCTGGGATTACAAGCGTCAGCCACCGTGCTTGACCAAGAACATTGTTTTAAGTGTAAGTGTGGTTCCTTCTCTGGGGCCTTACACCAGGATTGTGGTGAGACGATGTATTGTTCTCCTTTCTTTTTTCCTGTTCTTCTGTATTTTCTTATCTTTTTACAATAAGCAATTATGATTATAATTGGAAGAAAACAAAATCTACTTTTATTCGTAAATCTCAATCAATATACTTCTCAATTAATTGTCTAGAAAAAGCATGGACCTTCTAACTGCATGGCACAGTGAATAAGTGAGTTGGAAATGGTATGACAGCTGAAACCTGCCTTTGATGGGTGATGAGCGATTGCACTGTACAGCAGCTGTGTGGACTAGAAAGTGGGTAGTGGTGGCCAGAATTTCTTTATTCATATACTCCTTCAACAGATATCCGTCAGTTGCTAGCTGATATAGTTTGGATGTCTAACTATATTGGTGGATAGCTGTTGGATGTCATGTTGAAATGTGAACCCCAGTGTTGGAAGTGGGCCCTGGTGGGAGGTGTGTGGGTTATGCGTACAGATCTCTCATGAATGGCGTGATCCCCTCCCTGCTGTAATGAGTGAGTTCTTGTTCGGTTAGTTCAAGTGAGAACTGGTTATTTTTTAATTAAAAAAAATTATTTTGGCCGGGCATGGTGGCTCATGCCTGTAATCCCAGCACTTTGGGAGGCCAAGGTGGGCGGATCACGAGGTCGGGAGATCGAGACCATCCTGGTTAACACGGTGAAACCCCATCTCTACTAAGCATACAAAAAAATTAGCCGGGCATGGTGGTGGGCGCCTGTAGTCCCAGTTACTCGGGAGGCTGAGGCAGGAGAATGGCGTGAACCTGGGAGGCGGAGCTTGCAGTGAGCCGAGATTGCACCACTGTACTCCAGCCTGAGACTCCATCTCAAAAAAAAAAAAAAAAAAAATGCAAGGGACTACATGTGTGCACCACCATGCCCAGCTAATTTTTGTATTTTTAGTAGAGACGGTGTTTCACCATGTTGGCCAGGCTGTCTTGAACTCCTGACCTCAGGTGATCTGCCTGCCTTGGCCTCCCAAAGTGCTGGGATTACAGGCGTCAGCCACTGTGCCTGGCCCTGGTTGTTTAAAAAGAACCTGGCACTTCTCCCTCTCACACTTGCTCTCCATCTTGCCATGCAACATTCCGGCTCTCCTTTCCCTCTACCATGTCTAAAAGCTTCCTAAGGCCTCACCAGAAGCAGATGCTAGTGCCATGCTTCTTATACAGTCTGCAGAACTGTGAGCCAAATAAACCTCTTTTCATCATAAATTATTCAGCCTCAGGTATTCCTTTATAGCAGTGCAAACGGACTAACACTGCGTAACAAATTAATCAATCTGTGCCTGTGATTTTCTCATGTGTCAAGCAGGGATAATAATTATACCTACCTCATAGAGATCCTTATGGGGTTAAATGAGGTAATTTATATAAAGCAGTTAGAATACAACCAGGCACGGTGGCTCACACCTGTAATCCCAACACTTTGGGAGGCCAAGGCAGGCAGATCACTTGAGCTCAGGAGTTCAAAACCAGCCTGGGCGTATGGTGAGACCCCCGTCTCTACAACATAAATAAATAAAATAAACAGAATATTACCTGGCATATGGTAAATATACAATAATAGTTTTGGGGTTTGTTTATGGATTTCCTTATTTTAATAAGTATCTCATAATATGTACAAAATGCTGCTATATTAGACACAGATCTTTTCCTTAAAAAGTTAGGATTCTGGCAGAGAAAAAAGACCTGCCCCCAACTAAATATGTGTCATCAGAGAAAAGGGTATGTTTCTTAAGAGAGAAACAGAGCATACTAAGGAAATTCAGAGGAAGGAGAGACCCCTTCTAAACTGGGGGTAAAAGGTGGAATTAAACAGCCAAAGTTTCCTTCATCCTCAAATGGAGCTGATGCTGCTGTCTGTGAAAAACAGCCAAGTTTCCTGAAGGGAAGCCCTTTAAGAGGTGGTAGTGCAAGGGGGTTGTGGATTCAGGACTGGCACCACATGGTCCCTAGTTAGAGTGCAGGCTCTGCCCCTTGCTCCCGTGAGCCTTTGAGCAGGTTGGTCGGCTCACCATGCATCTGTTGCTACAGCTGTAAGATGTGAATATTAATAATGTCTCCTGCACCCGATTATTGTGAGGATGACATGAAGTGGTGTTCATAGAGTGCTCAGTGCACAGCTTGGCCCCAGCCCACATAAGTGTGTCCAGTATTGTCAGTTATAAGAAGAAATGAATGTGCCAGTGTTGCTATGGTTCTGTCTTCCGGGATTCTGTCACAGACGTAGAATTATTCCGTTCACAAGGGAAGTGATACAGAGTACATGTTGTTGAAGAAAATGATGTTGTTTTTATGAATGGGCTCCTTACTATTATTTTTGTTCAAGTAACAAAACATGATTCAAAGCACCCATCTTCAAGAGCCCAGCCTCATTTCCTGACACCTACTCAGTCTTCTGGAATAAAGGCTCAGCCAAACAATAGCCCTGACCTCCAGTCCCTCCAAACTGAGTGTTGCTGCTGAGAACAGGCCTTACAGCTCTGGGTGGGCTTTTGTTCATTACTCATCGTGACATTCTGGAGAAATACAGGACCCTTTTGACTTCCCGACCAATCTCTGACTTTCTTTCATTGTCACATCACCATTAGGGCAAAGGATGATGAAATGGTCAGAATTAGACAAGAAGTATTCAAATATTTTTCAATGTATAGTATGTGCCAGGCACATAACCCACACAAGAACCTTGGAGAGTAAGGCTGTTATTCTTCTCATTTTACACTGGGAAACCAAAGCACAGCAAGAAGGTCTAGGGACCAGAAGGAAGCCCACATCTCTCTGAGCTGTGAACGGCTGCTCTCTGTGGGTTACCAGGCTGGTGTTTTTTTGTTTTGTTTTGTTTTTTGTTTTTTGTTTTTTTTTTAAAGACAGAGTCTCACTGTCGCCCAAGCTGGAGTGCAGTGGTGCAATCTCGGCTCACTGCAACCTCCATCTCCTGGGTTCAAGCAATTCTTCTGTCTCAGCCTCCCAAGTAGCTGGGACTACAGGAACACGCCACCACGCCTGACTAATTTTTTTTGTATTTTAGTAGAGATGGAGTTTCACCGTGTTGCCCAAGCTGGTCTCAAACTCCTGAGCTCAGGCAATCCACCCACCTCGGCCTCCCAAAGTGCTAGGATTACAGGTGTGAGCCACCGCGCCCGGCCAGGCTGGTGTGGTTTTTATTCCACAGCAGTCCTACGTCACATTGTCACATTGTTGAAAAGCCTTCAGATTGACAAACTCCCTCCTAATATAGCCTGTTTTCTTGGATGTTTTCTGATAAGCATCTGTGTTTTCTGAGAACTAATAAAAATTCTTGTTAAACCACAAATTACCACAGCCTCTTCCTTACCTATAGAGAGCCGCTTTCCCAGTAAAGCTCCGGTCCTACCTTCCCATCACCATCAAAGTGGCATTGAAACAGATCAGATCTGCTCCTTTTGAGGGAGTTAGTTGAAGCCCAGTCTTGCTTCAGGCCACACAGGATTTGGGTAGCAAAGCAAGGAAAGCAGCCTCTCTGACCTAGTGGCCTGAGTGTTTCCTTTCCCAGGCTGGCTGCGGCAACCACTTTGAGAAATGGCATTGGCATTGGCATGTGTGTGGCATGTGTGCTGACCTAGTTAGGAGTTGAGGCTTCATTTCTAATTCTGTCCCTTTCGTTTTGAGCTGTGTGACCTTGGGCATGTCACCTAACTTCTCTGTATATGTCTTCTTATCCAGGAAGGAGAGATTAATAATGTAGCCTCATAGCACTTATCTGATTCTCCTAAGGATGTTATGAGAATCAAATGAGATTATGTACAACGAGAGCAAACATTTATTCAATACTTAGTATGTACCAAATACTTTCAGTTTCCTTACATGTGTTTTTTAATTCTCACAATCCTAAAACAGAGGCACTAGTATCCCACTTGACAGTTAAAAAAACTGAAGTTCAGAGAAATTAAGTCAGACAGGACTCAGATCCACATCTGTGGCTCCCAAATGATGTTCCTAACCACTATGCATGTCACTCGCTCCCCATTGTACACGAAAGTAGAGAGATGTTCTTTGTCTTTACCATCAAGCACTCTCCAAATGCAAGAAATGATCTCTCGTAACCACTGCTGTTCCATGTTGGTCCCTAAGGACACTTATAGCCTGTTACTTGTTTGTCTTATCTTGTAGTTTATGCTGCTGCTTTTCATGTCCCTAAGGACTTGTTCAGTGAATTCTTTTGGTTTTACTCCCAGAGAATCTGTTCATCTCCTTCATAAAGGGGGTTAAAGGTGCCCAGCTGAGCCTGGCATCTTGGGCAGTGGCCTCTGACTTCTCCAGGGTTCTTCCTTCCCTCAAGCATGTAGTTGGGTAGCTTGTAGTAAAATGCTCTATAATGCATTTGTTTATAAGTTCCCCAGTCACTGATTTTTACTCATTGAATCTCAGAAGTGGAAAGCACCAAAGCCAGCATTTTGTTGATAGGGAAACTGAGGTCCAGAGAGGGATGTGACTTGCTTGAGGTCATTCATTCAGTTGAAGGCCTGACCAAGACTGGAACCCAGTTTCCCAGGGGACACACCAGTGCTGTTTCCAAGCCTTCCCCGGGGGCACACATCACCTCCCCTACATGAAGGACAAACTCATGTACTGTGCCCAGCATGTACCTAGGAGACCTGGGAGAAATGAAACAACTTGGAAAATTGGGCAGGAAGAAAGAGATGGGTGTGGGGTGGGGTGAAGATCTCCACCCTAACTAGTATATTATATACCAAAGAAAGGAATTAAACACACAGGAAAGCAGACAACCCACTAAGAAGCAAAGGAATTTACCCAGGAACCCTGGCTCAGTGAGTGGATAGGAAGCCTTTTGTCACTAAAGCTGCAGGGTTGAAAATTGAAGGAAGGATATTAGGCAAGCGTGGTGGCCTGGGATGCAGTTACAGCCCCCTGGCTCATTGTCCAAAGGAAATGGATCTCTCCTGTGGACAGAGAGGTGGAAACTGAGTGAGTGAGTTGTGTGGTTGACATCATCAGGCTGAGCATTGGATTACAACAAATGGGGACTTACTTGGCCCGAGACATGGGAAACACCCACTAAAACCTCAAAGTGCTTTTCATTTAGGAGACACGGGGAAGAGACAGAGAGGAGGGTAAAGTGAGAATCCTGCCCGCACCACAGGTCTGGACTGCTAACCTTGAATCCTGGTTTCTTAAATTCTGCCTCCGCTTCTGACTGAGGACCACTGGATTTTGAGGAAACTTTGGTCTTGTAAGTAGAACTTTACTCTCCTCCCCTGCCCAACACCCCCAGGGAGAAGCAGAGCTTGGAGGCAGAGCTCTCTGGAGAGCTTGCTTTCCAGCCTGTTGGCCACAAAATGTCTATTTTTATATAATGATATATGTGAGCTTGCTCTGAAAATTATGGCCTTGTCTGAAACTGCCTAAGGCTAGTCGGAGCCTCCAGTCTCACAAATGGGCTCCATTCAGATGCTGTTTCATTTTTACTCAAAGAACTTTGACAGAGTATTCAGAGCTTTAAAAGCAGCTCCTTGCTCCAAATATAGGTGAAGAAATAAATCTTCCCTAAGAAATTCGTGTTTGTAAAACCCTTTCTTTTTTTCTGATTACAAAGGTGGTATAATAATTTTTAAACATTCTAGAAAGAAAAGTCTCCGAAAGTAGTGAAAATTCCCTATTATCTTCCCCCTCAGGAACATGGTTGTTGTGTTAAATTTCAGTTACAGATATGGTCAGACTCCATGAATTTACCACATATAAACCCAGTGCTGCAGCAGCTGTGTGGAAAACTCCAAGATGGAAAGGGGTTGGAAATCTTTAACCTTGGGTTTGCGATCTTTTTATTGCTTCCTTTTAAAAATTTGCTGTTTATGCCTGGAATATAAACAGGACATGTAAGCCTTTAGGCATTTTATTTGTTGGTATCTGTTTTCAGGGTTTGAAACTAAGCAAGCTACTCTGTAGAGAGGGAAAGAGGGGGCCCTTGCTGTACCCAGGTCCCTTACTTGGTGGGTCCCTGAACTGAGGAGGATTCCTAGGTGGCTTGAGATGGCTTGCAGTGTGCTAACAGGGGAGGTGTCCCCTCTTAGCAGGTTAAGTATATTTGAAAAGTTACAGCTAACGGGAAGATTTCAGCTTCAACAAAAAGCTACCATATATTAGAAGGGTCACCCAAGGAAACTGTCACCTTGGGCAAGTGTTTCACACTCTCTGGGTCTTGTTTCTTTATTTGTACCTAATGAGGGGACAAAACTAGATGATCTCTGTATTTCCAAATTCAGTATGAAATGAACTGTCCATATTTCTTTTCCCTTTGTATTGGGCCCTTATGGCTTTAGGAGCAAAGGACCCTAGGTTTTCAGTTTCCCAGAGTAGCTAAAAACGGGTGCCTGTAGGACAGTTAAAAGAAGACATAAAACAGGCAACATTAAGTTACTTCTGAGTTTTTATGGGTCTTTTTCAGATTAGGTGTTCTTGAAGAAAGAGAAAGAAAAAGTCTCAGTGGTAACTGTATGTGCACACGCATACACTAGCACATACACTTGGGGAGAGAGGAAAGAAGGAATTGGCATTATTGAGTATCTCTTAAGCACTAGGCCCTATGTTATGCTCAACCCTTTACAGAGCACTAGATGGTCAGTATTATTCCCTAACCCCATTGACTGAGGACAACCATCTACTTATATGTTTTCATATTATCCTGAACTAAACTGTATTTACATAATTACTGGCATAACTTCAATTCCCCATGTCTCCACTAGACCATCTGCACCTTCTCTGCGTGTCTGTCTAGCCCATCACTATGCCCCACTGCCTAGTAGAAAGCCTGGCACATAGGTACAAAGGAGACACAACTTAATTTAAACTTAAAGCCCGCCATCCTAGTTCCTCATTTGGCAAGAAAGAGGGAGAAGAAGGGGGAAAATCCCTCTATTTGCCCCTCTTTCATCATTTAACATAGAGCCACCCTCTCCTGCCACAAGGGAAGGATAGCCACAGCCAGAGTGCAAAAAAAAAAAAAAAAAAGCAAAAGACGTCAGATCTTGAATTTTGAGTTTCCAAGGTGCCGGGTCTTGACAAATTAAGGTTTTTGCTTTGTTTTGTTTTGTTTTTGTTTGTTTGTTTTGTTTTCTTTAAGGGCATCAGAGACCCTAATCCTCAGGAAGTTGTGGTATTTAGAAACTATTTGTTTGAATTAAGGTCCTAGTTAATAAGAGGGTTCTCAAAGGCCCTTGGCACTTCTTTTTTTTTTTTTTTGAGACGGAGTCTCACTCTGTCTCCCAGGCTGGAGTGCAATGGTGCAGTCTTGGCTCACTGCAGCTTCCACCTCCCGTTTTTGTTCAAGGGATTCTCCTGCCTCAGCCCCTCGAATAGCTGGGATTACAGGCGCCTGCCACCACGCCCAGCTAATTTTTGTATTTTTAGTAGAGATGGGGTCTCTTGGCACTTCTAAAGCTGCAGTCTTCCCCAGCATTTCATCCCATGAAGGTGGACTGTTGCTGCCATGGACCCACCCATGGGCATGGGCAGTGGGAAGGCCAGGGCATCCTCTGCTTCATCCCAGCCCCGCTGGGATCTTGAGATTTGGGGTAATCAAAAAAGGCATCCTTTTTCCTAAGGTGGTGGTGAGGAGGTGATGTTCTGGAAGGAAGGTACCTAGACTTTGTGGTCCCTGCCAGGAAGTGGAGAGTGGAAATGTGGAATGCCTCACACTCCTCAACTAGGTAGGCCTTCATGTACCAGATGAGGGTGGCTTTCAGTTCTTGTTTTGTGTGTCAAAGTTGCTCCTGTTATCAGTGTGTGTTTGCTGATCTCTCCCACCTCAGTCACTCCCGGCAGTGAGTTTAGGGCATCTTGGGAGTGGAGGTAGGTTGTGGAAAAGATGTGTCCAGAGATCTCATTTGGCTTTGGTATCTTCCTGAAATAAATGTCACACACAGGGCTGGGCATCTTGCATATGCTGACTTCTCTTAATCTTCACAGCAATGATGTGAGGCAGAGATCATCTCCATTTTACACCTAAGAAAGGCACAGAGAGGTGCAGTGGATTGCCCAGAGTCTCACAGCTGGCAGGGGCTAGAGCTTGAGTTCCCAATGAGAACTGGTTGTCCCCGAAGCCCTTGAATATTTCACCATACTGCAGTGCCTTTTTCATATCACCTCCCTGGATCTCAGTTGCTCCATCTGTTAAATGATGACAAGTGAACTCTAGTCAGAAGTCAGAGTGGTGTTTTGTTTTTAATTTGAATGCCTTTAGGCAGGTGTGTTCTCCAGTTCATTACCATTTGCGCATTCCCCTGTGCCCTCTAGTCTCCTGCCTGGCCCCTGGCCCCTGTGGGAATTTGCAGCCCTGCATCTGGTTGGTGTCTACCGTTTCTTTCGATTTAGACAATCTAGAGGGCAGTGAGAAATTGGAAAGGGGTAGCAGGTAAGAGCTCTCGAGTTCAGTGAGAAATTGGAAAGGAATAGCAGGTAAGAGCTCTAGAGTTCAGTGACAAATTGGAAAGAGATAGCAGGTGAGAGCTCTTGAGTTCAGTGAGAAATTGGAAAGGGACAGCAGGTGAGAGCTCTCGAGTTCAGTGAGAAATTGGAAGGGGATAGCAGGTAAGAGCTCTGCTTTCACCGCCTCCTAGCTGGGAGATCCTGGACTGATCACCTCACTTTATAGAACCTACTTCTCTTTCTGTCAAGTGGGGGGTCACAGTCATACTGACCTCAAAGGGGTGCCATGCGGATGAAATGAGATAGGGCTCATAAAGCACTTAGTTAGTACAAAAATACATGCTTAGGATTAGCTGCTCTCAATTTCCAGAAAGAGAATGTCAGCCAATGTACACAGGCATCTGCCCCCTCAGACATAGGATGGCATTTGCATGAGGAACCAGAAGTTATCTTTGAACTCATCATTTTGAAACCCCTGTGATGAACCCTGGAGCTGCCATGTTGGCTCTTCAAACCAAGCCTCAGCATTATTTCCTGTCACCCAGTCAAGTGATGCTGAACCTCAAATCAGCCAGCCAGTGCTGAGGCCAAAAGCAGAAGTGGGTGCTATTCTCTTGGGACCAGAGGACCCTAGCCCAGCCACTTAAGGAAGAAGCTGGTAACAGGTGCTGGCTGTGACAGACAAGAAGCTGAACTGGCCCAATTAACTCTGCCAAATGCTTTCACGAGGGGCCAGAAGCAATTCCTAAGTGGAGACTGAGGTGGAAAATCTAAAGTTCTGGGAAACAGGTTATTAATCATGACCCTAGGCTGAGCTCACTACCTCCTGGAAATCCTTCAGAAATGTCTTAGGAAAACTTGGAGTACTGCTCCTTCAAAGAGTGGTTTCTTTGGAAGTTGCCGTGGGCTCCTATGCTGACTGATTATGAATTGCAGATTAGAACACATAATGTATCCGCTCTTACTGGAGGAAGCTGCATTTCCAAAAAGAAGTCTCTTTAATGTTTCAAGAAATTACAGGCTTTAGCTTGACTCTTCAGAACTGAATAATGGCCCTTCATGGCACCGAAGAAAGTATTTGGTGTATTCTTACTATGTCCCAGGAACCTAGGTCAGTTACTGTTTTAGTACTTTATCAGTGTAGTCTTTAACATTCCATAAATGTACATTGAGGACCTGTTAGTACTAAGCACTGAACTAGAGGACCAGGGTAAAGACACTGCCTCTGGTCTTGTGGAATTCTCTGTGCAACAAGGGAAGATAGACAGAGGAGTGAATAATTTTAATGGCACGTGAAAAGTACTGCAAAAGAAATATGCACAAGTGCTACAAAACACCAGACACTGGATCAGCATATTGTGGAGGTCCTGATCTTGCGCTGGGTTGATTCCTTCTGCTCTCTCCCTACAATTCCTGGCTCTGGGAGCTTTGCCAGCATTTGCATTAGGGAGCAACTGAGAGCTGCCCCTGCTGAAGCACTCATTTCTGGCACCTTCCTATCCCCCGTGGCTTCAGAGGGGTGGAAAGAACACTTCCTTACAAAATGTATGGGCCCCACCTGAGAGGGCCCTGAATCTGAAGTCCAAAGTTGTAGTAAGGAAACAGAGGGACGGGTGACTTTTGTAGTCTAAAATCACCACTGATTTTCCGTTGGTTTGTTTTTATAACATTTATTGTGGATTTTTTTTTTCTGATTGCAAAATTAGAATATGTTCAAGGGAAGAAAAGCTAGATAGTACAGAAAAACACACTTAAAATAAATCATCACTCAGTGATTTCACTTCTCTGTTTTTGAATAAGGGCCTGTCTCCCAATCCCCCCACCCACATACCGCTGTATTTCAAGTTTAGCTCTAATTTTAATTTCTCCCTGGGCAAAGTCTCATGTTTGTTTGCATATCTCAAAGGTGCTTGTGTTGTGGGCTCCAATCACTACTATCTGCAATTGGTTAGAGCCTGCGGCCATCATTTATACTTTCCTGGACGTGTGTGTAGATTCATCTACTGCTAAGAACCCTTTATGTGTTAGGCATTATGCAAGGTGCGGTGGGGAATGTCGAGGTAAATAAGACTTTGAGGTTGCTCATGGCCGGATAGGAAAAAAAGACTCAGATAACATGAACACATTGTGAAAATGTGCCCCAAGATGGGGACAGAGTCCTGTAGAAAGCCTAAGAGATTGGAGGAGCAGTAGCATTTGAGCTGAGCCTTCAATAAATTTTTCATGTATTTAGCCAATATTTGTTGAGAACCTAATATCCGCCAGGCACTGGGCAAGGTGATAGGTGGATGATGTTAAATATAACAGGCATGGCCTTTACCTGCATGAAGTTTACAAGCACAAATGGTGGCGTTAAGAAGTCAATAAGCAGGGGGAGTGAAAGAGGAGAGTGTGGCTGGGGTCTTCCTTGAAAAGGTGGTATTCAAACTGAGAAGAGGGCTGGGCGCGGTGGCTCATGCCTGTAATCCCAACACTTTGGGAGGCCAAGGCGAGTGGATCACCTGAGGTCAGTATTTCAAGATCAGCCTGGCCAACATGGTGAAACCCCGTCTGTACTAAAAAAATACAAAAATTAGCCGGGCGCGGTGGCACGCACCTGCAGTCCCAGCTACTTGGGAGGCTGAGGCGGAAGAATTGCTTAAACTTGGGAGGCAGAGGTTGCAGTGAGCTGAGATTGTGCCATTGCACTCCAGCCTGGGTGACAGAGTGAGACTTTCAAAAAAAAAAAAAGAAATGGAGTCACTTATACCAAGAGTAAAGGAGGGAGAGGGAGTAAAGAAGGGTGCTGGATTATTCCTTCCTTTGCTCATTATTGATTCTAAAAATCTCACTTATTTTCTGTATTCAGTTTCCTTTCTATTGGAGAATATTCTTGGGGTCTGTGAATGGTAAACTTGCCCAGTCTTTGTTTGAAAATATCTTTTGCCCTCACACTTGATATGTTAGCTAGATATAGAATTTTTTGCATAGCATGTGTAATGAATGTGAAAGTTATACATGCCTCTTTAAAAGTTTTCAATCAAAACAGAAATAGATAATGTACAAAGTGAAAGTCTTTCATTTCTTTTCTCACAATTTCTCAAAAGAGAATAATTTTTTTCAAAAGAGAGAAGTTTCCCAGGGGGAACCATTGGTTACAGTTTGCCCTTTTCTATATATACTGAAAATTGTTTAAAGTGTAAAGTATGTATACTTTTTAAAAATGTGCACGTACACAAATGCTGTACTTTTTTTTTTTCTAAACATAAATAATCATGTTCACATTTGAGCAGGACACAGTAGTTCACACCTGTAATCTCAACTAGTCAGGTGGCTGAGAGTGGATGATTGCTTGAGGCCAGGAGTTTGAGGCTACATTGAGCTATGATTGCACCAGTACACTCCAGCCTGGGGACAGAGTGAGACCTGGTCTCTTAAAATTAAAAAGAAAATGTAAAGTTCTTTTTTTAATTAAAAAATGATAATATATGCAATTTTACAATATGCTTTTTAACAATCAAGCATGTACTTTTTTCCACATCAGTACAATGAAATCTCCTTCATTCTTTGAAGTTGCTGTATAGTTTCTCATGATATTGATACACCATAATTTAACTATTTTTCTATTAATAGACATTTAAGTTGTTTTCGCCCCTTGGTTTTGCTACTATACAGTATTTCACTGAGTATCTTTTTACTTAGGTAAATATATCTGTAGTATAAATTCCTGGACATTTCAGGAATGTGACGTGTCTAGGAATTTGACCCCAAAGGATATGTATGCACATTTAACAAGTTAATAGATATTGTCAACTTGTCTTCCCAAAAGATTGTTTCAATTTATAATCCCAGAGTATGTCTGGCTCTAATTTTTGTTTTTCTTCTGGTTCCTTAGAATTCCCGTACTGATTAGTCAACAGTGGAAAATCTGAAGAGATGCAAGCAGGAAAAAGAAATTAAACCAGGTAGGTAGTGGCACTGTTCATACTCTACTGCCAGAGCAGCACACGTTTTTGCCTGAATATCTTTATTTCTGGTTGAAGGAAGAAAATACGTAAGTTCCAAACTAAATTAGTGGGAGATTTTGACCTTATGAAGAAAAGGCAGGATGGCTCTTTTCAGAAGTTATATACATAACAGCATGCTACAATTTCACAGTCAAGATTCTGTTTTCAGGCGTTTTTTTTTTAATAGCATCAGAAAGAAAATTTACCTTTGGTGGCTTAAGAGGGGATGGGTTTCCCGGCCATGTACTTAAGCTTAAGCAGGTGGAATCATACACAGGAGTTATTAGCAACATTGGGCCTGGTGCCAGCTTTCCTCTCCACCAAGTGTTTGCTGTAAAGCTGTTTTCACAAAGACCAGGGCACATTATGGGAATTTTCATTTTAATGCTGTAATAGAGGAGCAAAAGCCAGCAAAACCCAACCCAAAGAAATGGGTTCGGCCCAGTAGTCTGGTGAGAAGGGATGAAGATGCAGTCCCTCCAGCTGAGAACAAATTGCCATTCAAAGAGCACAAGTGGCCCACCTGGCAGTATGGCCACCTTGGGTCCAGTGTCCATAGTTTATGATATCTAAATGTTTCTGGCATAAGTTAATAATTTTAAACTCAGGGTAACATAATAATCGACTTTTTACCTAAAGCAGCAGTATTTATCAACAAATCTGGTGAATTTCTTTGAATTGTCAAGTTGGAAGTACTGGGTCCACAGAGATCTTTTCACCCACCAGGCATCCATCAGCATCCATGGATGTGGTTGTTAAGGTATCAGAATTGAAGGCTATTCTAGATTGGCCTACACCCACCTGGACCTTCTCCATAGCTGGAATTTTCACAAAGAGGCTAAAGAGCCTGGGGATGAGCGCATCGCTCTGAAGAGCTTGCCGAATCCACTGTGCATCTGTCCATAAGCTAAGGATGGTGTGAGGACTGAAAGCTGCATGGGAGAGAGAAGGTCTTGTGATTTTCTCTCTCTTCAGCACTGTAGGGGGCACATTGCAGCTGTGTCTGGTGCAGCTCAGTTTAGACTCCTGCCTCAGCCAGGAAAAGTTTTTTTCATTTTTACATTAATTTAGCAGGTATTTATGGAGCATCTTCTATAAATTGGACACCAGATAACAAAGCAAAAGTGGCACAGTCCTTGCCCTCAGGAAGCTTGTGGGTCTGGCTGACAGTAGACTAGTAGCAGTAGTCTGCGGTAGGTCCAGAGGGCTAGTGGGCAGAGGGTGCTGCGGCTTGAAAGGTATGCAGGAGATGACTTGGAGAAGAGTGGGCGGGGACAGGCTGGGGGCTTGCGGAGCAGCACAGCGAAGGCCTGGAGGCTTGGGGGGTGCAGCACTCCATGGAAATTCCATGGGCCAAACACAGTGCAGAGGGGGTTCCCTGGCTGGAGTTGAGTCTGGAGGTGTCCATGAATGAATCTGAACTTTATCCTGATGGCTCTGAATGGAAAGTCGCTGGAGGGCTTTAAGCAGGGGAGAGTTGTGAGTCAGGCTTAGGAAGGAGACTGTCTAGCTTCAGTTTGGGTAAGGGACTGAGAGAGTTCTAAGGGACTGAGAGAGTTCCGCACTCTGCCTGGCCCACTCTCATCACCTCTCTTCTTAGCGCCTGTGCTCCTCCTTCCCTTGGAACTTCAAGAAGGCAAAGGACAGAGCCCGAAGTCTGAGATAAGATAGACTCCTTGGGGAGAAAAGAGGAAGTGGTGCTGGGTGGGTGGGTGGGGGCACCCAGTGTAAAGCAGAGTGTACAGGTTGCCTTGGACAAGTCACTTCACACCTATGAGCTTCAGCTTCCTTATCTATTAAATGAAGATAATAAGTATTACTCTTCTTTTCTCTCATCTCATGAGATATCATCATGATATCTTAAAATATCATGGATATTTTACATGCCCAGCTAGGGCTTCCAGAGAAATCTCTCTGTTTCGTTTGCCATGTAAGGATTTGTTGAAATCCTCAAGCGCACATTAAGTGCATCCTGTCGCTGCAGCTTATCGCCTGGGATGAGAGCAGTGAAGAAGCCCTAGCCTCAGGATCAGTCTCACAGCTCCCTCTCCCTGCAGCCAAGAAGGACCGGTCTACAGAGGGGAGGGAGCAAACACTGACCGAAGGCCAGGTGTGTGCTTGGCACCACCCACAGACAAAAGAGTGCTTGGGCAGAGCTGCTAGAACTATTATTTAAGCCATGTGCCAGATGTGATAAGCACTTACATCCTTCTCAGCCTCATTTAGTTTGATCTTATGAAGTACATATATATTATCTCCATTTGATAGATGAGGAAACCGAGACTCAAAGAGGTGGAACTGCTTGCTGGTAGTGACACAATTGGGAAGAAGGAGAAGGGCCGGAGTCTGGAGTTCGTGCTCTCTGACTTCTGTGGGTAGCATCTGCCATTCTGCTGGTGCTCCTTCAGACCTTTCAGACAGTGCAGAGGACACAGAGGAATCAAGGGACAGCTGTTCTCTTACAAACCTTGAAAATCCTGTACAGAGCCCTCAGATAACCAAAACGTGGTCCAGAACTGAATCCTGGGGCCAACATGCCCATTTAGCACTTCTCTCAATCAGTCCTTTTCCCCAGGTGCATTAAACAGGGCAGCTGCCTTCCCACCCTATGGGCAAACTGCTTGGCAGCTAGGAGTGTGCCTGCTCATCTCCCAGGCTGCTTTCCTTTGCACCTCAGCAAGGAGGGCAGGCCGTGCATCCAGGGAAGCACATAGTTACTCCTTCTGCCAGAAGGCCACCCCCTAATCTGGTTTACCGTGGACACTGAAGTCACTCCCTGTCTCCTGGCCATGAGGAAAACTCCTTTGAGAGGAGCCTCTGAAGCCAGTGGAGAGAGTAAAAAGTGAGAATCCTGCCTAGTTGAACAGGCAGTTCAGCCTGTTCTGGAAAGAGTTAAGGCTGTGTCCATACCAAGCCATTTAAAGAATCTGCCCAGTAGAATCAATATTGTCAAAATGTCCATACTACCCAAAGCGATCTACAGAATTAATTCCATTCCTATCAAAATTCCAGTGGCATTGCTTACAGAAATAGAACAAATAATCCTAAAATTCCTATGAAACCATGAAAGACCCCAAATTACTAAGGCAATCTTGAGCAAGAAGATCTAAGTTGGAGGCATCACACAACCTGATTTCAAATATTATAGGCTGGACATGGTGACTCACACCTGTAATTCCAGCACTTTGGGAGGCTGAGGCGGGAGTTCGAGACCAACCTGGGCAACATAGCGAAACCCTGTTTCTATAAAAGAAAAAAAAAAAATCCAAAAAGTAGCTGGGCATGGTGGCGTGCACCTGTAGTCCCAGCTACTCAGGAGGCCAAGGTGGGAGGATCACTTGAGCCCAGGCATCGCATCAAGGCTGCAGTGAGCCGTAGTC
Source organism: Homo sapiens (assembly GCF_000001405.40). NCBI lineage: Eukaryota > Metazoa > Chordata > Mammalia > Primates > Hominidae > Homo > Homo sapiens. The sequence goes on from NC_000020.11 coordinate 44,593,289, forward strand.
ATGCCACTGTACTCCAGCCTGGCTGAAAGAGTGAGATTATGTCTCAAAAAAAAAAATTATAATGCTATAATAATCAACACACACACACACACACACACACACACACACACACACACACACACACGACTATTACTCAGCCTTAAAAAAGAAAATCCTGACATTTGCAAAAACATGGTTGAACCTGGAGGACATTGTGCTAAGTGAAATAGGGCAGACACAGAAAGACAAATACTACAGGATCTCAGTTATATGTGGAATCTAAAAGAGTTGAACTAAGAGAGAGTAGAAGGGTGGTTTCCAGAGAGAGTAGAAGGGTTGTTGGGGAAATGGAGAGATGTTGAGCAAAGGTTACAAACTTGCAGTTATAAGATGAATAAATTTTGGCGACCTAATGTACAGCATGGTAATTACAGTTAATAATATGGTATTGTATACTTGAAATTTGCTAAGAGAGTAGATCTTAAGTATTCTCGTCACAAAAAGTAACTGTGTGAGGTGGTGGATATGTTAATTAGCTTGATTGTGATAATCATGTCACAGTGTGAATATATAACATTTTTATTTGTCATTCATACCTTAATAAAACTGAAAAAAATTTAAAGAATCTGCCCAGGTCACAGGAAGCCATCAGTCATACCCTGAGCTGTTGTGTAAGCTCAAAGAGTATGGTTTATAGCATATGGATGAGTGCTCTTGTGCCAACGCTGGGCTAAACCTTTACATCCAGTGTCTAATTAGGTAGTTTCTGTTATTATCCATGTTTTACCAAGGAGGAAACTGAGGCTTTTGGAGATTACATCATTTGGCCAATGTACCAGAGCTGGAAAGTTGCATAACTAAGATTTCACTTGAGCTTTTTTTAGCTCCACATCTTCTATTTTTTCAGCTACACCAAAACGACTTCTTTAATTTAGCTTTGCTTTTCTGATAATAGTAACCACCACCCTTTATTGAGCATCTTGTCATGTGAGCCAGGCATTATACATCCATTATTTCCAATCCCAGTAGAACCTTACAAGTAAAGTATCATTGTCCCCGTTTCACAGATGAAGAACCTGAGGTTCAGAGAGGTCAGGAATTTTGCCTCACAGATTTCATCTGAGACTAGAGTGAGCTCTCAACTATCATCCTGTACTTCCTTCATTCCTTACCTTTTCAGGTTCCTAGGAGGAAAGGACTCAAAAAAATTATGCATGAATTTCCTTTAATTTCACAACAACCCTAAGGGTTGGGGGTTGATATCTCTGTTTTACAAAAGAAGAAACTGAGGCTCAGAGATGTTAAGTGATTTGCTCAGCGTCATGCAGCTAGCAATTGGTGGAGCCCCGATTCATACAGGCTCTGACCCATAGCTTAAGCTTACTTGCCTCCCCCATTCCCACCCCTCACCCCTCTTCGGCTCTGTCTCCTTGCAATGGGGGCAGAAAATCCAGCCTTTATTTCTCCAGGTCCTAGTAGTCCTGGGAGTCTGGGGGATTTCCAGCTCCTTTGAATTCCCTTTTTTGGCCTCTACTCTGCCTCCAGCACCTCTCTTAAGAGTCCTTTTCACTGTTGTCATAGCAAGGGTCTCATCTGGAGGGAAGCTGCCTTGAGGTTGGAACTATTTGGCTGCTTATCAGCAAGGCTTCAGGGCCTTGCCATAGCAACTTTCCAAGCCACCCATCTTGTGACCTGTTCTGACTCAGGGCCCCTGGGAATCCCCTGGGTGCAGATGTTTGCAGTGACTAGGATGCAGCAGTCGGCTCCCAGGACTCTTTTTCTGGCCAAGGCCATTTTAGGAAGGCTTCTGTTCCAGCTGTGCTGGGAGAGTTGAGGTCCAGAGCCTCCAAACCTTAAGAATGCAGGGTTATGTGATGTCTAGAGCTGGAGTTTTTAGCCAGGGGCTTATGGGTTAAGAGCCCCCTGTGATCATAGGTATGGTTACACACACACGCAGAGAATATATACTTTTCTGGGCAAAGTATCTGTAGCTTCCCTCAAACTCTCAAATGTGTCTGTGACCCTTAAAGTTTAAGAACACTGGTCTAGAGAGAACCCAAAGTGTTGTGGGCCACTGTGCTCCCTTGGCCACCAGCCTCTCAGATGCCAGAATCTTGAGAGAGCACACCAGGCCTCTAGTGTTTCTGCTTAGGCATGAACTGGGATACAGTATCAAATATTGCTGAAGTTCACAATTATAACTATAAATGTACAGCTGTCCTTTGGGATGCCCCAAGTACTTTTATTTATTTATTTATTTTTTTGAGATGGAGTTTCGCTGTGTTGCCCAGGCAGGGGTGCAGTGGCATGATCTTGGCTCACTGCAACCTCCGCCTCCTGGGTTCAAGCAATTCTTCTGTCTCAGCCTCCTGAGTAGCTGGGATCACAGGCGTGCACCACCATGCCCGGCTAATTTTTGTATTTTTAGTAGAGATGGGGTTTTACCATGTTGGTAAAGCTGGTCTCGAACTCCTGACCTCGTGATCCGCCAGCCTTGGCCTCCCAAAGTGCTGGGATTACAGGTGTGAACCACTGCGCCTGGTGCCCCTGGTGCTGTAAAAGTACAACTGTCCTGTGGATGCCCCAAGTACAACCACGAAAATGCATGCCCAGCACCCCAAACATGTCAACATGTTTGAACATAGTATATTCACCCCATAAGTGGTAGCCAATTTTTTATTTTATTAAATATTAAATAAATTAATTTTAAACACATTTTTGTTTTGTTTTACTCTTATCATTGTTATTATTTATTTGGTCAGGAGCCAGGAATCAGATGGTTATTTAGTCACTGAGTGATTAAAATCTATATGTCAGGAGCTGTGCTATATTTCAAAGATACAGTGACAAACAAGAAAGGCAGGGTACCTACCCTCTTGGAATCAGTTGGAATGGCAGATAATGAACAAATGTATCAGCATCATGCCTGGCTCACGGGACATTTCTGTGTGTATTTGTCGAATGACTGTTGAATGAATTTCGACTGAGTCATTATTAGGAAGAAGTCAAGGTGCTGCAGGTGGCAGGCAAGGAAACTTCATCTCTTCTGGTGGGTCAGGGAAGAGGAAGAGGGACTCAGGCTAAAGGGCCTACGCCCCAGGCTGCCAGGAATTACACAGGACTGTTTACAGGGGGCTGGCATTCCCATGAAGACTGGAGGTGTGGGGGGAGGGCTGGAATACTGAACAACCAAGGGCTTAGGAACCTTGAGTAAATGATGTTAATGTGGGCCAGAGGTACGGATGACATCTACACTCTGCTCAAGTAGTGATGGTCCCTGGCTTGCAAACATGTTGCTCTTCCAGGTTCCAAGGGAGGCTGTTGTTCAACCGGTATTTACCTATGTAGCAAGTTCTGGGTTCGGAACCCTACTTCTCTCAGGAGGCAGGAAGGATGGAAGGACATCCCTCCTGCAGCTGAAGACGGCAGAGCCCCAGCCACTGCTGGCAGTGGCCGTGGACACACAGTGCAGTGTCTGAGCAGTGTGTGAAGAGACTCCCTTACTGTCTGAAGGGCTTCACTCACCCTACACTAGTGAGAAGCCTCTGAATATTGTCTTGGAAGGGAAGCATTCACATATTAAGGGTAAAATCAAAGTCAGAGCAAAATTTAAAGTCTGCTCTTTGCCCCTCAAGACCCTGAAAGTCCCCAGTGACTGTCATTCCACTCACCTCCTCTCCCATTCACTGCTCCCCAGCCCCATGGCCTCTTATTAGTCTTTCTGGGCAGCAGGCTCCCCTTGCCTCTTGCATGCTGTGCCCTCTGCCTCGCATACTTAGATGTATATGCAGAAGTGGTTTCTAAACTCCTCTCTCTCATCATGTGTGTGGGCTGTGATACCCAACCATCAGTAACAGCAGCTGATGAGGACAGTGATCATTAGCTAGAGAGCACACCCTCAGTCGCTCCACCCAGCATTATTAGAATAATAATAATTCCCCACCAGGTCCCCCCACCCGGCATTATTAGAATAATAATAATCCCCCACCAGATCCCCCCACCTGGCTTTATTAGAATTACTATGAGAAACTATCCTCTAGTGATTCTGTTAATTGTGATTTTTGCCCCCCTACTACCACTGGTTAAGAATTACGGGCTTATGAACTGAGCTCCCTAACTAGACCATGGACTTCCCTCAGGGGCACAATGGTATCTTACTGTTTTTGTATCTGTGGTATCTAGTCCCAAGCCTAGTATACACTGAGGGATCAGTGAAATTTTTCTGAAGGAATGGATGAATACTATAGAGATAATATCTTGCTTCTTTTCATTCTCCACGGTGTATTTTGGAGATGCATTTTATAGAATTAGAGGAACTAGAATTGACACAAACTGTCTTCAACCCATGAAAGTCTGTGCTTCCATGAAGGTCTCTGGAAAGCAGCAGAACAGTCCATCTGGATCACTGCTTGGTGGCTGGGCATGCTGGGTCCTCCCCGGGCCTCCTGCTGCGGATGTATGATCTAAATTTGCCGAGGCTCAGCTACACAGCAAGGTTCTCAGAGAGTGGCAGTCTCCATCCTACTGTGAAAGGAGGGGCAGTTTTCCAAGGACTTCCTTGCTTTCCTGCCCTTCCTTCAGAGCTAGAAGACTCTTACCTCCCTTACCCCAGAGCTAGAAGTAACATTAGAGATTGCTTCAGTTATCCACTTCTGCATAATCCATCACCCCTGTTACTCAGTGGTTTAAAACAACAGCAATAGTTTCTTATATCTCATGGTTTCTGTGGGTCAGGAATTTGGGAACAGCTTGGCTGGGCAGTTCTGGCTTGGATCTTTTATGCAGTTGCAGTTAGATGGTGGCTGGAACTGGAGCAGCTTGGGGCCAGCACCGCTGAAGGCTGGCCGGCTGCTGCTCTTTCCTGGCCGTCTCAGGACCTCTCCCCTGTGGTTACTTCATAGGGCCTGTTTGGGCTTCCTCACAGCACGGCCACCTCAGATTTCCCATATGCAGCTCAATGCTCTAGAGGCAGGTTTCCCCAGAGAGAGCTAGGTGAAAGCTGTATAACCCTTTATAGCCTCATCTTGGAGGTGACACAAAATCATTTTTGTTGCATTCTATTTGTTAGAGGTCATTAAGGCCAGCTCGTTCGGGGAAATTGAAATTAAACTCTACCTCCCGAGAGGAGGAATGTCAGATAATTTGCAGACATGTTTCAGAACCACCACAGAGATACCCAGTTTCCCCCTTCATTCCACACTTGAGACTCCCGAGGTTTGAGGGGAAGAGCCTTGTCCAGAGGTGCCCAGCCTGGCATGGGCAGACCTGGAGTGTGACCCAGCCCCTAGGCCTTTGGCAGGCCTGCCAGGAAGTGATCTCACTTTCCCTTCCTTCCTGTCCCCTCACAGTAAGATAGAGACTGCCACTCTCTGGGAACCTTGCTGTGTAGCTGAGCCTCAGCAAGTTTGATAATACAGACACAGCAGGAGGCCTGGGGAGGACCCAGCATGCCCGGCCACCAAGCAGTGATGCAGCTGGACTGTTCCGCAGCTTTCCAGAGACCTCCATGGAAGCACAGACTTCCATGGGTTGAAGAGAGTTTGTGTCACAATTCCAGTCCCTAGCCCTGGCCCTGTGTGAAGTAGTAACACCGCCCTGCCAGTAGGATATAGCTGCTGAGGAGGTAAGAGTTTTAAAAAATTCATACCCCAAAATAATTATTTTTACTCTTGCTGTGAAGTTAGATACCAAAGAGTAGAATGTGGTGGTAGAATCAAGAGAGTCAACCCAACATCACTGAAAAGATTCTGAAGGTTTGTATCCAGCTGAATATCCAAAACAGGATGTTGCTTAAGCATGGGTAAAATGCATCTGGTGTATGTTTTAGACAGCCTTGTACTATGTTTTCCAGGGACTTGCTTACTTTCTTGCCCTTCCTTAAGAAATGCCTTATTATGAAGCTGGGGGCAGGGGAAAAAGAAGGTCAGAAAAGGGAATGGGTACTTTTCAGTAAATCCATACTACATGCCAGGCATAATACTAATTCACTCCCCTGCTTTATAGCCTAATAGCACAGGCTCCATCTGGCTCCAAGCTCCCTAACCTTGCTGAGTTTCAGCTGCCTCTTTTGTACTATGGGATAATGATACTTTCTGTCATAGAGTTGCTATAAAATTAAATGCTTGTAAGATGCTTAGCACAGTCTGGCATGCAGTAAGAAAGAACTGTGTAACAGGCCAGGCACCGTGGCTCAAGCCTGCAGTCCCAGCACTTTAGGAGGCTGAGGCGGGCGGATCACAAGGTCAAGAGATCGAGACCATCCTGGCCAACATGGTGAAACCCTGTCTCTACTAAAAGTACAAAAATTAGCTGGGCATGGTGGCGCACACCTATAGTCCCAGCTACTTGGGAGGCTGAGGCAGGAGAATCGCTTGAACCTGGGAGGCAGAGGTTGCAGTGAGCCAAGATCGCGCCGCTGCACTCCAGCCTAGTCACAGAGCGAGATTCTGTCTCAAAAAAACAAAAAACAAAAAACAAAAAAACTGTATAACTGTTGGCTCCAATTAATCCCCACAGCCACTTTTTAAGACAAGTGTGAGCCCTCCCATTTTATAGAAGGGGTGTCTGCAGTTAGGTGAGGTGCCCAGCATCATGTGCCACTGTAGGGACAGCAGCTGAGACTCTGAAGTCCTTGTGGCATCCACCACACCACATTACCCTCCGGGCAGCTCTGCCAGGGCTTTCCTGACATGCAATAGTTGGGGGCAGAGGAACTCAGGAGGCTTTGTGCCCTACAGGAGCCCCATGTCAGGTCCTAGAGCAAGAACATTTGAAAAACCAAGGCCAGGAATCCATTTATCCACTTAGGAGGCTCTATAGGGAGCAGGGTTACAGAGAATGTTGTACACAGAGGAAATAGTCTAGTAAAGGCTTTGAGGTCAGGAATTAAATGAGGTTTGAGGATTTAAAGAGAGGCCCAGTGTGACCAGAGCAAAATGGACCAAGAAGAGAGTAGAAATGAGACAAAGGCTCATCTGCAGAGGCAGGCAGGGCCAGGTCAATGCAGGGCTTCAGGGACTGGCATCAGGAGAGTGGATTTCACTAGATGTGAAATAGAAAAGCATCAGAAGTTGAACGAAGCAGGGAAATTCCAGTGATCCAATTTCCATTTTGAGAACGTTACCCTGCCTGCCATATAAAAAATAGACCCTGGGCTAGGGGTGAGAGAGACACAGGACTCTGGTCAGGGTCTCTGCTCAGAGTCCTGGTGAGACATTCCGGAGCCTGGGTGGTGCATGTGGAGGAGAGAGGTCAGCAGATTCAAGCTCTGTTTTGCAGGTAGAAACAAAAGGACCAGGCTGGGCACTGTTGCTCATGCCTGTAATCCCAGCTCTTTGGGAGGCCAAGGTGGGAGGATTGCTTGAGGCCAGGAATTTAAGACTAGGCTGGGCAGCATCGTAAGACCCTGTCTCTACAAAAACATTAAAAAAAAAAAGAAGAAGAAATGACAGGACTGGGTAAAGAATTGTCCATGGGTGGTGAAGAAGAAGCGAGGTCAGGGATGGTCCTGGGTTTCCAGCTGGGCAGATGGTGGTGCCCTTGCTCAGTTGGGAAGGCCGTGGCGAGCAGGCTGGTGACTTGACGTCTGAAGCTTGCAGTGCTGTGGGATAGCCAAATGACACGCTCAATAGGCTGAGTCAGAAATCTAGAACTCTTAAGAGAGGGTTGCAGCTCTTTGAAGGTCACCAACATAGATTATTTCGGGAAAGGATAAGAGCCCCTCGGGAGCAAACAGAAGAGACTGGCGTCCTAACACAAAGGTCCCGGCAGTAGCAGGTGCCTGTGCAGACTGGTTGGAGGGAGGCCCAAAGGGTGTGGTGTCTGGAAGTCCCATGAAGAGAATGGTCCGGGAAGAAATGAGTTGGAAGAGGAGGACAGAAAGGTGTCCCTGGGGATAGGCACCGTAGAAGTCACTCAGGACCTTGTCTGACTTGAGCACCCTGACCTTCCCTTCCTATCACTGCCTGCATCCAGGCCTGCTTGGGTCTAGGCCTGGCAGGTGCAGAGGCCAAGGCCCGGCCTCTCTGCCTCCAAACAAAGCCTCACCCAGGGCCACTCTTTGAATGGCAACAGGCACTGCCCAGGCAGGCGACAGGCTCCTCTCTGGTGACCTTGTGCTGGATGTGCCCCAAGGCGCTGGGTAGGGCTTTGCAGCCAGCCCCAGGCAGGCCACACATGGATAGAACCGGCAGCCCTCCCTTTTCCCAGGTTCTTGGAATATTCTCATTTTGGGGCTCTGAGTTTTCTGTTGGCCTCAGTGCCTCTCTTTTCTGGCTTTCTATCACAGAGAGAAGCCGCTACCCTTGAAATTTGATGAATGCCTGTTCAGTAGGCCCTGGCATTTCTGTTTCCACGGCCCTTTCGTCCCTCAGAGAAGCCTTAGAGAGCATTTTGCCCACCCCTGATAAAACTTCTCCCATAAGACCAGGTCCCACTTCTGTGCTTCATGTCTTCTGCAAAAGTCTGTTTGCTTTTTGTATGGTTTCTGCAAATACTGAATTTTTGAAAAAGAAAAAAAAACAGGAAATGACCTTTCTAGTATATTTGGAAAACAATTTGGAGCTTGTAATGGAATCTGCCTGAGCAATGAGGACTAATAGCTGCAGACTTGGAACAGACCATGTAGCTCTTGGCAGAGCCTGGGGCCTCTTCAGTTTACAAAGCTGGGGGGAGTATTAGAAACCCACGGGAGAAGTGGCTTCCTGTGGGGAAATGCCCAGAGCAGGCACCTGCAGGCACTGTAACCTCTGACCCCAGGGCCCCAAAAGGCCTGGGGACAGAGTATAAGGGCTTCACCCTTTGTCCTGGGCATTCAAGGTCAATCACATGTCTGGCAATCATCCAGATCCCACAAGATACCAAAACCTCCTGAGGATGAGGAAAAGAAAGAGCTTCATTCTTTAGCACCCTGTAGGGCTCAGGCTGAGCTAGAAGATTCTAGATTGTTTTTAGACTCAAATTGCCTGTTGGCTCTCTGGGTCCCTCTCTATCCAACTTTTCTGTAGATTTCAGCAAAAACCACCTCCTCAGAGAGGCCTTTCCTGATCATACAGCCATTAACTGCATGATCCACATGCAGAGAACCCTCTCCTCTTCTCCCATAGCACATACCATAATCTGTGATAAGATTCATTTACTTGTGCAGTGCCTTTTTCTCTTTACACATTGTAAATATCTTTTTTAGTTTCCAGTATATACCCTATGCCCGGCACAGTGCCTGGCATGTAGAAGTTGCTCAGTACATTGAATGAATAAATGAAATATCAAGACTGGAAGACTTGGAGGCCAGGTGCGGTGGCTCATGCCTGTAATCCCAGCACTTTGGGAGGCCGAGGCAGGTGGATCACTTGAGGTCAGGAGTTCAAGATTAACCTGGCCAACATGGTGAAACCCCATCTCTATTAAAAATACAAAAAAAAAAAAATTAGCCGGGTATGTTGGTTCATGCCTGTAATCCCAGCTACTTGGGAGGCTGAGGCAGGAAAAGCACTTGAACCGGGGAGGTGGAGGTTGCAGTGAGCAGAGATCATGCCACTGCACTCCAACCTGGGCGACAGAGTAAGACTCCATCTCAAAAAAAAAAAAAAAAGACTGGAAGACTTGGAGATCATATTTCAAACTTCATTATTTAGATGGTGGGAAAGGAAGCTGAGAGAGAAGGGGACTCATCAAGGGTCACCCTATTGCGCGGGTATTGAACCAGATCTTCAGCCACTGTTATGATGCAGGGCCGCACATTCTTTGCTCTTCTTTCCCTGTAATCTAGAACATCTTCTATTATTCACTTGTTCATCAGCTATTCATTGAGCTTCAAGTATGTGCAGGGCCTTCTGGACGTAACAGTAAACACACCAGCCAGGGTCACCACTTCTGGGGAATTTATATTCTTACCACACAACACCATAAAGCACCAAAGAAGGAAGTTTTAATCTTCTGTAGCACCGTTAAACAGAGTAAAAACAAAGGAGCTGAATGAAATGTCCAAAGGCAGGTTTTACTAACTCAGCCCCCAAATGAACCATCCTAATCATTTATTAATTGCATTCCACTTACATTCCCCATCACTTACTACACTTTTTGCATCACCATCTTATTGAATCTTCATAACAGCCCCCTGAACTGCAGGGTGTGACTGTTAGCCCCGCTTTGCTGAGGTGAGGGGAGTTGTGCACGGCCCACAGCTGGTAAACAACAAAGCTGGGCTGGACGAGCACCCTAGATGCCTTCTACCCTGCCACCCATTCCCCTCAGAGATTTGTAATGTCATCAGGGACTCCCAAGGGGGCAGTGTGATGTGGGGAAAAGAGCTCTGGACCGGGAGTTAGGACCGCTAGATCAAGAACCCTGGGCAAGTGCCTTGCCCTTTCTGAGCCTCCGTTTCCGCAGCTGTTGATGAGAGGCTTGTCTAGATGAGCTCTGGGATGTCTTTCGGTTAGATTCTACAACAACTTTTCATTAATTGAACAGGTATTTGCCCTGTGATGGTCCTGAATGAATCAAAGCTGTCTCCCTGCTGGAGATAGGTCATGGGCTGTTGGAAGTAAAGGTTTAGAACTCAGGAGAGAAAAGACTGTAGACCCATGTGTTAGGGCATATTAGTAATCATATATTGAGAACATCCTTCCGTGTCAATATACATAAATGGATTGGCCTGATTCTTTTTAATCATTGAAGGTTTCTGAACTGAGCATGAGGATGAGCCAACTGATGTTGGGGAATGTCCCTCTTGAAGTAGAGGACAGAGGGCTTGAGGATGAATTGGGGGTGGGGGTGGTGAGGAATAAGTGAGAAGACTGGGGGCAGAAAAGCCAGTTGGGGAAGGTTGTAGTAGACTGGATAGAGATGATGAAGCGTAACTGAGGCCATGATTACTGCATGGAGAAAATGGGAAGATGGACCTGAAGAGAGAAAATAATTGAACCTGGGTAATTGAGCTTTAAGGTGCAGGATGCCTTCTTAAAGAGAGGAAGAAGTCAGGCATGAGTTACGGGTAATAGGTTTTTGACTTGCATAATTGATTGTGGAGGTGGCTCCTGACTAAGGGAATGAATGAGAGAGAGTCCTGGAGGAGGGAGAGCATAATTTTGTTGATATCCTCCGGGAGGATTCATCTAGATGTCTGCAGCTCAGCAATGAGGGGATCGACATTGAAATGAATGGAAGATGATGTCATGAGAGAGAACGAGACGTGTAGAACAATTAGAGAAACATTAGAAGAGAGTAAAGGATGGAATTAAGGAGATATACAAGTAGTCAAGGTGTTGGACTAGGAGAATGTAAAAGAGCATTCTGAGAAGTTGAAGGCAGTTGCTTTACTGCCTGAGCCTTAGTTTCCTCATTTCTAAAATGAGGATTAGAATCGTGCCTACTCGTTGTGTTTAGGGTTACATGAGAGAATGTGTGGAAGGCACTTACCTTGCATATCAGAAGTAGAACTCATGCAATAATTCATCATTCATTCCGTAAGTAAGAGTCAAGCACCAGCATATGCCAGGCAGCTGGGCCAGCCCTTTGGAGTACACAGAGGAGCAAAAGGGAAGTCTGAGTGCCTGACCTTGTGGGAGAGGAATTGTGAAAGAAAGAAGACTCAATATCATAAAAATGTGATTTCTATCTACATTCAGGTACCAGATATTACTATATATATTTAATGCAGTCCTGATAAATACAAGATAAATTGGGGGACAAGTTAAATGACTATTAAGTTTATAAGAAAACATAGATCAGCAAAAACAGCCAGAAAAAAAAAATCTAAAGTCAAAAAAGATTTGAGCTATGAGAAGGAAACCATCCTACAACATGATACTAGTATATGAGTAGACAGATCAGCTGGAGAGATTAAAAGATTCAGAAACAGGCCAGGTGCGGTGGCTCACGCCTGTAATCCCAGCACTTTGGGAGGCCGAGACGGGCGGATCACGAGGCCAGGAGATCGAGACCATCCTGGCTGACACGGTGAAACCCCGTCTCTACTGAACAAAATACAAAAAATTAGCCGGGTGTGGTAGCAGGCGCCTGAGTCCCAGCTACTCAGGAGGCTGAGGCAGGAGAATGGCGTGAACCCAGGAGGCGGAGCTTGCAGTGAGTCCAGATTGCACCACTGCACTCCAGCCTGGGCGACAGAGTGAGACTCCGTCTCAAAAAAAAAAAAAAAAAAAAAAAGATTCAGAAACAGACCCCAATACACAGTTTTGTATGTAACAATGATAGCTTTTTACATCAATGAGGAAATGATGGATTACTCCACAAATGATTTGAGATAGGTAGAAAAAATTAAGGTGGCTCGCTAATTCATACCTTATTACAGATAAATTCTAGATCAAAGATTTAAATGTGAAAAGGGAAGCCATAAAAGTACTAGAGAGGCCAGGCGTGGTGGCTCACACCTGTAATCCCAGCAGTTTGGGAGGCTCAGGCAGGAGTATCACTTGAGCCCAGGAGTTCAAAACCAGCCTGGGCAACATAGTGAGACCCCATCTCTTAAAAAAAAAAGAATTAGCTGGGCACATTAGCATGCACCTGTAGTCCCAGCTTCTCAGGAAGCTAAGCTAGGAGGATCTCTTGAGCCCAGGAGTTCAAGGTTGCTGTGAGCTAGGCTGGCACCGCTACACTCCAGCCTGGGTGACTCCAGACCCTGTCTCAAAAAACAAAGTACCAGAAATAAACAAAGGGATTTCTTTACTAATCTTAGAGTGGGGAAGACATTTCTAATTATGTTACAAAGCCCAGAAACCATAAAATAAAATAAAGATCAATTTTACTAATGAATATAAAAATATGTATGTGGGGAGAAGTGCCGAAAAATAAAGTCAAAGTACAAATGACAAGTAAAAAATACTAGTAACTCCTAATTAGACAAAAGACTAATTGCCTTAATATATTAAGAACTCCTACAAATCAATAAGAAAAAGACCTAAAATCCATTAGAAGTGGGCAAAAGAATTTGAAGAAACAGTAAACAGAAAAGGAGATGCAAGTGGGAAGATGCTCAGGTTCACTCCTAGGAGCAGTAGGAACTAAAACAATCAGGCACTGGTTTTAAAACCACCTTTTAGATTAGGAACAAAACAGCATTAAGAAGACTGTGGTGAAGGAAAGTGCTCATCTGATATACCTACTGGGGATTGCTATGGTTTGAATGTGTTCCCTCCAAAATACCAATGTGATAATATTAAGAGGTAGGGCCTTTAAGAGGTGATTAGGTCATGAGGGCTCCTTCCTTGTGAATGGGATTAGGCACCTTTTATAAAAGGGCTTGAGGCCAGGCATGGTGGCTCACGCTTGTAATCTCAGCACTTTGGGAGGCTGAGGTGGCTGGATCACCCGAGGTCAGGAGTTCAAGACCAGCCTGGCCAACATGGTGAAACCTCATCTCTCCCAAAAATATAAAAATTAGCTGGGCGTGGTGGTGCACACCTGTAAGCCCAGCTACTTGGGAGGCTGAGGCAGGAAAATCACTTGAATCTGGGAGGAGGAGGTTGCAGTGAGCCGAGACCATGCCACTGCATTCCAGCATGGGCGACAGAACAAGACTCCATCAAATAAATAAATAAATGGGCTTGAGGGAGTGAGTTTGCCCCTTTTTGCCTTTCTGCCATTTGCTCTGTGAGAACACAGTGTTCAAGGTGCCCTCTTGGAAGCAGAGAGCAGGCCTCACCACAGGCTGGCGCCTTGATCTTGGACTTCCCAGCCTCCAGAACTGTGTGAAATAAATTTCTGTTCTTTAGAAATTACTGAGACTCAGATATTTTGTTGTAGCAGCACAAAACGGACTGAGAGACAGGAACTAACTTCTGTGGGGAGAAGTTGGCAATACCTGTTATAATAAAAAAGTCACAGATCCTTTGAGGTGGCAATTCCACTTTTATAGAAACAATCCTCAGGTCCATCAACAGGGAAGTAATTAAATCAATCTACAACAGTGAGACAACAGAGTATCATGCAGACAATAAAAGGAACAATTTAGTTATTACTTTGGGTTTGTTTTCAGTGTGTTGATGTAATCAGTGCTGCAGTGGCTTCAGAGTGATCTACAGTTGTTTCCAAGGTGTGTGTGTGTGTGTGTTTGTGTGTGTATATGTGTGTGTGTGTGTATATATATATATATATATTTTTTTTTTTTTTTTTTTGAAATAGAGTCTCACTGTCACCCAGGCTGGAGTGCAGTGGCGCAATCCCGGCTCACTGCAGCCTCTGCCTCTCGGGTTCGAGCAATTCTCCTGCCTCAGCCTCCTGAGTAGCTGGGACTACAGGCGTGCACCACCACACCCAGCTAATTTTTGTATTTTTAGTAGAGATGGGGTTTCACCATGTTGGCCAGGCTAGTCTTGAACTCCTGACCTCAGGTGATCCACCCGCCTCAGCCTCCCAAAGCCAAGACACATTTTTAAATGAAAAAAAGGCAAGATGGAAAATAAATTTTTTTTTTTTTTTTTGAGACGGAGTCTCACTCTGTCACCCAGGCTGGAGTGCAGTGGCACGATCTCGGCTCACTGCAAGCTCCACCTCCTGGGTTCACGCCATTCTCCTGCCTCAGCCTCCCGAGTAGCTGGGACTACAGGCGCCCACTACCACGCCCAGCTAATTTTTTGCATTTTTAGTAGAGACGGGGTTTCGCCATGTTGGCCAGGATGGTCTCGATCTCTTGACCTCGTGATCCACACCCACCCCCCGCCGCCTCGGCCTCCCAAAGTTCTGGGATTACAGGCATGAGCCACCATGCCCGGCCAAAATTTTGTTTTAAATAAAGGAAAAAGGAAGGGAAGGAGAAAAAGGGGGAACATATATATTGCATAAATTTTGTCTGGAAGGACACCAAAACGTGCTTGCCTTGGGGAGGGTGTCTGGATCGGATGGGAAGGGAGACTAAGCTCTTATCTCTGTCCTTTTGGACCTTTTGAGTTTTAGACCACATGCACACATAATCTAAAATTAAGTAATTTTAAGATGAAGTGAATGTGTTCACTATAAAAAGGAAATATAACAGATTTTAAAATTACTTATAAAAATATTAATGTATGTAATTATATCACTGGTATTCTTTTTCATTTAACTATATGTGAACATTTTGCCATTTCTTTAAAAAATATTCACAAACATCATTTTAATGCCTGAATGGTATTTCATTTAGATACAAATTAGTTAAGTATGTATATATTAATAATTCTCCATTGTCCGTTTAGGACATGTGACACATCCATTTAGGAACTCATTTTGGTGTCTTTAGTTTCCTGCTATTATAAATAATACTGTGGGCCAGGCGCAGTGGCTTAGGCCTGTAATCCCAACACTTTGGAAGTCCGAGGCAGGAGGATCACTTGAGCCCAGGAGTTTGAGACCACGAGTTTGAGACCACCTTGGTTAACATAATGAGATTCCCATCCCTGAAAAAAAATGAGCCAGACATGGAATAGTCCCAGCTACTCAGGAGGCTGAGGCAACAGGATTGCTTGAGCCCAGGAAGTTGAGGCTACAGTGAGCCATGATTGTACCACTGCACTCCAGCCTGTGTGACACAGCGAGACCCTGTCTCAAAAAAAAAAAAAAAAATACTATGAGGAACATCTTTGTACATTTTATCTTCATGTAGATCTTGGATTATTTTCTTAGAATAGATTATTATAAACTGATTTAGTAGCTAAAAGATATGGAAAAAGTTGAGGTTTCTGGATACACACTGTCAAGTCACTGCCCAAGGAGGTCTTGGAAGTTTACAGTCTCATTAACAGGGTTTGAGAATGACCATTTTCTGACAGGATTTCCAACTCTGAGGATTCTTTATTTCCCCATTTGCTGTTGACTCTAAAGATGAGAGGGTGAGTGACGAATATAAATATGGGAGAAAAATAAAACGATGTGTTTCTGCTTTCGATTGGAGAGCTCCCCAGAGCCGTCTTTGGAATTGCTGTTCCCTGAGGGGATATGGTAGCCAGAGCATGTTGGCCCAGCTGATGTTTTCTAGGATTGGTCTTTGAGTGTGGCATTTGCTGTCTCTGTGTCCCGAGGGCCAGTGGCCTGCACTGGGCAGCCTGTAACATCAGATGGCATTGTGAGATCAAAGCCCCAGGAGACATTCCAGCATGAAGCTGGCCTTTCAGATAGAGCCTGTAATTCCATCCCATGGTGTCAGGTCCTAGGACAAGAACACCTGCACAGCACTCCACGGTGCACGGAGGCCCTTCTCAACAGCCCCAAGAAGGAACTGCGGCTCCTCCCCACAGAGGACAGGCGGGCAGCAGGGGAGAAGAGGGATAGACACAAACTCCCTCTCCTTCAGAGGCCCGAGAGTGAAATCCAGCGAGTGTGCATGGAGCGCCTGCTCTTTACCAGGTGCTGGATGAGAATCAGGGAATGCAGCGGCCAGAACCTGTTGGCTCAGCTGCCAGGATTAGGTTTCAGCTGGACATGGGAAAAATCCAGACCAAATTCCTGTTCCCGTGGAGCTGACAGTCTAACTGAGGAAGAGCCGAGGACTCGGAGGCTCCGGGAGCCAGTGTGGCCTGCTCGGGGTTTGTCATTTTCCAGAGCAGCGGGTTTCAGGTGGGGCTGAGGCCCTTCTGAGCCGTGGCTGTAAACCGGCCTCACTCACCTCAGAGGGCAGCTGTGGCCACTGAGTGCGTGATGTGTATGAAAACACAGGCACCTGGGCCATGGTACCTTTCCTTATCGTAGGAATTGTCAGCATCATTTTTATCCTCTGTTATTACTGTTATTATCATAAGCCATTTTCCTGTCCTGAAGCATTGAGCGGTTTCCCCAGAGGCAGAGCGCAGGAGTGAACCTCCGTGACCTGTAGAAGGAGCCACCTCTGGAACTTCCGGGAATTCTTTTAGCCAAGGAGGAGCCAGAGCGTGACTAGGGCAGCGCGCAAGGCTGCTAGGAAGATAGGCAGGGTGCGCCATCTGCTGTAGCCGGGGGGAATTGCCGTGGACAGTGTCCTGGCCCTCCTCTATTTTACACAGGGGAAATGAAGGCCCCAAGAAAGGCAGGGTCTTGCCCAGGGTTAGGTGGCAGAGCTTGGGTTTAAGGTCACGTGTCTCATTCTTTGCTCTTTCTACCATAGGACACCTCCCTGTCTCACCTGTCTGATCTTTGAGGGCCCCTAATTCATTCTTTAGGTGTTTCTTCTGAGCTAGGTGTTGTGGGGGGATGTGGGCCTTGCCCTCCATACTGATCCTCTTCTCTGTCTCTCTCTTTCTCTCTCTCTCTCTCTCTCTCTTCTCTCTCTCTCTCTCACACACACACACACACACACACACACACCTGCAGCACTTACTGGCTCAACCCCACCCTGGGTGCCTTCTGGGCACTTCTGCCAATGTCAGCTACCTTCTAAAAGCATTGCACAATAATTTGGGTTTATAAAACTTCAACCATTGAAAAAATATAGACTTAGAAAACGAAAGTTCCCCTTAATCACAAAGAACCACAGTTGACAGGGTTGATAGATGTTTTTTCAGATTTTTTTTTCATATGTCTGCTATCTTTCCCCACAGGAACTGGGTTTTATTTTAGGTGTTGTTTTGCAACCTCTGTTTTTCAGTTGCCAGTTTATCTCAGACATTGTCCTATGTCAGTACAGGCCCATCTGGCACATTTCTTTATTATTTTTTTTTTACTGACATGTCATTGTATATATTTGTGGGGTGCAACTTGATGTTTTGATACATATATGTTGTATAATAATCAGATCAGGGCAGTTAGCATATCCATCATCTCATGCATTTATTTCTTTGTGATGAGAATATTCAAAAGCTTCTGTAGTTATTTTGTAATATAGAATGCCTTTTTTTTTTTTTTTTTTGAGACGGAGTCTCGCTCTGTCTTGCCCAGGGTGGAGTGCAGTGGCGTGATCTCAGCTCACGGCAGTCTCCGCCTCATGGGTTCAAGAGATTCTCCTGTCTCAGCCTCCAGAGTAACTGAGACTACAGGCGTGTGCTACCACACCCGACTAATTTTGTATTTTTAGTAGAGGCGACGTTTCACGATGTTGGCCAGCCCAGTCTCGAACTTCTGACCTCAGGTGAACTACCCGCCTCGGCCTCCCAAAGTGCTGGGATTATAGGCATGAGCCACCGCACCCGGCCTAGAATGCCTTATTGTTAACCATCACCATACTGTACAATAGAACAGGAACTTACTGCTCCTATCTAATTGTAACTATGTACCCGTTGACCAGCTTTCCATCCTTTCCTCTCCTCTCCCCTCCCCAGTCTCTGGTAACCACTGTTGTATTCTCTCCTTCTATATCAACTTTTTTTTTTTTTTTTGACAGAGTTTTGCTCTGTCACCTAGGCTAGAGTGCAGTGTCATGATCTTGGCTCACTGCAAGCTCCGCCTCCTGGGTTCACGCCATTCTCCTGCCTCAGCCTCCTGAGTAGCTGGGACTACAGGCGCCTGCCACCACGCCTGGCTAATTTTTGTTTGTTTTTTTAGTAGAGAGGGGGTTTCACCATGTTGGCCAGGATGGTCTCGATCTCCTGACCTAGTGATCCACCCGCCTCGGCCTCCCAAAGTACTGGGATTACAGGTGTGAGCCACTGTGCCTAGCCGATAACAAATTTTTTTTTTTTTAAGATTCCATGTATGCGTAAAATCATGCAGTATTTGTGTTTCTGTGTCTGGCTTATTTCACTTAACATTATGTCCTCCAGGTTTATCCGTTTTGTCCCAAATAACAAGATTTCATTCTTTTTTATGGCTGAATAGTATTCCTTTGTGTATATATACATTTTCTGTATCCATTCAATCATGTTGGACATTTGGGTTGATTCCATATCTTGGCTATTATAAATAGTGCTGCAGTAAACATAGGAGGTCAGATGTCTTCTTGACATACCAATGTCAGTTCTTTGGATATATACCTAGTAGTGGGATTGTTGGGTCATATGGTACTGTTTTTAATTTTCTCAGGAACCCTCCATACTGTTTTCCATAGTGGCTGTATGGCACATTTCTTTTTTATGACTACTTCATAATTCACGCGATGCCTAACCTCCTGGTGGACATTTGGGTGGTTTCCTATAGGCTGCTATTACTGACCAGGTGCAGTAAACATCCTCACACTAGAGAAAACATTGGGCATTTGCCTGAGTGGGTCTAGAACTAGGATTTGCTGGGTGGGCCCATGGGCCCACCCCACTGGACTATGAACTCCTAAAGTCAGGCCAGTGCTTAGACCACCCCTCCCACTTACTAATTCAGGTCTGCGAGGTAGCCAGAGTCCATGCAATGACTGCTATCTAATTGCCTTCAGAAAACCATAGGTGCTCAATGAGAGATACTAGTATCCCCTTCGCAAATTAACCTTTTGTTAATATAGTAGCAGTACTTCTTGTTGCCAAGAGTACATAAATGGACAATCTTGTGTGCTACTGGTGGGAATATAAATAAAAACAGCACTGACTTTATAAGTCTTTCTGCCAATTTTTTGTCATCATGAATACCACTGTGCTATTTGGGAAGGCAACTGGGAAATGTGTCAAAAATCTAAAAATTATTTCACCCTTCCCTTTAGCCCAGCAGTTCTACTTCTAGGGATATACTCTCAGGAAACAATTAGGGATGGGCACAGAGACTTTCATAAAGTCCCAGTGCTGTGTGTGGCGGTAGAAAACAGGGAAGTACCTCTGTGTTCATTTCTGGAGGCCTCATCCTAGAGTAAATCATGGCCCATCCAAGCATGCTGGCACAAAATTCATGTGGAGGGAGACTTAGTGACATGTTCTAAAGCGTCCCAAAGAGTAGGCTACAAAACACAACATAAGGTATGGTCCCAAATCATTTCTAAATGTATGTGGCTCTTCTTTATATATGTGGCACTCTTCTCTCCTTTCTCTAGACTGTGTTACCAAGCACCAGGGCTGTTAACTGCTGTCTCTGTAGTAAGAACTACTAATTTATTTTTTCTTTTTTTCGAGATGGAGTCTCGCTTTGTCGCCCAGGCTGGAGTGCAGTGGCACAATCTCGGCTCACTGCAAGTTCTGCCTCCCGGGTTCATGCCATTCTCCTGCCTCAGCCTCCTGAGTAGCTGGAACTACAGGCGCCCGCCACCACGCCCGGCTAATTTTTTTGTATTTTTAGTAGAGATGGGATTTCACTGTGTTAGCCAGGATGGTCTTGATCTAGAACTACTAATTTCATATCTTTCCTCCCCACTCCACCTCTCTTCTGAGCTCCAGCCTCCTAGTTCCATGTACCTAGCCTACCTCTCCCCTTGGAGGGCTCACAGGCATCTCAAAGTTACCGAATAGGCCAAACAGGACTTTATGCCCTCAAATATTCCTCCTTTGTTCTTCCATATGTCAGCAAACCACACTTCTGTCCACCTACTTATTCACACCAGAAACCTAAATTACCTGTCAATCCAACACTACTTCTTGTTGGTTCGATTTCCAAGTTATATCTAGAATCCTTCCCACTGCCCCCCTCCTCCACCCACCATCTTGGCACCTGAACTTCACAGGAGCCTCCTAACTTGCCCCTTCCCAGCACTGCTGTGCCCGGCCGCCACAGTCACCTTTGAAAATGCACGGCTGCTACTTCATGGCCTTGCCTAAAGCCCCTCAGGAACCAAGTTCCAGATGTGGTCTGGCTCCTGCCTACCTCAGCAGTGTCCTTGGTGTCATTGTCCCTCTTCTGCCATGCTCCCGCCTGCTGGCTCTTTCTGTCCTTCCAAGCCCTCATGCCTCCCTCCCTCAGAGCCTTCACACATGCTGTTCCCCTCTCTGTAGTGCTCTTCCCCTCACTCTTCATCTGCATGACGCCTCGTCCTCCTTGGTTCTCAGCTAAAATGTCACTTTGTGACCCCCAGCCTTGATCAGGTCCCAGTGATCACTCCAGCACCCTGCATTCTCCCTTGAAGCCTTGAGCACCAAGGCCATGACTTAGGTACGAGGTGACTTTATGCCACCTGTAGTAGATGGTAAGCTCTGTGAGGCCAGGGACCATGGCCAGTTTGTTCATGGTGGTATCTGTGCCAGTGCCTGGCGCATGGTATTAATAAATGTGTGTACATGTTTGTCAATAATTTTATTTAAAGAAAAGTCTGAGCCCATGTTCTTTAAAATGTTGATGGTGGTTGTCTGGGTGTGGAATTATGAGTGACTTGTTTTGTTCTTTGTACTTTTCTGTGCTTTTTGCTTTGTTTTCAATAAGAGGCAATAACTGTCATTTTGACAGAAGCCACTGTGCTGGGGAACTGGAGCTGTCCTCTCTGCAGAATGCATCTGGACTTACCTCTGCCCCCTTGCCTTCTGTCCCCACAGGCCTGAGGAGCGATGCGACAGGCATGATGGAGGTCGAGTCCTCCTACTCGGACTTCATCTCCTGTGACCGGACAGGCCGTCGGAATGCGGTCCCTGACATCCAGGGAGACTCAGAGGCTGTGAGCGTGAGGAAGCTGGCTGGAGACATGGGCGAGCTGGCACTCGAGGGGGCAGGTTAGAGCCAGCAGGTCCTTGGCACTACTGCATGCCAGAGGCCCTCTGCCGGGCCCCGGGCTAGCCTCCAAGTCCTAGACTGCCCATACTTTCTTAGAGAAGAAACCACATTTAAGTCAGGCCTGCCCCATGGTCAGTGGCAGAGTCCAGCAATCTCTAGGTTGGAAGATGTTTGAGTCTCAGGCCCCAAGGACTCCTCTGGACAGGCATCCGGGACTCTTCCTGTCCCCCTGCCCCCTAGCCCAGGTCCCTCCACTTCTCGCTATCCCCACAGCTATACCTGGCTCTGGCCACTCACAGCTCTCACCTGGCTGACTTTAGCGGCCGGCTTCCCTGGGCTCCCTACACCCATCTCCGCCCTTCCTGTTCAGCTCTATGCAGCAGCCAGCAGACCCCATTTAAACCATTCTGTCCATCATGCTTCTGCCAAAAAAAAAAAATCCCCCAGTGGCTTCACTGAGTGAAGCTAAGCTTGTCACATTGCCCTGGGGCAGTCCTGCTGTAGGCCGGGCCCTGCCCAAGTCTCAC
Source organism: Homo sapiens (assembly GCF_000001405.40). Lineage (NCBI taxonomy): Eukaryota > Metazoa > Chordata > Mammalia > Primates > Hominidae > Homo > Homo sapiens. Next base: position 44,615,236 of record NC_000020.11, read on the forward strand.
CCGGTGCCACTCCTCTCCCTGACACCCTCCAGCTACATCTACCTTTGGTCTGTTTCTCAGTCAAGCCTCTCCAAGGGGCCTTCTCTGAGTGCTAGATCAGCCTTCCCCAATCACATGACCCTCATCACTCTCTGACAAGGTCTCAGGGGTCTAAATGTGAGCGCCGGGAGGGCAGAGGCCTTGCATTCTGTTTGGCACACAGCAGGTGCTTGGTAACCACAGACCGAATGACAAAAGGAAACAGCATCCACCCACCCAAGTCCTGGCTGGAACACCCCCACCCCCTCCATTCCCCCAGAGAACCCCTTGGCTCAAGTCCACAGTCAGCCTGGGAATTTCCTTGGGAAGCTTCCCTGACCCCTGCACGGCTGAGGCCTTTCCCTCCTGCTCTCACAGCGCCACAGAGGCCGTGTGTGCTTCTCACAGCACAGCCATCAGGCTGCAACTGTCTCCCCGTGGGCTGTCCGGAGGGCCACAGCCCTGCCCCTCCCTGGGTAGCCCTAGTCTTCTTGCCCCTCACTGGCCAGAAGTGAATCAAAAGTACAGAACAGAGAAGACTTTGCCGGGGCTTGGACCCAGCCCTCTCATGTTACAGATGGACAAACTGAGGCCCAGAGAAGTTGGAGGACTTGCTCTGGGCCACCCAGGGAGTTAACATAGAATCTGGCCGGCTTGAGAGAGAGCCCCCAGCACCCTGTCGACGGAACCCCACCCCAAAAGCCTTCCCTGTCCCATAATCTATTCATTCTCCTCTGTCACGTGGCCCAGGCAGAACCTCCACAGGCTCACCCTGCTCGCCTCTCCAGCATCAACTCTCATCCTCTCGCCAGCCATAGTCAAGTACTTTGATCGCTCAGAAGCCCCTGTGGGCCTTCACACGCTGCACCTCTGTTTGCTTCTCCCCTCCCTCCCCTTGCCTGGCTGGGTTCTCTTCATTCTTAGAGACCCAGGCATCTGCTCAGCTGAGAAGCCTTCCCTGACCGCAGTACCCCTCCCAGACCGGGGAGGCACCTCTTCTCCCTGCTGCCTCCATGAGCCCACTGAGCATAATGGCCCTGCTCTAGACTGAGCTTCTCCAGCACAGGCTCTGTGTCTTGTGCCCTCGGTGCCTGGTGGTGTTTGGCACATGATGGAGGTACCGAGTCAATGGCTGTTCATTGACCGACTGAATGACCAGCATGTCCAGCTGCCACACTGGGCACGCTGCCCTGGGCTCTCTCTCAAGGCTTCTGTGTCCTCACCCTCAGCTCTGGTGAGCTCTGTTCTGTCTCTCTCTCCCTCAGCAGTTGTAGCTGCTGGCCCATGTGCCCAGGCTCTCCTAACACCTGTTTTCCCTGACTCAGATTCCCTAAAGTATGGGTCCTCTGGCTACATGACATTCACCTGCCAGGGTGACTGACATTTAAAAAGGGGGCCTGAGGAAAGAACAGTGCTCACTGAAGGAAAGGAAACACTCACGGTGGCGTCCAGGCAAGAGTGACTGGCCAAGGAGCCTTCCAGGAAGCCCGCAGGGAGCAGTTCCGTTTCACAGGCGGGGCTGCGGGCCACGCCCACTCCAGCGACTCCCCAAGGCAGGGGGAGTACAGAGTTCCAGGCGCCACCCCGCTGGGAATAAAAGCAGGCTTTCCAGGCAGCGGGCTCGGAATAGGGTCCCGAGCTACCACCCACTTCCTAGCTTGCCGCAGGGGCACAGTGAGGCAGTGCTGATGTCAGGCCTCTATAAACCTTCAGGAATGCTGCTTATTGGAGGAGGTTAAATTTGGTAGAAGGGGTACTAGCCTTGGTGGCAGGCAGGGCTCTCCACCCTTGATCCAGGCAAATCAGCTCACCTCGCTGGGCCTCGGTTTTCTCATGCATATCATGACCCTAGTTACACCTCCATGTTACTGTGTGCATTGCACGAGAAAGTGCCCATCCATCTGCAGACCCTGGAGCTTGCTATAGGGTGGTGATTCTCCTGGTTCTGTGAAGGGCTTAGCCTGAAGGATAAAAAGGTGTGGTCTGGTTGGGCTGGATTTGAACTCAGGCCCTCAGTGAGCTTGTAGGGCACCTAGTAACATTGCACAGTGTCACTGGGGTTTAAGAATGTACCACCTATTGAGCTCTGCCCACATGCCAGGCCCCACGTGGTGCACCTTATGAAAAGACACCTGTTTATCATGCAGCCTGAGGAGGAAAGCATGGAGACTGGGGCCTGGGTGTGAGTTTGGCACTCCCCTCAACCTGCACTGCTGGTCCAGTGGGTGGCAGGAGCTGCCTGTCCCACCTTGCACAGGGGGGCTCAAGGGAAGCTGAAAGTGAGGAGACTTGGCTTGTATCCTGACTCCCCTCAGTGAGGTGCTCCATCTCTGTGAGCCTGCTGCTGCCCCTCACCCCACCAAGATGTCTGACAGGATGGATTTGAGAAGGAGGTACAACACACACCCCATGATGCACGGTTGGCCCCCACAGACTCTGATGCAGGCCACACCCTGGCGCTCCCTGAGCTGGCCTGGTTCAGTGCTCTTTACTCTCTTAGAAGAACATTGGCCGGGCACGGTGGCTCACACCTATAATCCCAGCACTTTGGGAGGCTGAGGCAGGCAGATCACCTGAGGTCAGGAGTTTGAGACCAGTCTGGCCAACATGGTGAAACCCCGTCTCTACTAAAAATACAAAAATTAAAAAAAAAACAAACAAACAGAACAGCTGCCATTTGCTGAGCACCTGTGACACACTGGGGACTTAACATCTGGCCTCTCCCTCTGGGGAACCTGCACAAACAAAGCAACCTTCAAGAGCCCTTCACTTGATGCTTTAAGCACCCATCCATAATGGCCCTTAATTGACTCTTAATTATACTAACAAACACTATGTGTATTTCCATGTAAAAAGATGTTACAGACCAGGCTAAAGTCCATAGGCCACCACCACCTCAGTCCAGCTCCAGCTCGTCTTGCTCCCCAGGGCATATCCACTGCTATCAGTTTGGCTGGGCCCTTTCACACCTCCTTCTGTGCATTACTTTGTGTATATGTGCCCAAGAAAAACCTCTTTCTCTCCTCTCCAGAAGGACAGGTGGAGGGAAGCGCCCCAGACAAGGAAGCTGGCAACCAGCCCCAGAGCAGCGATGGGACCACCTCGTCTTGAATCTGACCTTGTCCAAGAAGGCTGGACGAGAGACCTTCTGTCCCCTCCCAGAGGGGGAACCCTGGCACTGGCCCAGCAGCCTCTTCTCTGAGCTCCATGTCCCAGATAAACCAGGCCAGACTGAGAAGGCTCCCCAGAGGCCTCTGTGGCCTCCACTCCGGGAAAGCCCTCTGCCCACACCCACAGGCTTCACATTCCCACCACCTTCGCACCGTGCCCAGGTACACTTTCAAGACACTGTAACCACAAGATGTTATTTATTGAGCTGGCGCCGGGACTTGGGCGGGGCCTGCCCTACAGTGAGCAGCCCACACAGGAACGCTCCTCTCGCGAGCGGCCCGGGCAGGGACCCTGTCCCAACACCAACACCTCCTCTCCAGCCCAATCTTCTGGGTCCAGACCTGCTTGTCCCTTTTTTAGAAAACACTTTTAAACTTTTTAAAAATTTTAAACCTTTTTTCAGCAGATATGGAGAGAGCTGACAATCAATTCACATTTTTTAAGCCATTTTAGCTAAACTGTCATTGTGCATCTCTGAGGTTCCCTCATGGAGCTCCACAGATCCATTTTTAGGGAAGGGATTTTGGCTCAAAACGATCTGACCACCTCTGCCCTGTCCACCAGGATAAGTGACACCTAGGACCCAGGAAATAAATGCCGATGATTTGTGTGACTGGTTTAAGATTATTTCTCCTTAACCTTGCAAAAACAGGGGTTGGGCCTTATTTTCCCCAAGTCCACAATTAGCCGGACTTGCCCCAGGCTTCTAGAACATACGATTCTGAGAAGATGCTGGCGTTCTGCAGAGGCCAGCACCCTCCAAGGCCAGTGTCTGATGAGCCCTCTTCCATCTCATCTGCTCTCACCCCAACTGCCAGCTTCAGGAACCCAAAAGGAAGCTTTACTCCTTAAAACCTAGAGTTAGGAGGGGCTGAGAGTTCAGGGAATGTTTGAGCAACAACCAGAGAAGCCTTATTTCTTCTGGAAGGAGGACAGCCTCTGGACCCCTCTTGGCCCACAGCATTGGGATCTCTGGCCTGGCATTCACAGCCACCCTTAGGCTCAGGCCCTGCTGCTGAGCAGGCTGACCCAGCTCCCTCCATGCTCATCCTGCCCACATCGGCCCGCCCAAGACCACCAAATTACATGCCACCTGCTGCATGCCACCAGCCATGGGCTTCTTTATTGAGCACCAGATTTTCAGTACAAGTTGCCACAGAAGGAGGGTTTCAGATTCAACCATGCCCATGTGCAAGGGCGCTGGTCCCTGGCCAGGGCACATAATCAGAGAAGTGACGCGGCCATGCCGAGGTATACGTGTGTGCAGAAATGGACACATAGGGTTCAGGAGCATCAGTAACTGACTATTGAGATCATGGTCTTCTTGGAAGGAATAAATGTAAAAATGTTGCTCAGCCCCACAGAGTTGGGGTGACTCCACAGGGTGAAGGCTTGGAGGAGTGGCGTCTTCAGAGGTTCTGCCCTGCTCGTTGGTTCAGAGAAGCAAAAAGATCAGGCAACTTGTAGTACCCAGGATGTTGTAAAAATCATAGAACACCAGAACCAGAAAGGAACTCCTTCCTATGATGGCAAGAAGATGCCTTGCCAAGACCACATAGGAAGAAAGGAGCAGAACAGGCCTGGGCCCCTCTCCCTGCCCTTGGCTTTGGGCAGCCATGGAGGTGTCCCCAACTGCCCAGACCTTTGGGACTGGGCTTCAGAAAGTCTCCCCTTAGAACAGCCTCTCAAGAACTTTTATAGAAAACAAACCGATCTAATGAGACGCTGCTCCCAGCCAGGGCCCAGAAACCAGGGAGTCATCACACATTCATGGCGCTGCCCAAGAATGGAAGGGCATCTTGCTAGAAGTCCCACAGAAAGCCACACTGGGGCCAGGACAGGGCAACTGCCCAGAAGCCCAGACAGGAACCTACCTGCAGAGGCTGAAGGTGGCATCCCATAGGCTTTATAGAGCAGGTCGAGAAGCTCCCTCTTTTCATCTTCTGGGAGGAAACTAGATTTGGCCGCATTGATGTTCTGGAAAGGCCAGAATGGCAGACAACATGGAACCAGAGAACAAAGAAGGCAGCTCTTAGCAATGTAGTGATAGTCCATCCTCTTCACTCAACATGGGCAGATACGCTTAGAGGGGGAAGGATTTGTCCACTGTCACACGGCAGCAAGTGCCAGAGTAGAGACCATGAGGTCGTGTTCTTAATTTGTCATTACATGAAAAAGGGCTGTGAGAAGGAAGTTGGAGAAACCTTTGAGAGACAGGGTGGCATGTAGGGGGCCAGAGACACCTCGCAGACACGTGCAGGAATGGACTTATTCAGCCTGGGATTTAAGAACAACCTGAAGAGAGTGTGCAAGACTTCATAGCTGCTGCACACACCTTTCTGGGGAGAGGGTTGACAGCTTTCACTGGATTCTTTAAAGGCACTCAACCCAAGCAAAGGATCAAAAACCTGGTCCTAGGTCAGGACGTCAACACAAAGATGTCTTCTCTGTGGAAAGTGTCTAGGTTGGGCTTGTCTTGGACTGTTGAGGCAGACTCACTCCCTCTCTCCAAAGATTCCAGGCCCCGGACTGGACCTGTAGATACCATACTCCCAAACCCGAGTCAAGGCCAGTATGGCTCACACCCACTCACCAGCCTTTTAAACTCCTCTTCAGTAAAGCCCATGTCCCGTTTGGTCATCTGGTAATCAGTGTCCAGGGTGGACTTGAAGATGAGCGGGTCATCTGTGTTGAGCGAGTAGTTAGCCTGGTCATTTTTGAGCCTGCAGAAGAGGGAGGAGGAGAGAATCAGCCTCCTTTTACTCTTACATAAATAGTCAGAACACATTGACGTTCACCCGCCTTTGATCCTCACAGCAGCCTCAAACAGATCTGAAAGATCTGATCCTTGTGCAGAGGGGGAAATAAATTCAGAACTTAGGTGACTTGTTCAAGTCTATGTAACCAGAAAGTCCAGAATCCAGCCCATCCTGAAGACCAGAGCTGGGCAAAGGCAGCAGAGGGGCCAGACATGGGAACCAGGCAGAATGGCAGCCGGTGGGGGCGTGGGGGTGGGAGCCAAGAAAGCAACATCCCCCTCCGGCTGCCACCCTCTCCAGCCTTCCCCTCTGCACCCTACCCTGCTTGTTCCTCAGTCCCACTGGGAGCTGGCTACTCCAACATACCATGGAAGCTGTTCTTGGCACGATCCCTGACCACCATCTTGTTGTATCTAATGGATCTTTCCTAGCTCTGACCATAATCGACTTGCATAGCAGAATTTCACACTGTTGACTGTTTCTTGAAACCTTTTCCCTGGATTTCTGTGACACCACACTTTTGACTTTCCTCCTACTTGTCTCTTTTGCTGGTCCCTTAAATACCATTGTCCTTCTGGGTTCTATCCTAGGCCCTTCTTGCTCCACCACCTCCTGGGGCCACTGCTTCTCCTTCAGCCACCATATCTGTGCAGATGACTCCTGGATCTTTTTCCAGCCCATGGTATACCCACATGCCTCCAAGAACCTCCACAGGTGCCACGTGTCCCTAAGGCAAGCCCCAAGACCCCCTTGTCATCAGAACATCAGAGCCGAAGCCCCTCCCCTTCTCATATGCCTGGCAGATGGATAAGTGCTGGCCTGACCATGGTCACCCTGAGTTCTTGCTGTCCTTGTCTTGGGGAAGGCGGCTTTTTCCTAAGGCCTGATACTGCTCCTGTGGCTTGGCGACAGGACGGAAGGAGGGCCTTGACCCTGGTTAGACTCCAGGATGGGAGCCAGGCAGGGTGGAACAGACCCTCCGGTGGAAAGCTTCAAGATGGCGCTCAGGGGAATGCCCAGGGGTCCCAAGGGCCAGGTGTCAGGAAGAGAGAACATGCTGGCCAGAGGGACTCCTGCTTCCTATGCGATGCCCAGGGGGCAGAGTTGGGAGAATTGGAAGTGTGGAAGCTTCCCTCAGAGTAATGGAGCGTTCTGCTCCAGCTGATGAGCTGTAGGGCCCCAGCTCTGCTGGTTAGCAGCTGGGTAATCCCAGTCAAGCCACAGCACATCTGGGCCTCGGATTCCTCATTTGTAAGATGAGGACGGCAATGCCTGCTTCCCAGGGTGTCGAAGAGATTTCATATCTAAAAGACGCGGCATGGGCTGATGCCCAATCCCTAAAGTTTCTTCCCTCTTTGGCCTTCCTGGAACAAAATTGAACAGGCCCAGGGGAACAGAGCTCACCGAATGACTGCATGCTCCGTGTCCGGCTTCCAGGCACCAGTGAGGTAGCTGGACCAGGGGCAGATCTGGAAGAGCAGGTGTGTGGCTGGCAGGGATGGCCCCAGGCCATGCTGATTCCTCCCCCCATGTCTGGGCCTGGGGCCACCCCTCGAGTTCCTGGGACCCGCCCTGCTTTCTGCCTCTCTATACAGGAAGTTGGGACAGCCGGGGATGGTTCCTCCCCACTCCCTGGCCCGCTTACCTCGAAGTGCATGTTTTCCTGCCGCAGCCTGTTATAAAGGGCCTGGTCTTCCAGGGTGTGGTAGCCGTGTCCCAGCCGCTCTGTCTTGAGTATGTCCACAGCCTGTAGAGAAGCAGAATAGAGCCAAGTATGGGAGGAGGCAGTGAGGAGGGACCCCATGGCCAGCCCAGGCCCTCACCTCTTTTACTACTTCGGCCGAGCCCACCTCCCCGGCGTGGACAGTACGGTGAATGCCGCTCTTCACAGCCTCCTGGAAGGGGGAGAGCCAGGTCATGGGTGCCCTAGCGGGAGGGCCCCGGCAGGCCCTGCCTTGACCATGCTGTGGAGATTGAACCATCCTAGTCATGCTGCCTGCTTCAACAGCATGGGGAAACCTGGTCTTTTACCCTCCAAGTCCTTATCTAAGTGGTAGCTGTCACTCATTAGCCAGTTACCATGTGTCAGGTAGTATATGAAGTGACTTGTATACATTATCTAATATTCACAACTATTATCCCACCCATTTTATGATGAAGGACTGAAGCTCAGGAGATTCAAGTAATGTGACCAAGGTCAGACAGGAAGTGTGGAACCAAGCTCTGAGCCCGGGCAGTGGGACTCCAGAGCCCTGACTTCTCCACCATGCTGCACCCTCCACAGGAGGCCCATTCATCATCACGCTGGAAGCGACTTTTGAGATGTCGGCTCCAACTCAGTCATCCCAATAGAAGAAACAGAGGCCCAGAGAAGACACAGTGTTGCCCAGGTTCACACAGCAAATCACAGCCAGAAGCAGGCTCAGCACAGGACTCCCAACACCAAGTGGAGGCTTTTCTTTCTCTCTCCCTTCCTTCCTTCTTTCCTTCCTTCCTCCCTCCCTCCCTTCCTCTTTTTCCTTCCTTCCTCTCTTTCTTTCTCTTTCTTTTCTCTTTCTTCTTTCTTCCTTTTTTTTTTTTTTGAGACAGGGTCTCCCTCTGTCACCCAGGCTGGAGTGCAGTCGCATTATCACAGCTCACTGCAGCTTTGACTTCCTGGACTCAAGCAATTCTCCCACCTCAGCCTCCCAAGTAGCTGGGACTACAGGCATGCACCACCATGCCTGACTACTTTTTTTTGTATTTGCAGAGATGGATCTCACTATGTTGCCCTGGCTGGTCTCAAACTCCTAGGCTCAAGCAATCCTCCTGCCTCGCCTCCCAAAGTGCTGGGATCACAGGCATGAACCACCACGCCTGGCCCAGGGGGATTCCAGTTCCAAGCCTTAAGACCCAACAAAGACACACTTCAGAACTCAGGAGACACCATGGTCCCTGGTTCTTGTGATTTCTCCCAACTATGGGTGGGAGACAAGCTCACCCAGGGCCAGCCTCTCCATTCCTTCTCACAGGACCCACCTGGTAGGCCTGGACATGTCCAGGCAAGAGGCTGCTTCCTGGGATGGTCTCATCTCCAGCCAGGTCAATGGCTACCACGGTCTGCTGCTGGTACTTCTTACACAGCTCCACCACCTTGGGGGACCAGTCTGTGGGCGAGATGCCCACCCAGGCTCTGTCACCAGCACCATGGAGAGACCTCCCAGCCTACCTGCCTGCTGTCCCACCCAAACCCCCCATGGGAGGCCAGCACAAAACAGGGCTCAGTGTCTTCAAATCCTAACTGCTATGTCCTAACCACATGGCCTGCGGAAAACTGCTCTGCTTATGGCCTCAGTTTCCGCCCTTTTCAGAAAGAACCCTGCCAGCTATTGCACAGGGTCACGGCCAGGCTTTGCCGAGGCCATGTGTGTAAAGCACCAAGGACGGGGCCTGAGCTCAGTAAATGACACGGACCCTTCTCTCACCTGGTGTTTCCAACAACACTCATGGTAGGCTTATTCCCATGCGCAGATGAGGAAACGGAGGACCGTTTAACACGTCATCTAAAATAGAACTCACACTAGTATTGGGAAGTATCTCGCTAATGTATTAGGTACTCTTAACCAATAAAGTTATTCTGAAGTGTTTAAGAAAGAATGAATGAACACAGGCTTTGGAACTAGATGTCCCCGGATACAAATCCAGGGTTTGTGCCTTGCAAGAGGCTGCACCTCACTCCACCTCAGTTTCCTCATCTGTCAAATGGGACTAAGCAATGGTAGTTCTGCTTTGCAGGCTGCTGCGAGGATTAGAGGAAATGCGTGCAGGTAGCTCTTTGGTTCTTACTAATCCTGAGGGTAGAGGAATGAAGTAAGTGTGATCATCTCCTTGTGACAGTGCACAACTGAGGTGTCTTGGTGCATAACCAGAGCAGCAGTGTGACCTGCCCAATATCACACAGTGAGGCTGTGCACCATGAGGCACAAACTCTAGAGATCTGATCTGCGTCAGTGACAAGGGAGACCCCTCAGAAATCTTGGAAATCAGACCTATTCAGGCCCAGACAGGATGGGGCCTGGTCCACTGGGTCTCGAGGGAGGACTATGGGCTGATCAGAATCTAGCCTAGATTTTTTTTTCAATAGTTACGTTCCTATTTGGTGTTGAGCTTCCTGCAGGGTGGCTATAAAGGCATGGTGTCCCTGGGGAGAACATCTCCAGAAGTTCTGAGCCTGCCTAGGAGGTCTCCAGTTGTTTCATGAAGCCCCAAGTTCATGCCAGTGGGCTCAAGGGGACACCATGGGGCTGTGGGGCACAGGGGAGATCAGGTACAGCCCCACTGCTAGGCCAGGAGGTCAGGGCCAGGGTGAGACGGGCGGCCCTGGGCAGGGCGGTGATCCTACTCACTGGGCTGGTGGCGCATGCAGCACAGGATGGACCGGGCCTTGACCCCGAAGTCTCGCTCCCCCTCCTGCAGGCCCTGGCCCACTAGGGCCACCACCTCGTCTGGGGTGAGGTCCCCTCTGTGTGAGGAGAGGAGTAGGGATGGGCCTGAGGCAAAAGGAAGGCCTAAAGGGCAGCTCTGGGACTGGGACAGAGGAGGAAGAGGAGGCTTTGGGGAGGACCCTCCTCCCCCACTGACCCACTGCCTCAGAGGAAAGACTGGCAGAGATGCCCCCAGGCCCTAGCATGTCCCTCTAGCTCTTAAAGCAGCTGGGTGCTCCTAGATCTTAGTGGGAGGTGTGGGGTGTCAACATGGCCCTCCCCACCCCCAGATGGACAGCATTGCTAAGCTTGGGCCTGCCATGATGTTCACATTCTATATGTATCAGAATCATGGCTCAGAAAATGGGGCAGGGTGGTTTTGTGATACCACTTAGAGATCCATGGGGGCCCAGGCAGGGGGCTAGAAATGGGCCAGACTCACTTCAGTTATGAAGTTAGAGCAGGACCTTTAGGGCCTTTAGAGATCTGATCAGCATCAGTGACAAGGGAGACCCCTCAGAAATCCTGGGTGGCTAAGCAGGTTAACATTCCTGGACAGCAGGCCTGTGGCCAGAGCAAGACACAGCCAAACACTTGTGCCCAAGGTAAGAACATAACGGCAAAGGGAGGATGGGAACCACGTCTCTTGTGACAGAGTTAAACCCATCTTTCTGAGGCCATGGACCAGACTGGGGGCAAGAACAAGGTCTTGCTTGGGTCAGGGATTCCCAGCAGTTCGCCCTTCCAGTCTCAGAGCTGAGCCTCCCAGCCACACCCTCAGCATGGCCCCTTCCAGGCCCATCACTCACTCAGCCTGGTTCCAGGGGATTGGCTCCACTTTGGAGTTGGCCAGCAGGTGCGGACTGTACCGCACCTCCACATACACCACGCCCTCTTTGGCCTTCATCTCTACAAACTCATAGGCGATCCTTTTGATAGCCTCCCGGCAGCCCCTGGGAAGGGAAGAAAGGGGTTGGGAACAACCTTCCCCAAGTCCCTTGGGAGCTCCAGGAGCAAATGACATCCCCAACCCTTGGCAGATTAAACCCACTTCATCCCCCAGACCCAAGCTCTGGGCATCCACTGGATAAGATCCCAGACACTGGGCAAGTCCTATCAGCTCTACTTTGGAACTGCATACCAGTTCTCACCCCTCCATCCTGGCCTGAATCACGCCATCTCTAACTGGCCTCCCTGTCTCCATGCTTGCCCCTGTCATCCTGTTCTCCACCCAGCAGTTGGGGCAATCTTTTAAGAAGGTAAATCAAAGCATATCACTTCTCCCCTCGAAGCCCCAGTAGCTTCCTGCCACGGAGAGTGACATCGCAACTCCCAGGTCCTGCCCACAAGGCCTGCATCCTCCAGGCCTTGCCAGCCTCCCCAGCACCTTCCTTCTCCCTCATTCCCTGAGGCCACCGGAGAAGACACAGGCCTGCTCTTCCCCGATACTGTCCTACACTGCGTCTCTCCCGCTCCCCTGGTTTAGAGCCAGCTGAAGCTTCACCTCCTCAGAGAGGCCTTCCCTGACCACCTTATCTTTTTTTTTTTTTTTTGAGACAGAATCTTGCTCTGTCGCCCAGGCTGGAGTGCAGTGGCGCCATCTCAGCTCACTGCAGCCTCTGCCTCCTGGGTTCAAGTGATTCGTCTGCCTCAGCCTCCCAAGTAGCTGGGATTACAGGCGCATGCCACCACGCCCGGCTAATTTTTTGTATTTTTAGTAGAGACAGCGTTTCGCTGTGTTAGCCAGGATGGTCTCGATCTCCTGACCTCATGATCCGCCCACCTCAGCCTCCCAAAGTGCTGGGGATACAGGCGTGAGCCACTGTACCTGGCCCAGACCGCCTTATCTTAAAACGGCCCCTCCACCATTCTCCTGGGCTTTCTTTTTCTCCCAGGTCCTTATCACTACTCAACATTGTGTGTCATATGGCTTATCAGCCAGTTTGCTGTATTCCCTACTAGAATGCAGTCTCCATGTGGCAAGGACCCCTCTGTCTTGGGATGGCTGCGACCTCTCAGCTGAGGACCATGCCTAGGACAGAGTAGCCCAATATTTGTTGGTGATGGAGTTAAGGCTGGCAGGGAAGAGAAATGAGAGAAAAGGACACAGCTGGACAAGTCCAGAGGGATGCCTGGATGTGGGAGACACGTGGGATACAGTCATGGACTTGGATCCTTGTGCCCACACTTATCTGCTGTGTGACCCCTGGTTAGTCACCCTCTGACACCTAGGTCAAGGAGTTATTGCGGGGACAAATGAGTCAAACTTCATAAACCCCACCCGGGTCAGTGCTTGGAGCAGAGCGGACAAATGCTCAAAACATTTTCGTTGTTATTACTGCATGTTTGTTCCAGAAGCAAGGCACAAATTGGCCTGCCAGGGCCACTGTGTTGATCACGTAACGGTGGACTGTGCTTAGCTGGAAGTTCCCACCATGAAGAGTGAAAATGAAGTGGTTACTAGAATGTGTGAGGGAAGGCACACAAGTGCTGGGAGAGCCCAGCGTGGGAAGAAAGTGCCCTGCCCAGGGGAGATCAGGCCACTCTCAGGAGAAGGGGTCACCAGAAGTTCTTGCATCTTCAGGATGAGGATGGAGGCCAGGCGCAGTGGCTCACGCCTGTAATCCCAGCATTTTGGGAGGCCGAGGCGGGCAGATCACCTGAGGTCAGGAATTCGAGACCAGCCTGGCAAACATAGTAAAACCCCATCTCTACTAAAAATACAAAACCATTAGTTGGGTGTGATGGTGGGTGCCTGTGATCCCAGCTACTTGGGAGGCTAAAGCAGGAGAATCCCTTAAACTGGGAGGTGGAGGTTGCAGTGAGCTGAGATCGCACCACTGCACTTCAGCCTGGGCAACAGAGTGAGACTCTGTCTCAATAAATAAATAAATAAATAAATAAATAAATAAATAAAGCAGTCATGGAAATTTCTCTCTAGTACTCGCCCATACCCCTTCTGGGCCTTTTCGGTACCTAGTGCTGTTCCCTGGCGACTCAAGACAAGAAAAAGAAAAAGCCTTTTGGAGAATCTTCCCCACATCTCCCCGCCCCCACCCTATATTCAGGCCTCTCCTCCCCTCACAACACGAAGCCCTGAACTAGGAGATAGATGGCCCGGGTTCAAGCCCTGCACTGCCTCTGACCCTGTGTTCTTAGCTCCCATATTCTGCCATTTCTCTGTAGAACTTGAAGCAATTTCAGTCCATCACACCCACATCTCAGAAGGGAAAACTGAGGCCTAAAGGCACTGGAGAGACTCACTAAGTGTACACAATGGTGAGAAAGACAGCTGTGGTTTCAGAGCAACTTCTCTGGCCCCCACAGGCTGAGGGACAGGCCTGGTCCTAGTCATAGGGATCAATGCTGCCCTAGGACCTGTGGGTTGGGGGCAACTCACGCGATAGCAGGCATGTAGTAGTCAAACTTGGCCAGGAAGTCTGGAAGGGTGAGCGGCTTGTCCATGCCAATGACGTTCAGCAGCCCCTCTGCTGTGTTAGCTGGGAGGGCGATCCCTCTCCTCCTGGAAACAAAACAGTGAGTGGTGGACCAACCCGGGGCAGGATCCAGGCAGGCCTGACAGGCCAGGATGGAGCAGACTCAGGAGCGCCAGCCTCCTTGCAGGACCACAGCAGGAGACATGGGCGTCTCTCAGTCCAGCTGCTCCCACTGGACAGATGGGGAAACTGAGAACCAGGACCGGAATTTTTCCAGCACCTTCTACCCCCAATGCACAAGTCAGCAAATCTCAAGGGGGATAAACAGGTTGAAGTGTGTGTGTGTGTGTGTGTGTATGTGTGCACACATGCACACACCCCCTCCATATCCTTGGTTGACTGATGCTTGGAGACAAGGAAAGTGCCAGGTCAAGTTCATGGCTTCCTCCTCAGCCCCAGGAGCTGGCTCAGCCAGCTGGTCCTATGCCCAGTCAGGGGTTATCAGGGGCAGTAACTGCAGCATCACAATTCCCAGGGTAGGGGCAGGCATCAGGACTTCACCCTCCATCTGGCTGGCACATCAGAGGCTTGCCCAGCCCAGCGCACTGGGAGAGGGCCGGTGGAGGCTCAGGGGAGGGGCCCAGTGGGCCGCCAGCCAGCTCAGACCTCTCTCCCCTCCCTGCCCACAGCCGCCACACCAAGCTGGACTACAGCAGCGCTCAGTAAGAGCGTGCTGGAAACAGCCCCTCTGGCTTGGAGCCTCCATTTCTCCCCAAGCATCTCGGCCTCCCCTCCCAGCCACGGGAAGCAGGGTGCGAGCTCAGGGGGGCTCCCTCTCTTCTGCACACGCTCCTGCCTCCTCATCCCATCCCGGCTCTGCTCCAGCTCACAAGGTCACCTCGAGCCTCAGTTTCCCCCCCCTTTTTTTTTTAAGATACAACAGCCAGAGAACACCAGACATTAAGAAATGCTTCTAGGCTGGGCATGGTGGCTCACGCCTGTAATCCCAGCACTTTGGCCTCCCAGGCCAAGGTGCGAGGATCATGAGGTCAGGAGATTGAGACTATCCTGGCCAACATGGTGAAACCCCGTCTCTACCAAAAATACAAAAATTAGTTGGGTGTGGTGGTGTGTGCCTGTAATCCCAGCTACTCAGGAGGCTGAGGCAGGAGAATCACTTGAACCAGGGAGTCAGAGGCTGTGGTGAGCCGAGATCATGCTACTGCACTCCAGCCTGGTGACAGAGCAAGACTCTGTATCACAAAAAAAAAAAGAAAAAAAAAAGAAATGCTTCTAACATGAGGGACAAAACAACAGAATAGACAAAAGCACTCCGAGGAAACAGCACAGAGAACAGATGAAAACCTAAGAACCAAAACAAAAAAGACATGAATATCCTCAAAGAGATGAGAAGATCCTTGAAAGGAGGGAACATTCAGAACCCAAGAACGAGCCCTCGGAAATTTACAAGAGAATGCGGCAGCAACTGTCACGATGTAAGAAAAGAACTGGAAGCTAAAAGTGAAGAAATCCTCCACAAAGTAGAACAAAAAGACAAGATGATGAAAAATAGGAGTAAACAGTTAAGGAAATTAGAAGATTAAATCAGGAGGTCCAAGCATCCAATTATCCACAAAGCAGAAGCAGAAAAATAGGAGGCCGGGTGCAGTGGCTCATACCTGTAATCACAGTACTTTGGGAAGCCAAGGCTGGCGGATCACTTAAGCCCAGGAGTTTGAAACCAGCCTGGGCAACACAGTGAAACCCCTTCAAAACAAAAATTCACCAGGCGTGGTGGCGTGCACCTGTAGTCCCAGCTACTTGGGAGGCTAAGGTGGGAGGACCACCTGAGCCTGGAAGTCAAGGCTACTGCGGGCCAAGATTGCACCACTGCACTCCAGCTTGGGTGACAGAGCAAGACCCTGTCTCAAAAAAATAAAAAAGAATAAAGGAGGAAAGTGCCAAAGAAACAGAAGTTTGACCAAATAGTGTTTTAGTGTATGTAAGTAAGTTTGTAAGTCCTTTAATAGCTTCTGTTACTAAAATATTAAAATGCTTCCCTACATAAATATGTTTCCTAAGCCCCCTGAATGTGCTCCCTTCCCCATCTGTTAGCCCAAGTCCCCATGAGTGCCCAGAGGGTACCACCAAGGGGTCATGCTGGTGCCCACCAGCCTGCTAGTCAGCCCCTAATCACTGCTCCTTACCAGCCCCTAATCCCTGTAAGAGCCTGCAGGGGAACGGTGCCCTGGTGCGGCATTGGCACCTGGAGGTCGGAGCTCAGTGCCTCAGGTACCCCTGAGACTGCTTCCCCTCCCACTGCTGGCCAGCTGCCCCAAAGTCACCCTCACAAGGCCTTGCCCAGTAACTGTGGCCGCTGAAGAGCCTGTACCAGTTGTCAAACACTGTTGGGGATATCACTCTGGGAACTGCTGGGTAGAAGGCAGGGAGATGACACTAGGGCTCTGGCTCCCATATTGCCAAACCCAGTGGCCACATTTGCCTGGGACCTGCTGCGCCAGCCATGTGCGATTCTCCTAATGGTCTCCCTCCAGCCCCCAGAACTCCACCTGCGGGGGCTCTGCCCTCTGGTCGTTCTCTCTCAGACTCTGCCTTTTACACACCTGGCCAGGCCAACTCATCTCCTTTGGTGGTTTTCAGCTCCGGATCCAGAGGTCCACAGCTTCTAATTCTCTATGCCCATACACCACCACTGAGGGCCTGTGATGTGCTGGGCACTGGGCAGATAGCAGTGACCAAGACAGACCCATGTGTCTGGCTACCTGTTGAGAGGCAGGCATCTCGCGCCACCTTTCCCCTCCCTCTAGATCACTCCCTTCCTGGGTTCCACATTTCCAAATACGGCTCCTCCATCTACCCAGCTGCCCACACCAGAGACGGGCGCCTCCCCGTGCCCAGCACCAGCCCGTCCCCTAGAACAAATTATTTTGCTTTCTATTTCTCCTCTTCGATTCTTCTTCTCCAGCCTCCCTCCTCAACAACCATCAAGAAGGAACTTCTCAACACAGAGTTTAGACAGAGCAGCCAGGGAAGGCCTCTCTGAGGAGGTGACATTTCAGCAGAAGCCTTGGGGTGGGGGCAGTTCTGGGCAGGGGAGGGGTCTGTACTAAAGCTGCAGGCAGGAAGCCGCGGGCATTGGAAGTGCAGGGTGGCTGGAGGTCAGAGAGCAGGCATTTGTGCAGATGATGCACCAGGGAGGCAGGGCCAGGCTGGGCTTAGGAAGGGACTGGGGCTTTGGCTGAAAGCACTGGGAAGGCACTGTAGGATTTCAAGCAGGGGACTAGCATGAAATAATTTACCTTTTTGAAAGCTCCTCTGGCTGCTGCGTGGGAAACAAATTGGAGGGAAGCCAGAGCTGAGGCCAGAGAGCTAATGTGGGGGCCCGACAGGAGACAAAGAGCACAGGGGACTCCCAGTGTCTCCCATGGGACACAGCTTCCCGAAGCTGCTCAGACTGAGCTGGAAAGCGCCCATCTGGAGCCCAAAGTTGAAGCAGGAAAGAGCTGTTCCTAGGGCCCTGGCACCTCTTGCTGTCCCTGGCCACCCACACAAGCGAAGGCTCCTCATAGGGCCACCCTCTGTTTTTTCTTTTGTTTTGTTTTTTTGAGACGGAGTCTTGCTCTTGTTGCCCAGGCTGGAGTGCAATGGCACGACCTCGACTCACTGCAACCTTCACCTCCCTGGTTCAAGTGATTCTCCTGCCTCAGCCTCTCAAGTAGCTGGGATTATAGATGCCCACCACCATGCCTGGCTAATTTTTTATATGTTTAGTAGACACGGGGTTTCCCCATGTTGGCCACGCTGGTCTTGAACTCCTGACCTCAGGTGATCCACCCGCCTTGGCCTCCCAAAGTGCTGGGATTACAGGCGTGAGCCACCATGCACGCTCTGTTCTTAGATGATCCCTACTCCCTGGTCAGCCACAGCTGCTGTGCTGGGGCACTGTCTGGTCCTCTTCCGGCCTTGGTGGGCAACACAGTCACAAGAAGCCCACCATCAGGAGCCCAGGGAGGGAGGGAGGATGAGCTCAGGGGTTGCAGGTCAAGTCCATCTCCCACCCCTATTTACCACATCATCCCAGGCAGGAGCGCTCCCCTCTAAGGCCCTTGGTGCCCTTGTCAGTAAAACATAATATTTTCCATGTAGGGGTGCACAGAGGAAGAAATGAAACTTTGTGTGTCATGAGAAAGAGCAGACTCTGAAGCCCAGTGGTCTGGGTTTGAATCCCAGCTCTGTGACTTAAAGGCTGTGTGACCTTGGGCAAGTAACCCAGACTCTCTGTTTCCTAGGTCTGGCATGTTTGAAAAACATCCAGTGTGGACTAAGCAAGGAGCCTTAGAGAGGTCAGAGAGGCAATGCAGGCTTTGCAGAACTTTAAGGCCCATGTGTGGACTTTGGCTTTGACTCTGAGTGAGATGGGGAAGCTGGGGAATGAGCTGGGAAGACCATGGGTTAAGGCTCTTGCTCCAACTACAGCACTGCAGGGCCCGTAGAGAGGAAGGCCAGAGTAGATGGCTGAGACCAATCAGGAGGCCACAGCACCAGGGAGGGGCAGTGGTGGCCCAGACCAGGGCAGTGATCGGAGGAAAGAGCAGCCAGTTTCAGAATCTCTGTAGAAATAGTTGACAGGGTTATAAACAAGACTGAGAAAGAGGTTGGAGAGGCCCCTGAAAAGGCCAGAATCCTGGGAACTGGAGGAAGGAGAAATGGGTGAGGACAGTTAATGAGGCAGGCCTGAGTCCCAGAGCTGGAAAAAGGGCCACTGAATTGGGCCTAGCAGGGCTCAGGCCAGGGGCTCCCCTCCTCCTTCCATTCTTAGCCCATATTTGTGTGCATTTACAGACACCCATATCTGAGTGTGACAAACTCCCCAGTCCCCTGCCTGCTGACTTCAGGCCAAGCTCCAGCTGGCACCTGCCGCACGCCATCTCCAAGGCCCAGAGGTGGTGTGAGGAATGGACGATCAGACCAGTGCCCCTCCCGGCGGCTCCTTTCCCCTTTCTCTTAGCCCCACCCGGCGCTCCCAGCCCCTGGCTGCAGCTGATGAGCCCTCCGTGACCCCTTAATGAGTGCCTGGGTTCGATCTCATCTTGGTGCCCCACTGAACGACCTCATTAGGGGCCTTGTGGCAAGTTGGCGGCTTGACATGGGCAAAGGCCAGGCAGAGATAAGCCAAGAGGTTTCACCCCACTTAGAGATATAAGCTCCAATTAATAAGAATATTATCATTAAGTGACATTTATGGAGCACATTAATGTGTGCTAGGCCCTGAACTAAGCATTTTACGGGCGTCACTTACCAAAACCTCTAACTGACAGGGGGTAATGGCCAGGGCCATGGACTCGGGGGCAGACTATCTGGGTTCAAACCTCCGCCCTGTGCTTACTGGGCACCTTACTCCACCTACCACGGCTCAGTCTCCTCATCTGTAAATGACGGCAATAGAGTTCCTATCTTACAAATTGTTGTGAGGCTTCAATAACTTAACCCGGGTAACGCACTTAAAGGAGTGTTTGGCACACAGGAGGTGCTACTGTGCTTATGCCTTGCAGTTAAATAGGAATTAAATCAATGGCAGCTTCCTGGGGCAGAAGAAGGTCCCTGGAAGTGCGAAAAGATGGAGAATAGTGGACTTACCAGAAATCTCTCAGGGAGTTGGTGGAGATGCTCCCGAGAGTTGGGGGCAACCCCCCGGGATCCCTCATTCTCTCCATGAGGGCAGGCCTCTGAATAACAGGATTCTGGCTTATGGAGCAGAAATGTTCAAATTTGGGTCCCGAGCTGAATTTCAAGACTGTGACAGAGAGGCTGAGTTCTTTCAGCTCCAAACAAAATGAGTGTTGTGCAAACATCCGAGGAACACAGGTCTGCGGGGGCAGGGCTGGGTGGACAAGGAGCCCCTAGCTCCTAGGTCATCTCTCTAGGGAGGGCCTGTTCTTAGCCTCAGTTGATAGAGACCAAGTTCGCAGACAGGAGATAATATGTCCAAATTTGAATCCAGATCCACTGGCCTTTAAAGTCCCTGCCCTTAAAAGCTGGTCCTAAGAGAGGAGCTGCTGTGAGCCCTTGAGGTCTGGGTAGGAAGGGAAGAACCTTCCTCGCTGGGGAACAGGGGGACCCTCTGGCCCCCTAGCATCTCTGAGAGCTGAGGCAGGAAGTGTGTTCTCACTTGGAAGATGCAGAGATTTAGGCCCAGAGTTGGGGAGCCACTTTTCCGTGACTCCTAGCAGGTTATGACCCTGATGATGTAGTAAAGCCTTAGGGGTCAGACAGCCTTGGGTTCAACTCTTGATCTGCTATTAATTTGTGTGACCGTGGACAACTGTCTTGGCTGAGCCCATTCCCTCCTCAGTAAAATGCAGAGAGCGTATCCTCCTCTTCCAAGCGTGGAGGAATTCAATGAGCTGATAAAGCCCAGCCCAGCTCTAGGAGATGCTCAAGAAATTGTACTGGCATCTCATGTGAGCACATCACCTGCTATATATAGGCTCTCAGTTAAGTCAAAAGACAGGAGCCAGGCACAGTGGCTCATGCCTGTAATCCCAGCACTGTGGGAGGCCAAGCTGGGTGGATCACTTGAGGTCAGGAGTTCGAGACCAGCCTGGCCAACATGTGAAACCCCATCTCCGCTAAAAATACAAAAATTAGCTGGATGTGGTGGCATGTGCTTGTAATCCCAGCTACTCAGGAGGCTGAGGCAGGAGAATCACTTGAACCCAGGAGGTGGAGGTTGCAGTGAGCCGAGATCATGCCACTGCACTCCAGCCTGGGCGACAGAGCAAGACTCTATCTCAAAAGAAAAAAAAAAAGACGGATTCAGCCCTGGGAACTACCTTCATGCACGTATGTGGGTGGGTGGGGAGAGCAGGCTCAGGCCTGGCTCACCTGACACCAGGAGGACAAGACTCAGAGGCCCAGAAAGCTCAGGAGTTGGTCTGCGGGTCTCCAGCTCAGTGCTGAGGCCTCCATGTCCTCACAGTCCCACTTCTGGCCTGGAGCTGGCTTGATTCCCACAGGGAGACAGGAAGGAACAGTGACCCTGGAATTCCCCAGGGGCCTCTGGGTGGAGCTGGGGACCCCACTCAAATCCCAGGGAGAGAGGGCTCTTCTGTATGGACTTACCTGCCATAGTATAAGATGGTTTCAGGCTTGATGGATCCGTCTAGGTGGACATGCAGTTCCACCTGCAAGGGGGCAGGGGGAAGAGAGAGAGAAAGGGAGAGAGAGAACAAATACCTATGAGTTCACGAAGGACCTTTCAGAGCTTAATGTTAACATTAATCATGATAACCATTAGCCACCATTTTACTGGCTGGCTGCTGACCCCATATACTTCGGTAAACTCTGTACTGCACTATCTCATTTAATCCGCTCCTGGGATGTGGGTTCAGCTGTTATCTCGATCTCTTTCACAATTGAGGACACTGAGGTTCGGAGGTGTTAAATATCTCATCCAAGGCCACACAGATTGCAAGTAATAGAGGCAGGAGCCCAACCCAGTATCTTTGTTCTTAATCGCAGCTGGTGAGTGGCAGAGGCGGAATTCTAACCCAAGCCCAATTCCAAAGCTTGTGCTCCAGGTCACGTAGGCAGCTCCCGCTCTCAGCCAACTAAATAAACTACTTTAACAAAAGGGATTGACCCAGATGTCCCAAACTAGGGAAGAGTCACAGCATATTTCAAAATTCAGGATCCATTTTCGTTTTCTTTTTTTTGAGACGGATGGAGTCTCGCTCTGTCTCCCAGGCTGGAGTGCAGTGACATGATCTCCTCTCACTGCAACCTCCACCTCCTGGGTTCAAGCAATTCTTGTGCCTCAGCCTCCGGAGTAGCTGGGACTATAGGCAGGTGCCACCACGCCCAGTTAATTTTTGTATTTTTAGTAGAGACAGGGTTTCACCATGTTGCTCAGGCTAGTCTCGAACTCCTGACCTCAGGTGTCCACCCACCTCAGCCTCCCAAAGTGCTGGGATTACAGGTATGTGCCACCGCAACCGACCCAGGCTCCATTTTCAAAAGCAGATGCTACTCAAGCATAGCCTATCAGGAATCAATATTAGGCAACGGAAGATCTTTCTAGTACTCTAGAGTTTAAGAGTAGGATCCTTGGAGGCAGCCCATCTGGCTTGACTCCCAGTTCTGCTGTGTGACCTCAGACAAGACACTTGACCTCTCTGAGCCTCAGTTTCCTCAACTGAAAAACAATGGAATATTATGCCCCCGTGTCCAAGAAAAATTGTAAGGATTAAAAAGGGCAGTGTAGGTGGACATGGATAGCCCAAAGGAAACAGCCCCTGCCGCTCAGTCAGGGTGTTTACCATGAGCTGTTAGGAGAAGCACAGCAGGCAGTGGGAGATGGTGGGGAAAGGGACTTTGCTGTTCCTGCTGTTCCTGTTCCAAATGATGGAAGCTTTCCCCCTAGCTAGGGGAGATCCAGAAAACTCTCAGCTGACATCTCATGCTGGGGTGGGGAGCATGGAGAGCTGGATAAGAAAGTTGGCTGCCCTGGCTCAGGGAGGAACAGCCAAGGAGCTGCTGGCCCAAGGGCGTCTAGGAGCACATACATGAGCTGCCTCCTGCAGAGGAAACCCAACCCAGGCCCAGGGGAGGCCAGCAGGGAACAGAGACACCAGAGGTCCTATCAGCAGGACCTCAGAGTCATCAGATCTCTCCTGAGGTCATCCAGCTGGCAGGGGACAGAGCGGTCTTCACACCCAGTCTCAGGGCCAACTTAGTTGTTGAATTCCCTGACAAAATGAGTTCAGTTCCCACCCAGCCAAACGTCTGTTTCTCGGGTTCTCAAAATATGCTCAGCATTGGGAATACTGAAGCTTATAGCCCAGGGAACGGCCAACCAGCTGTGTGACCTCAGGCAAGGGACCTCAACTCTCTGAGCCTCTGTTTTCTATCCTTAACCCTCACAGGGCTATGGAGAGGGCCCAGCCAGAGAGCCGGAGTCACACTGTATAGAGCATCATGCGGTTAGAGCTGGAATCTCGGCTCCTCCACTCACTCCCTGCTTGACCCTGAGAAAGTCACTTCACTTCCTGTGCCTCGGCATCCTCATCTGTTAAGTGGGGAGAATGGCAGTCCTTCCTTCTAGGCTTCATGAGGGTTAACTGCATTAGTAGGCAGGGAGTTCTTGGCACATAGCAAATGCTAAATAGTTGTCAACTAAAAGTCAATGAAGGCTGGGCATGGGGGCTCACGCCTGTAATCCAGCCACTTTGGGAGGCCGAGGTGGGTGGATCACCTGAGGCCAGGAGTTTGAGACCAGCCTGGCCAACATGGTGAAACCCCATCTCTACTAAAAATGCAAAAAATTAGCCAGGCGTGGTGGCGCACACCTGTAATCCCAGCTACTTGGGAGGCTGAGACAGGAGAATCACCTGAACCTGGGAGGCAGAGGCTGCAGTGAGCCGAGATTACGCCACTGCACTCCAGCCTGGGCGACAAGAGCGAAACTGCATCTCAAAAATAAAAAATAAGAATAAAATAAAAGTCAACGAAGGCCTGCGCTCCTGCTGGATGCTAGATTGTAGAGTTAAACAGGAGGGTCCAAGTCCTGTTCCTGGGGCTTGTACAGGCCCCAGAGTGGGAGAGGCATTAAGCAAATGTCACATGGGAAAATGTACAGTCACAAACCAAGACGACTCCTTGGGAAGTACGAACACAGTCCTATGACAGAGGGTAACAAACAAGAGAAGTGAATACATCTAGAGGGCCAACAATGAGCCTGAGCGAAAAGCTAGAGGATAGCGAGGAACCCACAACACAAGGCAGGGGTGCGGAGGGAGGCAGGAAGAAAATTCCAGGCAGAAGGAACAGCATGTGCAAGGCCCTATGGCAGGAGAAAACGGGGTATATGAAATGGATTAAATAGAGGTTCAGAGAAGGGAGGGTTCATGGTACTGGAGAGGCTGCAGGATAGGACCACCCAGGCAGGGCTGTGCGGGCCACGAGGAGTCAGGCTTTATCTGGAAAGCACACAGAGGCCATTGCAGGGTTGGCAGCTGGTTAGAGAAAGAGGATGGCTCCTCCAAGGCCAGTTAGAGGCTACTGCAGCCATTTGAAAGATGACGGTGGCTTGGACCAGGGTTGTGAGGTGCATAGAGGAAAAACAGGTGGATAGAAAGAGATGCCAAGGCTCACACTTCAGGTTAGGCCTGGGTGGGGAGCAATTCCCGCAGTTTGAGACAGAGAACTCTGGAAGAGAAGACCAAGTCCTGGAGCTCCCTCCAGGAGGGAGGATGCGGGGGAGGGAGGCATGATTGGTTTGGTTTTAGTTATGTTACACTAGAGACACCTTTTGTTTTTTGTTTTTTTAAGACGGAGTTTCACTCTGTTGCCCAGGCTGGAGTGCAGTGGCTCCAGCTCAGCTCACGGAAACCTCCACCTCCCGGGTTCAAGCGATTCTCCTGCCTCAGCCTCCCGAGTAGTTGGGACTACAGGCACCCACCACCATGCCCAGCTAATTTTTGTATTTTTAGTAGAGATGGGGTTTCACCATATTGGCCAGGCTGGTCTTGAACTCCTGACCTCAAGTGATCTGCCCACCTCGGCCTCCCAAAGTGCTGGGGTTACAGGTGTGAACCATCGTGCCCAGCCAACTGGAGATGCCTTTGAGATATCCAAAGGTAAGTGGAAGAACCCAGTGGGATACAAGAGTCTAGAGCTGGCCTGAGAAGCCCAAGCTGGGAATGTAGGTAGGAGTGTGGGTAAGCACAGAAGCTGTGGGCTTGAAGGAGCTCACCTAGGGAGAAAATATCAAGGGAGGTAAGGAAAAGGCCTAGGATGAAACTTTGACCAGCACAAGCACTTAATGGCCTTACGGAGGAGGCTGAGCCTACAGAACTGTGGCCAGAGAGGTGGGAGGGTGTGTGGTATGCAGAAGGCCAGGCCGTCAGATGTCAAGGAGAAGCGAGCAACGGTTCACAGGGTTAGCATAGTGGGCTGAATGGTGGCCCCCACAAAGCTGTCTACATGCTAATCCTAATCCCCAGAACCTGTAAATATTACCTTATATGGGTCGGGCGTGGTGGTTCATGCCTGTAATCCCAACACTTTGGGAGGCTGAGGTGGGTGGATCACTTGAGGTTAGGAGTTCAACACCAGCCTGGCCAACATGGTGAAATCCCCTCTCTATTAAAAATACAAAAATCAGCCAGGCATGGTGGCATGCACCTGTAGTCCCAGCTACTCAGGAGACTGAGGTAGGAGAATCATTTGAACCTGGGAGGCGGAGGTTGCAGTGAGCCGAGATTGAGCCACTAGCACTCCAGCCTGGGCAACAGAGCAATACTCCCTCTCAAAAAAAAAATATTAACTTATGGCGGGTGGATCACCTGAGGTCAGGAGTTCGAGACCAGCCTGGCCAACATGGTGAAACCCCATGTCTACTAAAAATACAAAAGTTAGCTGGGCATGGTGGCAGGTACCTATAATCCCAGCTACTCAGGAGGCTGAGGCAGGAGAATTGCTTGAACCTGGGGGCAGAGATTCCAGTGAGCCGAGATTAAATCACTTTACTCCAGCCTGGGTGAAAGTGCAAAACTCCACCTCAAAAAAAAAAAAAAAATTACCTTATATGGCAAAGTGTGATTATTAAATGTCTTGACAGGAAGAGTTTATCCTGGATTATCTGGTTGGGCCCTAGATGCAATCACATGTATCCTTATAAGACAGAAGCAGAGAGTTTTAAGAGAAACACACACAAGAGGAAGCAGCAACGTGACCTCAGAGGCAGAGACTGGAATGATGCAGCCACAAGCCAAGGAATGCCTAGAGCCACCAGCAACCAGAAGAGGCAAGGAATGGATTCCCCCGAGAGCCTTCAGTGGGCATGTGGCTCTGATGATATCTTGATGTTGGACTTCTGGCCCCCAGAACTGCCAGGGCACACGTTTCTGTTGGTTGAAGCCATGCAGGGTGTGGCAACTTGTCACGGCAGCCACAGAAAACTCACATGGTCAGGCCCTGCTGGAGGTCACAGGATGGAAGGGCAGAAACTTGTCCGTCGGGCTAAAAGCGCAGGCACTGGGGGCTTCAGAGGAGTAGTTCTTAACCCCGGCTGCAAGTTAGGAGCACGGGAAGTTCTGGCCAGTTCCCAAGGCCTCAACCCCATCTGAGGTCAATTAAAGAAAAATCCTTGGTGGCAGGCCCAGGTGGAGGACTTTTTTTAAAAAAACACGTAGTCAAGATTGGGAACCACTGCCGTAGAGGAACCGTTCTAGAGGCCTGAGTGAGGGTAGAATCCACATGGGAATAAGGTAAGAAAGAAGTGGAGGTAAGAAGAGGAAGAAGGTTTAGACTACTCTTTCACAATTTTGCCCCTAAAGGAACTAGCAGCCTTGGAGGGGGCAGGACGTGCATGTGGGTCAAGAGAATGGCAGGCTTTTTCAAAGGGGCATGTCTTGGGCAAGTTTAAACACCCATGGGGATGATTGAGGCTGAGTGAAAGGAGTTGCATGAGGTTACTGGGAAGGTAGGAGGAAGTCAGAAAGTCAGAAGGTCAAACCAGGCCTGGCCTTGGAGCCCCTGAGAACAGGAGGATCAGGCAGTGAATGGGGGCGGTAGTCACGTCCGCTTGTGGGTGGGACTGGTGGGGGGAGGTCTGCATGGCTACTTCTGGCTAAAGTATTTATTCATTTATTTATTTGTTGTTGTTGTTTTTTTTTTTTTGAGATGGAGTCTGGCTCTGTTGCCCAGGCTGGAGTGCAGTGGCAAGATCTCAGCTCATTGCAGCCTCTGCCTCCCAGGTTCAAGGGATTCTCGTGCCTCAGCCTCCCAAGTAGCTGGGATTACAGGCGCCCACCACCATGCCCGGCTAATTTTTGTACTTTTAGTAGAGACAGGGTTTCACCATGTTGGCCAGGCTGGTTTTGAACTCCTGACCTCAGGTGATCCACCCACCTAGGCCTCCCAAAGTGTTATGATTACAGGCGTGAGCTGCCTTACCCTGCCTGGCAAAAGTATTTAAATGCCAATTCAAGAGCCCACCTCCCAGCTCTGCTTTACTCTGGCACAACAATTGGCAATGTTCAGAGTGGAATCTTCCCATCTGCCTGGGGCCCTGAGTGATCCAAGGAGCCGAAACCTCACTGGAGGCCCTGGAGGGACAAGCAGTATGAGGTCAACCTGGGTCTCTGCAGACCCCTCAGACCTGGGGGCTGTTTGTTACCACAGCAGCACAAGGTAGCCTCTCCTGCCTCAGAATGAGCAAACACACCTTTCTGAACTCAGCCTTGCAAACTGTGATAAGAAGCAGACCAAGTGCTATGAGATAAAGAAAAATCACACTGGGGTGGGGGCAATTTAGAAAGTGTGTTGGGAAAAGATCACTTAAAGGGGGAGTTCGCCAGGGAGAAGAAAGAAGGAGAGGGAGAATGGCTCCAGGCAGGGGAGCTGCGTGTGCTTAGTGTCTGAATCAGGAAGCAGGCGGGGAGTTGGCCAGAGTGCAGAGTGAGGTTAGTGGTGAGAAATGAGGCCAGGGCAAAGTGGAGAGGGGGCAGGGAGATTGCAGAGGCCGAAGCAAAGGGTTTTCCACCCAAGTGTGTTAAATCGGAGAGTCCCCTTTAAAAAAACCTTTCCCGGCTGCTGTGTGGAGGACAGGATGGCAGGAAGCCAGAACAGAAGACCAGCTACTGCGGGAGGGAAGATCTGATTGGGATTTGAATAACATGCGGGAAGTACTCAAGGCAGCGTCAGAGACAGTGGGTGCTCAGCGGGGCAGAAGCCAGACAGTGCCGGGGTGCAGAAGCTAGGGGTTCAGGGAGCTGGGCAGGAGGCAGGAGCGCCTCTGGGAAGGGGGAAAGCAGAGCCAGCTGCCCACCATGACCAGTAGCACTCATCCCTTCTCACGGCTGCCTGAGAAGAGGCCCAGACGCGTTTCAGGTGTGGAGCAGAGGCAGGAAGCCACCTCCACAGGTGGCTCAAGCTCAGGCAGGCCTCCTACTGAATTTTCTAGAAAACTGCAACACACCATGGGAAGTCTGTCAGCCTATTCCAGATGACAATGACAATGGGGTGGCGACCCCGCTCTCCTGTCTCCTTTCAGGGAAAAGGGTCAGCAGTGGCCTCAAACTTTTGAGTATCTACTATGTGCTAGACCATCTATATGCATTATCTTATTTCATCCTTACAACCAGCAAGGTAGAGACTTCACTCCCATTTTACTGATGAAGAAACTGAGGTTCAAAGAAGTACCCCAAAACAGTCAGTGATGGAGTCAGAATTTGAACCCTAGTCTGATTCTTGAGCTCCTAACCACTCTACTGTACTGCCTCTGTGGGCCTAGCCTCAGACATCAATAATACAGAAATAATAATAATGATAAAGCAGCTACCTACTGTTTTCAGACCCTTTATCTCATTTAATCCCTAGGCAATGTACATATCGGCCCATGTTACAGATGGGGAAATGGACTTGCCAGGCTAAGCCCGGAGAAGTTCAGTGGCCTGTCCAGAGTTACACAAAATTGATGGTGGTAGAGCTAGGGTGGAACTCAAGTCCCTCTGCCTCAGCCC
The DNA here is from genome assembly GCF_000001405.40 of Homo sapiens. NCBI lineage: Eukaryota > Metazoa > Chordata > Mammalia > Primates > Hominidae > Homo > Homo sapiens. Next base: position 44,643,630 of record NC_000020.11, read on the forward strand.
AAGCCCTGCCCACAGGCCACACCCCCTCCCTGGCACTCATGTCGAGACAGTGCCTGGCCTCCTGACCTCTCCAGAGGGGAATCTCACGCCCCTTCCCACTGCCTTTGCTCTCTGCAAGGCTGACTCACAGCCAGCCCAGCATTTGTCTGAACAGCAGGAAATCCTCCCAGCGCTGATGTGAACAGGAAGCATCCTCAGTTACCAACAAATATTTACTAAGCCCCACTATGTGCCAGGCACCGTGGAGGCCCTCGGGAAATGCACTAAGTCCCTGCTCTCAAGAGATGCGTGCCAGAGAGGTCCAGGGCGGTGGGTTCACTTACCCAAGGTCACTCAGTGTGTCGGTGGCAGAGCTACCATGAGGACCCAGGTCTTGGACTCCTGGGACAGATACTCCCAGATCTGACTCATGTTTCCACGTTCCCAACTGCTGGAGGGCGAGCAGGGCCGTCTACCTCCAAGGCAAACCTAGTCAGATTAGTTCTCCCTGGTGAGCCTTGGGGACAACTAATCTGACTGGGTTTACCTTGGAGGTAGACGCCCTGCTCGCCTCCGGCAGTTGGGTTTGCCTCCCAAACACATCGCTCTGTTTTGTTTTCGTCTGACTTTTTGGGTTCATGTATGTAACATGTCTGTCTCCCTCATGAGCCGTTTGCTGAGAGGGGGGACCTTGTCTGTGTCATCATGTCGTGTCCTCAGCACCTCGCACAGCACCTAGTGCTCTCTGTGTTCAATGACCACACCGTTATTTCCTCGTTTCCCTGTCCCATGTCAGCAATGCTGGGTGCTCTCCCTGCAACAAGGAAGGGGCTGACCTGCCCCCATGGGACCTGGCAGAACCCACACGGGGGCAGAGGAGCCAGGGCTGCCTGGTCAGCTCACAGAACCTGAGCACCGTGGCCAGAACCCAGATGAGCCACAGGTGCCCACTGCCAATCGAATGTCCCCTCCCTCCCTAGCCCTGCTTTTGGTGATGAGCTGGGCAGTGCCAGGGTCAGTGACTTATGCCACTATGGCCTCTCAACTGACTTTTAGTGTGAGGCCAGGAGACAGAGCAGCCCTGGGCTGAGAAACTGTTTCAGCTCCACTTCCTCCAGGAAGCCCTCTATGCTCAGCCTCATCTAGGCTCCGCCAGCTCCGAGGTACACAGTGGAAGGGACTGAGCAGTCCCCACAGTGTCTCCTGCTGACGGGGCCTGACAGCTCTGCTGCTGAGAGGTTTCACAGAAGGCAAGATGTGTCTTCCACCTGGGGAAATTCCTGTGGAGCCACAGCATAGGGACTCAGCACACTTAAACTCGTTTTAAAGGCAACAAGACTGAGGCTCAGAGAGTGGGAGGACCTTGAGTTAGAAAGTCTAATGCATACCACAGCCAGGAAGCTATTTGACTCTAAACCCGGAGGTCTAGCAGCACGCTCCCTGCATGCCACATAGCAAGGTGCTGGGTCACTGATGCTAACATCTAAACAGGGGCCAGGTGCGGTGGCTCACTCTTGAAATCCCAGCACTTTGGGAGGCTGAGGTGGGTGGATCACTTGAGGCCAGGAGTTTGAGACCTCCTCTTCACAGAGGTGGAAGGGAGGACCAGCGGGGGCAAGTGTATCCCAAGTCCCAGCTACTTGGGAGGCTGAGGCAGGAGGATCGCATGAACCCAGGAGGCAGAGGTTGCAGTGAGCCAAAATCGTGCCACTGCACTCCAGCTTGGGTGACAGAGGAAGACTCCAGCTCAAAAAAAAAAAAAAAAAAAAAGTCACTGAAGTCACCTGGTACCCAGGACTACTTCAAGGACAGCCATTGTTATGGCCAACATGGTGAAACCCTGTCTCTACTAAAAACACAAAAATTAGCCAGGCATGGTGGCGCACACCTGTAATCCCAACTACTTGGGAGACTGAGGCAGAAGAATCACTTGAACCCGGGAGGCAGAGGTTGTAGTGAGCCGAGATTGCACCACTGCACTCCAGCCTGGGCGACAGAGTGAGACTCTGTCTCAAAAGTCAAAGTAGGACCATTACCAACCATGATGATGATGCTGACCAATGGCAGCTATTGCTGCAGCACCTGCTCTGAGCCAGGCCTGCACTTGGTGTTTGAGAGGTGGGTATGGGTATAATTCTCATTTTAGAGAGGGGAAACTGAGGCACCGTGAAGTTAAATGACTCATTCAAGCTCCTCTAGCTGGAAAGTGGGAAATCAGGACTCAGACCCAGAGAGCCTGACCCCAGCTGGTGTCCAAGTTCAAATTCCTTGCTGTTCTAGCTCCCTGGTCACTAGGAGTGCAGAGGTTATCCCCCACAACTGCTCAGGGGCCTGAGAACATTAAGGGCTGAGGGCAAGCCTACCCCCAACACCTTGGGTAAATACAGATTCCAACCTCACTCTGCGCCCACAGCCTGCTCCTCTCCACCTCCCCAGCCAGACCATGGTCCTACTACCTTGCCCCGCCCCAGGGGGTACCACAGGGACCCCTTCAAGACACCTGAGCAGGTGGACAAGTCTCTCCTGGATCACAGGGCCCCCAGCCACCCAGGTCAAGCCCACCCTGAGGTTGAATGCAGGATTGGGAAGCTGCCTGGCCTCCCCTGCCTCCCTGTGTGAACACAGACCACTTCCTCTCTCTGATCCTCCCTTCCTCCTCCGAAGCAAAAGGCTTCGATGAAACTCAGTCTCCTTTGTTCCCCTCCACCACCAACTGCCATGTGAGTCAAAATGGGTAAGGCAGGCTCTTCCTAGGCACATTTTTGTTTTAACAGGTGGCTCTGGTAACTGAAAGCCACTGCAAGCCCAAAGAAGTGCAGCTGGTGGGTTTTGTGTCAGGAAGACAAAAAGGAGGAGGGAGGAGGGAGATTCTGCAGCTGGAGAGGCCTCCCAGAGTCTACTGCAACCCCCACTCCAGTCCCCAGGAAGGAAACGCACCCCTGAGGGCCTGCTGTTACCAGCCAGGCACTGTACAAAAACCAATCAGCATGTCAGTTTCCCCAAGAACCCCAAGATCTTGGTTTTGTCACCCCATTTTACAGAGGGGGAAGCTGAGTTTCAGGAGTTGTCTACCTGAGGTACCCTAGCTGCTAAGCGGCAGGCAGGAATTCAACCCCAGTACATCTGAAGCCCAGGGCTAATGCACTGGCCCACCCTGCCACCCTGATTCTAACTCTTCCCCCCACACTGCCCCCTCTTTTTTGCATAAAGTGGAATTGGCAAATGAGCAAAGCAATGAACAGCTTCTACTTGAGTGCAGGCAGATCTGGGTTCAAGTCTAGCTCTGCTGCTTGCCAGCTGTGTGACTTTGGCAAGTTCCCTCCCCTCTCTGAGTCTCAGTTTCCTCATAATAAGTGAAGTTAATAATAGGACAGGACCTTCCTCAGAGGGCTGACATAAACATTAAATGAGTCACTGTATGCAAAGCAGGACAGCGCCTCGTGCAGAGTAGACATTCAAATATGAGACAGAAAAGGCACATTGCTGATTTAGCCCCAATTCCCCTCTGCATCAGAGAGGGACAGTTTAGAAACTGCTGTCCCTTGGCCGGGTGCGGTGGCTCATGCCTGTAATCCCGGCACTTTGGGAGGCTGAGGTGGGCGGATCACCTGAAGTCGGGAGTTCGAGACCAGCCTGGCCAACAAGGAGAAACCCCGTCTCTACTAAAAATACAAAAAATTAGCCGGGCATGGTGGTGCATGCCTGTAATTCCAGCTACTTGGGAGGCTGAGGCAGAAGAATCACTTGAACCTGGGAGGCGAAGGTTGCAGTGAGCCGAGGTCGTGCCATTGCACTCCAGCCTGGGCAACAAGAGCGAAACTCTGTCTAAAAAAAGAAAAAAAGAAAGAAACTGCTGTCCCAGCCTGTACCTGTTCACTTGCCAGTCTACAGCTTCAAGGCTCTCAGATTTTGTGTAGCCCTGGCAAGTCCCTCCACTCCCTAAGCTTCAGTTTCTTCATCTGTAAATGGGGATGAAGACCCATGCCTTGTCAAGTCGTCCAGAGGATTCCGTGAGATAAAAGTTACTAGCCGGGCACAGTGGCTCACACCTGTAATCCCAGCGCTTTGGGAAGCCAAGGTGGGAGGATCACCTGAGATCAGGAGTTCGAGACCAGCTGGCTAACGTGGTGAAACCCTGTCTCTACTAAAAATACAAAAATTAGCCGGGCGTGGTGGTGGACGCCTGTAATCCCAGCTACTCCGGAGGCTGAGGCAGAAGAATGGCTTGAACTCGGGAGGTGGAGGTTGTAGTGAGCCAGGATCACACCACTGCACTCCAGCCTGGGCAACAGAGTGAGACTGCGGCACACGCCTGTAGTCCCAGCTACTTGGGAGGCTGAGGCAGGAGGATCGCATGAACCCAGGAGGCAGAGGTTGCAGGGACCCAAAATCTTGCCACTGCACTCCAGCTTGGGCGACAGAGTGAGATTCTGGCAAAAAAGAAAAAGTCACTGAAGGCACCTGGTACCCAGGACTACTTCAAGGACAGCTATTGTTATGATTATTGTAACAGGCATGTGATCAGCACTGGCCTCCAGGATGCAGAATGCCTGAGTGCCTGGTGCCACCTGTGAACATAGGCTGATAAGGGCCACCCCTGCAACCCCCCTTTCCACTTCTTCCAGTGCCCAGCAGGTGCTAAGTCAAACCAGGTGGGGGTATGGGAGGCACACCCGACAGGGCAAACTTGACTTGGGCATCCCCTGACGATGACCCTGCATGGCAGGCACACTTGAATGGGTGTTCAGAGTTCTGAGCGAAGGAATCCAAGAGTGGCCAACCTGGAGATCCAGTCGTTATCTATGAGGAACATCTGAGCCCCACCCCATTCCCACGGGACACTGACCATACAGGGGTATAGGGACCGAGGCCCTTTGTTTTGGGTTAAATGAAGGTTACTAGGTGGAGATGGTTGGGAGAAGGTGTTAAATGAAAATGCTACATAAACTGCATGATTTGCAAGTGGTTGCGGTTCTTCTGCTCAGTCTGCCGCCACTGGACTCTCTTCCCTGTGTCTAAGCCCCCAGTAAAACCCCGTATCTTGTTTGCTACCTCTTCCAAAGAAGGTAGCCTCTTGAACCTGGTGCTATATCCATTGGAGTCAATAGGGGTCCCGCACAACAGAAGGCAGCTGCCTAGGGCCTTGCTAAGCAAAGTGTGTTCCTGGATCGTTGACATTAGCATTTCCTGGGAGCTGGTCAGCAGTGCAGCATCGCAGGCCCCAACCCGACCCACACAGAATCACAGTGTGAACATTAAAAGTCAGGCCACTTGAGTGCAGTTTGAAAAGCGCTGCCCTGCTCTGCTTTCTTCTAGCTGACCAGGTCCCAGGCCTCAGCTGGTGGCAGGTATGAGAAGCTGAAGGACACAGCAAAGGCTCCTGTCTCAGGAGGTTTGCACCTGGGGCACTGGCACCTCTATCCCCAAAGGCTTCTGCAGAGGTAGTTTAGGAAAGATGGTTAGAGGCATGGGATTTCGAAGCCAGCCTCCCTTGGACTCAAACCCCAGATTGGACATTTCCTAGCTGTGTGATCTTGGGCCTAGTTAACCTCTCTGTGCCTGGATTAAATAAAAAATGCAGATAATGTGTTTAGAACGGTGCCTGGCACAGAAACATCAACACTCCATTAGCTGCAGCTAGTAATGCTAATAATTATAACTGTCATCTGTCCCTCCCACAAGAGGGCAGGGAGCTGGCTCTGGTCACAGTGGCTCTGAGATTCACACTCCTTCCCACTTCTCCTGCCAGCTCACACAAGTTCCTCCTCACAATCATACAAGATTTGTCACGCCTCAAACACATGGCAGGTAACATTCTACCTTCACTCTCAAGCATCACCTTGTGGCCTTGGGACTCAGGACACGGGACACCCACATAAGCAGCTGATGTTCCATCCTCCAGGTGTGGACACTGAGGTCCCAATAGGGAAAATGATCTGCCAGCTTGAATCAGATGGGAGGACTGAGCAAGGCCAAAAAATGGGGATAATAATATGAGCCCCTCCCTTGATGGGCTGTTACAGAAGAACTGCAAGGATCCAATGGGTGTCTGCAACAAGTGCTCTAGAAGTGGGCCCTGCTGTTCTCTCCATAACTCCCAACATGTTCGCAATCAAGGAGCCTTTTTTTTTTTTTTTTTTTTTTTGAGACAGCGTCTCACTCTGTCACCCAGGCTGGAGTGCAATGGCGAGATCTCGGCTCACTGCAAGCTCCACCTCCTGGGTTTATGCCATTCTCCTGCCTCAGCCTTCTGCGTAGCTGGGACTACAGGCGCCCGCCACCATGCCCAGCTAATTTTTTATATTTTTAGTAGAAATGGGGTTTTGCCATGTTGGCCAGGCTGGTCTCGAACTCCTGGCCTCATGATCCACCCACCTTTGCCTCCCAAAGTGCTGGGATTATAGGCGTGAGCCACTGCACCCCGCCAATCAAAGAGCTTTGCTATTGCCATAGGATTCACATCAGGGTACAGTGGGTCCCCAGCCCAAGGGCAGAGGGAGCCCAGAGCATTTAATAAAAAGACTGCAAAGGGGAGGCGCCAATCATGGGCCCCAGCTCCAGTAAGACGTGAAGGAGGCAGGGGTGGGGGTAGGAGGGCTTGTACAGCACCTCAGTGCTTCCAGCTTCTGACGGGGAGTAGCTGAGCATTTTCCCTGGGCTGGGGGCATCAGTAGTGGGGGCCAGGCCTCACCCTCCTCAGAAGGTAGGTGGGCTCTCCACAGCCTGTCTCCCTCACTGACACATGCACACTCACTGGATTCTCACCGGCACTTTTGTGATAGCTGTCATCATCATTCACACCTATTTCTTTTCTTTTCTTTTTCTTCTCTTTTTTTTGAGACAGGGTCTCGCTCTGTCTCCCAGGCTGAAGTGCAGTGGCACCATCACACCTCACTGCAGCCTCAACCTCCTGGGCTCAAGCGATCCTCCCGCCTCAGCCTCCTGAGTAGCTGGGACTACGGGAGTGCACCACCACACACACTTCCCCTAACTTTTTTTATTTTTTGGAGAGACGGGGTCTAGTTTTGTTGTCCAGGCTAGTCTCAAACTCCTGGACTCAAATGATCCTCCCGCCTCAGCCTCACAAAGTGCTGGGATTACAGGCGTGAGCCAACCTCCTGGGCCACTCACACCTATTTCTTAGAAGGGTAAGTTGAGGCTGACTGCAGCTGACTCCTTCCCCAACCACTCTCACACCCTACTGGCTGACTCACCCTGCTTGGCAGACTCCTGGGCCCCTCCTCTCGGACTCTGCGACAGGCCAAGGGGGTCCAGACCCTCCCTGACCCCAACAGTCCCAAGACGCCACAGCTGGTGGGCGGAGAAACAAGGGGATTCTCCCCTGGGGCCAGTGGCCATGGCTTGGCCTCGAGTGAACCCTGCTAGGGCCCCAAACCCAGGGCCTACCTAGCTCCTGTTCTTCCCGCGCGGGGGAAGGGGGGTGCTCTGCTCCCCTCCCTCCCCTTTCTGGCAGGGCTCACGGTTCTTCCCCGGGGCGCATCCACAAACCTGAGCTCCTTGGCGCTCACCACCATAACGCTGGCGTACAAAGCTGCTTCCATTCACTGAGCACTCAGTAGGCGCCGGGCACAGCACTAGGTGCCTATCCGGCGTAGACATCGGGCCTGATCATACAGCTGAGCTTCAGAGACCTCAAGTCCCTGCCCAGGCCCACACAGCGCTCAGCGGTGCTAGGATGCCCACTTGACAGACAGCGAAACTGAGACCCAGAGGGGTCAAGTCAGGGGCAGAAGCAGACTCTGGAGGCCTCCGGGTTCTGGACCTTCTCTGCCCCATTGTCCCTGATTAGCCCGCAAGCAAGCCACGGCCTAAGCCGAAGGAAGAACTCGCCTGCAGGAGCCCCCGTTCGTTCCCAGGGTTTGGACGCCCCGGGCTGGGCCCCGCTAAGCCCCTCGGGCCGCCCAGGCGCCGGACCCCCGTCCCCGGAGCCCCCGCGCGCGCTCACTTTGGGCTTGTCGAAGGCGGGCGTCTGGGCCATGGTGCCCTCGTGCGCCCCGGCGCTGCTCCCTCCGCCGCCGCTCGGTGGGTCTCTGCCGGCTCGGTGGCCGCTCGGCTTTCCCTGGGGCCAGCGGTGGCCGCGGCCGGCCACGCTCTTCTTAACGGGCCGGGCCCCGCCTCCCGCCCCGCCCGCCGCCGTTCCCGGGGCCCGCCCTCTCGCCGGAGCCCCCGCCCCGCCCGCCGGCCTGGATCGCGCATTTCCTGGAATTCTGGACCCGGCGTCCTCGCCCGCCGACCCGAAAACTACGGCCCCGCGGCGCCCGACCGGACCCACCTGTGGGCGCGCGCTCCAGCCGCCTCGCTGGGCGCTGCCTTCCCCCCGGCTCCTCCAGCAACTTTCAAGCGTCCCCCTGCAGTCTGGGCGCTGCTGTGCGCCAGGCCCAAGCTAGAAGCGGGGACCCCGGGAGCATCGCAAGCCTCGAGCGGCGTGCCTTCCACCGGATAGACGGACGCTCGTCGCAGAAACACACACCATAATTGTATAGTTAAGGAACTTTCGAGGGGGGCCAGCCGTGGCCTGCAGAACCTGCAGGAGTTCATCAGGGGTGGGTGGGGGTGGAGAGGACATTCTACGTGAGAGACTCCAGGGAGCTGGGAGTGAAAGGAGGCGAGGAAGGCTGGAGCTCGGAGGGAGGGAGAACACAGACAGTCCCCTCCTGGGCATTCACCTTTAAGAAACCCGCCCAGGCGCAGCCAGAGACCTGTGCAGAATGTTCACACCAGCGCTATTCCGAATAACAGGAACATTGGAAACACCCTCAAATGCCCCTCCACGGGCGAGTGGGCAAATAAACCGGAATATTCACACCATGAAACGTTAGACAGCAGTGAAACGGAATGAACTTCAGCCAGACAACAACAGAAACAATGTCTCAGAAACAATGTTGAGTGAAAAAAACTAAGTTGCGGAAAACTGCATACAATGGTGCAACTTTTAGAATGTGTAAAAGCAAAACCAAAAGTATGTATGTTTAGACACATGCATCGGTGGAAAAAATGTAAAGCAAGGGAAAGATGAGCATAGATACGAGAAGAGTGGTTATCTCAGGTGAAAGGGAAGGAGCCGGGAGGAGGTAAGGACGGAGGGAAATAACACGCGGGTACAGGTTATTTATTTATTTATTTATTTATTTATTTATTTATTTATTTATTTACTGAGACGGAGTTTCGCTCTTTCGCGGAGGCTGCAGTGAAGTGGCGCGATCTGGGCTCACTGCAACCTCTGCCCCTCTGGCCCGCCTCCTCCCCACCGCTCCCCCGCACCCCCAGCGTTTCAAGCGATTTTCCTGTCTCAGCCTCCCGAGTAGCTGGGATTATAGGCGCCCACAACCACGCCTGGCTAATTTTTGTTTTTTGTTTTTTTGTTTTTGTTTTTGTTTTTTTGAGATGGACTCTTGCTCTGTCGCCCAGGCTGGAGTGCAGTGGCGAAATCTCGGCTCACTGCAACCTCCACCTCCTGGATTTTAAGCAGTTCTCGGCCTCAGCGTCCCGAGTAGCTGGGATTACAGGCGCGTGGCACCGTGCCCTGCTAAGTTTTGGATTTGTAGTAGAGACGGGGTTTCACCATGTTGGCCAGGCTGGTCTCGAACACCTGACCTCACATGATCCACCCACCTCGGCTTCCCAAGGCGTGATTACAGGCATGAGCCACCACGCCTGGCCACACACAGGTTATTGATAATGTTCCAGTACTGGGGTGGATGGTAGCTTCATTTCATTTCATCATAAATAAATTAACAAACCCATAAACAAGGGGGAAAGAGAGAGTGGGAGAGTGGAGAGCAAGGGGCTAGAAGGTCTGATGGGAGCTGAATCCTGCCAGGGATGTGGGACCCAGCGATGGTGTGGGATTCCTAGGAAGTCAGTGGAGTGTTTTAAGTGGAGGCGAGACAAAATCACCCTTTTATTTGGAAAAAATATTCTCCAGCTACTGAAAGTGTGATCCAGGGATCATCAGCACCCACATCACCTGGGAGCTGACTACAAATGCAGACTTTCAGACCCCATCCCAGACCTACTGAAGTAGAATCTGTATTTTATACAAACAGGACCCCCAGGTGGTTCGCACCCACAGGGCACTTTGAGAAGCCTGGGCTCCCTGCTGTGAGGGGAGGGCATTACAGGGGGCCAGCGGGGGTGAGGGAGGACAGGATACCAGGAAGGAGGCAACTGCCATGGTCTGGGTAGGGCATAGTGATGTCAGTGGGGGAAGTGGAGAAACTCATATTCAAGCTGCATTTAGGGTGTAAAATCAGCTGGATTTGGGGTTTGGTTGTATGTGGGAGTGAGGGAGAGGGTGGCTGTATTAGTCCATTATTTTCATGCTACTGATGAAGACATACCCGAGCCTGGGCGCAGTGGTTCATGCCTGTAATCCCAGGACTTTGGGAGGCCAAGGCAGGAGGATCACCTGAGGTCGGGAGTTTGAGACCAGCCTGACCAACATGGTGAAACCCCGTCTCTACTAAAAAAAAAAAAAAAAATACAAAATTAGCCAGGCGTGGTGGTGTATGACTGTAATCCCAGCTACTCGGGAGGCTGAGGCAGGAGAATCGCTTGAACCTGGGAGGTGGAGGTTGTGGTGAGCCAAGATTACACCATTGCATTCCAGCCTGGGCAACAAGAGCGAAACTCCATCTCATGAAAAAAAAAAAAAAGACATACCTGAGACTGGGTAATTTACAAAAGAAAGAGGCTTTAATAGACTTACAGTTCCACAATGGTGGGGAGGCCTTGCAATCATGGCAGAAGGCAAAGGAGGAGCAAGTCACGTCTTACATGGATGGCAGTAGACAAAGAGAGAGCGCCTGCAGGGAAACTCCCATTTTTAAAACCATCAGATCTTGTGAGACTTATTTACTATCACAAGAACAGCATGGGAAAGACCATCCCCCATGATTCAATTATCTCCCGCCGAGTCTCTCCCACAACATGTAGGAATTATGGGAGCTACTAGATGAGATTTGGGTGAGGACACAAAGCCAAACCCTATCAGTGGGTCTCATACATTGTCAAAGCCAGGGGAGTTTTTTGTAAGATCCTTTCTTGGCTCTCTGTGTTACTCGGGTTCAATAATAGGGGCTGCCATTTACTGAGACAGGTTTGGAGCCAGGTACACTGGGAAGCACTTTATAAGCACCCATCCCATTTCATCTTTACAGTCATCCTCAGATGTAGGAGGTGTTCTCCTCATTTTACAGATGAGGACACTGAGGTTCAGATAGAGAGACAGCCTGCTTGGCTCATGGGTTGTAAGTGGCAAAACTGGGGTTTAAATTTGAATCTGACTCGAGAAACTTCACTCCCCACCTTATTGCCTCCCCAGCCTCTCATGACATTCAAGTCCCTCTTCAACATCAGTCCCACCACTTCCCACCACATTGCTGAAATGCCAATCAACCTAGATGAGTTGCTGGTTGCTTAAGGGTGACACAAATTATTTGCAATTCTTCACATTGCAAGATGGAGTCTAGGTTTCCTCCTCTTGGACCTGGGCTGGCCTGAGTGACTTGTTGGAGTAATAGAGCGTGATGGGAGCAAGCTTCCTGGATTTCCGAGCCTTGGTCATAAAGAAGCTTTGTGGTGTCCTTTGGGGCCTCTTGAACATTCTCTCTGGGAACCCAAGCTTCTAGAAGAGACCATCATGCTAAGAGAGTCCACATATGGCCATTCCAGTTGACAGTCCCACTGAGCCCAGGCTTCCACCATCCCTACGAAGACAGCAATCATGTTAGCGAAGCTGTGTTGGGCCATCCAGCCCAGCTGCCCACTGAAAACCAGGCTTTGGTCAATGCCATGTGGGACAGAAGAATTACCCAAGTAAGCCCAGCCCAAATTCCTGACCTATAGTATTGAGATATGTAATGAAATGGATGTTATTTTAAGCCATTGTGTTTTAGGGGGAGATTGTCACACAGCAGTAGGTAACAGGAATGCTTGCTTCTACCTGCCCCAGCCCTCCAGCCTCTGCACCTTAGTCACTTCCATCCTGACACCTGGAAAACCCTTTACCCAGATCCTAGACTATCAAAATTCTGCATTCCAAATGGGTCAGATCCAAAGGGCCAGGCTGCGTGATGCAGTTCTTCTGTTTGCCCCTGCAGGTGCACTCTCCACCCTTCTGCACGCTGCTCTGCTCCTCTGTGTCCGGCAGCCATGCTGCTGTGGGTGAGACCAATGGGCTCTCCTGCCCTCTGGCTCTGGTTGGGTTTTGTCAACAGGGAGCACCAGCAGGAGAACAGCAGATGAGAGGAGAGAGGTCAGGATATTCATTCCCCCTTTCCCTCGGTGCACAGTCACTGGGCTGACTGTGTCTCTCTACCAAGGCCACATCTCCTGTCAGTCCTCCTGGCCCACCTCTCCATACCCTCCCCATTCCAGATTCCCTCTTGCCTATTGATTGATTGATTGATTTTGAGACAGAGTCTCACTCTGTCGCCCAGGGTGGAGTGCAGTGGTGCAATCCCAGCTCACTGCAACCTCCACCTCCTGGGCTCAAGCAATTCTCATGCCTCAGCCTCTGGAGTAGCTGGAATTACAGGCACCCACCACTATGCCCGGCTAATTTTTGTATTTTTAGTAGAAACTTGGTTTTACCATGTTGGCCAGGCTGGTCTTGAACTCCTGACCTCAAATAATCCACCCACCTTGGCCTCCCAAAGTGTTGGCGTTACAGGCATGAGCTACCGTGCCTGGCCTCCTGCCGTTTTCTTGAAAGGCAGTGGTTCCCTTTGTTACCAGAGTCCCACGCCACCCGTTGTTGCTTTCCTTAAACTCTCCTCGCTAGGTTCAGGTTTCCCCAGAAGCAGAGCCTGAGACAAAGATTTCAATGCAAGTAGTTTATTTGGGAAGAGGAAACATGGGAAGGATGTGGGTGCGAAACAAGACAGGAAAGGGGAAGAAGCTGACATGAGCAGGTCACCACACTGAGCACCTGGAGCTCTATCCCTGGGCAGCACTCTGGGAGATGATGAATATGTTGCAGGCTTAACCCAGCAGAGGAGCGAGGAAGCTGGGGAATCTAACTGCCCCCTCCCCTCTGGCAATGCTTCCAGGACATTAACTTCCTGGCACTCTTAGTTTGTTCAACATGACCGGCTGAGTTTCTTGCATGGCTAGAAAATATTTGCAGCAATGAGAGAGAGACTCTGTTAGCAGTAAGTAGCTATTGCCATGTAGAGGTGATTTTGAGGGCATATGGGCAGCTACACCAGCCCACACCTATGTAAATAACTCCCATATTAAACCCTCTTCAATTACTCAGTTTGAGTGTGGCACCTGGTTCCTGCCAGGACCCCGAGTGATACAGGCTGGTCTTGAGCTTCTTCATAGCAATACAGAGTGGACCAGTGACTACAGAAAGCTTGAGAGGGGCTGGAGAGAGATGCCTTCCCCAATATTCATTATCCACACAGCACGCCACTCCTGTGAGAAGACAACAGAGATTGTGTATGTTTGAGAATGTCTCTCTACCTCCAATGTAGCCCTCCTGAAAAATCTAGTTCAAGATCTATTCCAGGCCAGGCGCAGTGGCTCACACCTGTCATCCCAGGACTTTGGGAGGCCGAGGCGGGCGGATCACCTGAGGTCAGGAGTTTGAGACCAGCCTGGCCAACATGGTGAAACCCCATCTCTACTAAAAATACAAAAATTAGCCGGGCATGGTGGCATGCACCCGTAATCCCAGCTACTCGGGAGGCTGAGGCATGAGAATCCCTCTGGGCCACAGAGGGAGACTCTGTCTCAAATAAATAAATAAAAATCAAGATCAAAATGTATATGATCAGGAGCCTCAGCTCCACCACTTACAGCTCTGTGGCTTTGGGAAAGTTGTTTTGAGCCTTGATTTTCTCATCTGTGTAGTGGGGATAACATATACATACTAATTAATAGGATAAACCATAGACACGCCTCGCTCATAGGAGGAGAAGAACATCCTCACACAATGGGAGAGGTGGGGATTGTGGAAAGGAGAGAGCAAATGCCTCGTCAAGATGCTGCTGTGCTGAAACATAAATCCAGTGTTGCCAGATCCTCCAATCATCCAAAAAAGCCGGAGACCCATCTTTTAATGTTTAAACTGTATTCAAATGTGTCCTAATGTTTAAAACTTTGTATAAGCCAAAGAAAACATCTGTGGGCCAGATTTTGCCCCACACAGCCAAGGTCCCTGCTGATTCTGATCTTCTAAGATCTCTGAATAAGAAAGAGGACAAGGGACAGGTTGCCCTTTCACTCACATTTATCAGACAGGATTAGGATCAGTTGCACACAACAGAAAACACCCAAATAATAGTGGCTGAAAAAAGACAGAAGTTTATTTCTCTGTTGTGTAAAAAGGCCAGAGGCAGGCAATGCCACTGATGTGACAACTCTGTGAAGATGCCTCCTTCTATCTCTCTGCTCTGCCATCCCTAGCATCCAGCCCCTATCCTCATTGTGCAGTATGGCTGCTGGGGCACCAGCCTTCACATCTGCAGTCCAGAGAGCAGGGCTGAGGAAAGGATGCAGCAGCTAGTGCTTGTCTCTCTTTTTTTTTTTCTTGAGACAGAGTCTCACTCTTTTGCCCAGGCTGGACTGCAGTGGCACTATCTTGGCTCACTGCAAGCTCTGCCTCCGGGGCTCACGCCATTCTCCTGCCTCAGCCTCCCAAGTAGCTGGGACTACAGGCGCCTGCCACCACGCCTGGCCACTTCTGTCTTTTAAAGATCTAGATACCTGGTTTTCCTCACAACAAATTCTGCTTATATAGTCACATGGCCACATCTAATCGCAAAGGAAACTAGGAAATGTCTTATACCTGTAAGGCAAGGTACCCAGCTAAAAAAAAGGAGATTGTGTTACTAAAGAAGAGGATAGTAGGCCCACTGCAGTGGCTCATGCCTGTAATCCCAACACTTTAGGAGGTCGAGGTGTTCGATCACAAGGTCAGGAGTTCGAGACCAGCCTCACGAACATGGTGAAACCCCGTTTCTACTAAAAATACAAAAATTAGCTGGGCACGGTGGTGCACACCTGTAATCCCAGCTAATTGGGAGGCTGAGGCAGGAGAATTGCTTGTACCTGGGAGGCAGAGGTTGCAGTGAGCCATGATTGTGCCACTGCATTCCAGCCTGGGTGGACAGAGCAAGACTCCGTATTGGGGGAAAAAAAAAATTAGAGGATAGTAGATCTAGAAGGCTGCTCATTTCTGCCACATCAAATAGCCTGGTAGGTGAGGAGGGTATATGGATAGGTGGAAAGAGTGTTACCAGGAAGCCAGATTCTGCTGTCCATATCATATGTCTTTAAGCCTCTTTCTGACCAGGAGAAGAAAATAAGAGAGCAAGATAGAAAGAGGCCTGAGTATAATCATAGAGACAACTTACCAAGGACCTGTTGCATGCCAGGCCCAGCACTGAGTCTTGTGCCAACATTGTTTTAGTCCATTTTGTGCTGCTATAGCAGAATACCTGGAACTGGGTAATTTTTATGGAACAGAAATGTATTGGCTCATGGTTCTGGAGGCTGGAAAGTCCAATATCAAGGTGCTGGCATCATTCAAGGGCCTTCTTGCTGCATCATTCCATGGTAGAAGATGAGAGAGTCCGAGAGGGTAAGAGAGGGAGCAAGAGATTGATCTCACGGCCTCAAGCCTTTTTATACTCAGCATTAATCCACCCATGAGTGTGGAGCCCCCATGACCTAAACACCTCCCATGAGGCCCCACCTGCCAACACTGTTGCATTGGGGATTAAGTTTCTAACACATGCTTGTTGGGGAACCACATTCAAACCATAGCAAACATCATCTCAGATTATTCTTTTCATCCAGCCTATCCGGTGGGTGGGCCTCGTGTTATTGTGGGGTGGGGTCACATCTTGCCTGTGCCAGCTGGGGTAGGAGGCCTGGACATCCAATTGTCTCCCAGATTGATAACCAACCCACCCTTCTGTCTTCTGCCCTACCTGACACCACTTGGTCTTCAGAGATTTCTGGTCCCTCCAATCCCTGAGCCTGAGATTCTGCAATTTGCTTTGTCCTAAAGGCTCCCCGTGAGCAGCCAGGTTTCAACTTCCTGGGTTTCTTGTCAGTCCCCACTCACCATCTGCCTTCCAGCTTCCGGAATTTGGTTGATTCTTCTCATCTGCTATTTTCTTCCTCATACGTTTTCTTTGTCCCAGTAGATAGATGTGCATTTAAAAAAAAAATCCCTGTGTCATTTTCTTGGAATTTCAGAGAACAATGGAGAGAAATAAGTGTGTTCAACCTGCCATGTTTAAACAGCAGTCTCCAGCCTCAGTTCTTGACTGGGGGAATCCTCAGCCCTCAGGAGGATTGTATGGTATCCCCATCCTTCCCCCATTCCTTCCTTATCCTGCTCCAGGAGTCCATGGGAGCCCTCGGCACACAGGACTCTCTTCCCCACTCTCTGAACCTGGGGCATAGTTCTGTCCTGCCTCCATAGCCCATACCTGCTTCTCAAGAGCAGGGGCCTTGTCTTCTTCTCTCTACTTCGACAGGTCTGGGCAGGCCTCAGGAAGATAGATATGAGCTCATGGTGTGGGTCATTCCTAAGAAGTCACTTTGGACTTTGAGGAGTTAAAATTCAAAGCTGGGGATGAGAGTCAGGCATTTCTAAATTAGAATATCAAGTGTATTCCCACTGTATTTACAATGGAGGCCAGCATCAACACTCAAGGTGAAAGCCTGATAGAGTCACATTGGTCCTTGAAAACCTCTTAGGAAGATGCCAGGTGGAGACAGAGGCATCGTCCCTCACTGAATCTGATACAGCCAGCATTTTCTCCGGGGCTTCTTCCCCATGTCTTGAGTAAGTGCCTGCTGGAGATCCTGGTTTGGGTTGAGAAGCTGTGTTATGTAGACAAAGTGCATCTTCAGATCCTAGAATCTTCCTCAGTGGGTCATGAGCCTCATGTTGCTCATAGGAAAAGAGGCCAAGAACTAGGGTGACCAACCATCCTGGTTTACCAGGTCTGAGTAGTTTATTGAAATACAGAGTTTTCAGTGCTAAAACCAAAACAGTCCCAGGGAAATTCCCAATTGTGGTCACCCTACAGAACAACCGTAACAACAGGATTACCTCTCACACACCCTCCTGGACATGTGCATGTTACACAATTTGTCCACTTTCTGTTGCTGTCATAGAACCCATGGGACTGGGTAATTGACAAAGAAAAGGGGTTTGTTTTTTACAGTTCTGGAGGCTGGGAAGTCCAAGACAGGGTGGCTGGATCTGGTCAGCTTCTGGTGAGGGCCTCGTGCTGTGTTGTAACACAGCAGAATGCATCGTAGGGTGAGAGGAAGCAAGAGAAAGCCGAGGAAGCAAGAGAAAGCCGAGGAAGCCAAACTCACTTTTGTAATGAACTGCTCTCAATAACTCACCCACTTCTGTGAGAATTAACCCACTCCTGTGAGAAAGGCATTAATCCCTCCTAATGACCTAATCCCCTCTTAAAGGCCCCACCTCCCAATACCATTACATTGGGGACCAAGTTTCTACATGCATTTTGGAGGAGACAAACCACATCCAAACCATAGCACACACACAACATAAAATCGTTATCTCCTACAGTTTACCACACCCCTCAACCTCCACGCCCCTCTCACCAGCCTTTTTTTTAATACGAATTCTTGCTGTTGTTGGCCTGGGCTGGAGTGCAATGACACGGATTCGGCTCACTGCAACCTCTGCCTCCTGGGTTCCAGCAGTTCTCCTGCCTCAGCCTCCCGAGTAGCTGAGATTACAGGTGCCCGCCACCACGCCCACCTAATTTTTGTATTTTTAATAGAGATGGGGTTTCACCATGTTGGCAGGGTGGTCTCAAACTTCTGACCTCAGGTGATCCACCCACCTCAGCCTCCCAAAGTGCTGGGATTACAGGTGTGAGCCACTGCGCCCGGCCTCACCAGCCCTTTTAAGGGAAATAGATGGTAGACTTGTTCGGAGAGTGGGCTCTGGAACTAGGCTCTGGAAGCTTCAGTTGCAGCATTCATTAGCTGTATGTGTTTGGGCAAGTCACTTTACCTCTCTCTGCCTCAGTTTCCTTATCTATAAAATTGGAAGAATAATAGTAAGTTCTACTCTGTCAGGTCATTGTAAGGATTGAATGAATTAATATTATGGAGAGCAGTTAGAACAGTGCCTGTCATGGAGGAAGCTACACAGGTCACAACTCCTTAACTGAAACTCCAGTGTCTCAGGATCCTGATGCATTTTGGAATTTAGGGAGTTTTGGGATTTTGGAAAGCACATGACTTATATAACACACTAGTGGGTAGTGGGATCTGGCTTAGCATCCCATAACGAAACACATTAATATTTCTGCAGAAAACAATATACGAGTATTCATACATCTGTTCAGGTTAGGTTTTGGCTACCCAATGAGTTTTGGTGTTACATTATTTTGTTCAGAAACACTGGGATCTCTGAAGTGTGGATAAGGGCTTGTAGGTCTGTGTAAGGTTTTGCTATTATTATTGTTGAATGTGCATCTGATATAACTGCCATGCAGTTGCTTCTTGAGGACAACTCTGAGCTTTTATGCCCAAGGCCCTCCTGGACTCTTGGAGTTTTCTAGCAGGGCCTTCCTGCACCAAGAGCTCTGAATAACCTTTGAAGGCTGACAGGACACTCTCTTCTTCTCTCTCTACCTAGGTCCTCAATTTAGTGATGTCTCCCTGTTCCTCTCAGTGTGGTAATAGAGGTTGGCAGGGGAGGGGTAGGTTGCAAATGCAATCTCCAGGAGCCTTCCCCAGCCTGACCCTCACCCCCTCAACCCCAGCTGGTCCCAGTGGGGGAGGGGCACAGGTTGTGTGGAAGTGATGAGTAAGCCCCTCTTCTGGTGAAGCTATTGTGGGTTCAGGCAATCGTCTGGCCTGCACAGGCAAGATAATGGAGTCAAAGGAGGCTTATGGCCCCTCAGCCGCCCCTGGGCATGCACAGATGTCTCTATGGCACACACTAGCACTTGCAGAAAAGCATTGGTGCCAGGTGCGGTGGCTCATGCCTGTAATTCCAGCACTTTGGGAGGCCAAGGCGGGTGGATCACTTGAGGTTAAAAGTTCGAGACCAGCCTGGTCAACATGCAAAACCCCGTCTCTACTAAAAATACAAAAATTAGCCGGATGTGGTGACGGGCACCTGTAATCCCAACTACTCGGGAGGCTGAAGCAGGAGAATCACTTGAATCTGGGAGGTGGAGGTTGCAGTGAGCCGAGATCGCGCCACTGCACTCCAGCCTGGGCGACAGAGTGAGACTCTGTCTCAAAAAAAAGAAAAGAAAAGTGTTGGAGGGGAACGAGAAAGTTCCCCCTTAATTCTCAGCCAGTATTTACTGAGTGTGACCCTGGGCTGGGCCCCAGGCTAGGTGCTGGGGACACACAGTGAGGAAAACCTGGCCCCTCTGAGATAAACCCACAGGCCAGGGGCAGCTGCCTTCTGACATTGGGGGTATGGGGCTGGCCCTCACCCTGACCATGGTGGCAGGTGCCCACCCACCCTTCAAAGCAAGAGGAGGGAGGGAGAAGTGCCTGTATGTTCAAGAGTTACTTTACAAGGACAAATGGGTCCATCACCTTGGTTGACGTCAGCAAAGAAGCATCAGCCAAAGCCTTGAGGTGACCCCAAAAGACTGGGGTGCAGGTTAGGGGGTTGAGACAGGCTCAGCATGGAGAGAGGAGGGTAAAGCTCCTGCAGAGGCCCCAGCTCCCAAAGATGAAGCTACCGCTTGATGATGCTGTCTCCAGGGCCAGAGATCTTCCTCTCATCCCGCACTATCTGCAGTCCTCTCTGGTGTGTGTGGGGCGCAGTCATTAGACCCATCTTCCAGGTGAGAGATCTCTGCCTCAGGGCTCAGAGGACCTCCTCCTGGGGTTTCAGATCAGTCTTCCAGGATGGAGGATGGGAAGCAGGCCATCAAGAGTTCTGGTAAGAAATGAGGTTTCTAGTCAGGTACGGTGGCTGACGCCTGTAATCCAAGTACTTTGGGAGGCCGAGGCAGGAGGATCACTTGAGGTCAGGAGTTCCAGACCAGCCTGGCCAACATGGTGAAATCCCATCTCTACTCAAAATACAAAAATTAGCCAGGAGTGGTGAAGTGCACCTGTAGTCCCAGCTATTTGGGAGGCTGAGGCAGCAGAATCGCTTGAACCCAGAAGGCGGAGGTTGCAGTCAACTGAGATCGCACACTGCAGTCTAGCCTGGGTGACAGAGGGAGACTCTGTCTCAAAAAAAAAAAAAAAGAAAGAAAGAAAGAAATGAGGTTTCCCTGACTGAGTCTGGGAAGCTGGCATTCATTCGTTCTTTCACTCATTCATTCTGGCTGATCCCGAGCTCTGACAGTTCCTATCTGCATGACCCTGGCAGCTCACCTCAGCCCTGAGCCTAAGATTCTACTATGTACCAGGCACTCTTCAGTCTACTTAGGATACAGAAGGAGCCAGGTAGTCATGACCTCCAGCCTCATGACGCAGATAATGGGGTGGGGGTAGGGGCAACTAGCTTATTCTGGAGGCTTCCTGTAAAAAACAACGCTTAAGTGGAGGTGGACAGAATCTCCCCATCACGCTGGGGAAAGGCAGAAATGGATTTAGCAAACTTACTGTGAAAGTCACAGCTTAAGCCTTAGAGCCCCTCACTTGCCAGGGGCCTTCCAGGGGCCTGGGAGGGGCCAAGTAATGCACACTCAGGATCACATGCTTTAGTAGAATTTGCCAATGTAAGATGTTTTAACTGTAATTTATTAAGACTGCTGCCCCTCTCACTCCAACTTCCCTCTCTGTCATACTTCCCCTTCTTTTGGGTATTGCCCCAGTGCTTCTGGCATTTTGGGGGATCTAGCTAAGGAGAAGTTGTCACGGAATACTGACATTGATGAAAATAACAAAAGTCAAAATACACCACTACAAAAAGGATGTAATAGAAAGCATCAATTCAAAAAAATTTTAAGATTAGTCATCAAGGAAACATAATAAGTCCGGAAATCTTACAGCTCCGATATGAAAGAAACTTGATAGAGGTTCTTCCAAATTTGACAACAATCCTAGAATTTTATGACCTTCCAGTAGTCCCCCCTTATCCTCGAGGGATACATTTCAAGACCCTCAGTGGGTGCCTGAAACCGTGGATAGTACGGAATCCTATTTAGACTATGTTTTTTTTGATCCAATAGCCAAGACAACTACTAAGTTGACGAATGGGCAGGTAGTGAAGATGCTGGACAAAGGGGCAATTCACACCCCTGGTGGGACAGGGTGGGGTAGAGTGGGGCAGCACCAAATTTCATTACGCTACTCGGAACAGCATGCAATGTAGAACTTAATGAATTGTTGATTTCTGGAATTTTTCATTTAATATTGTCAGACTGTGGTTGTCCATGGGCAACTGAAACCTCAGGAAGCAAAACCTTGCAGAAGAGGGGGCTACTGTACCAGTAATAAGTTGCAAAGCTGAAAGAAACTTTATCGACCATAAGAAATTTGGGGCCAGGCACAGTGGCTCATGCCTGTAATCCCCGTATTTTGGGAGGCCAAGGTGGGAGGGTGGCTTGAGGCCAGGAGTTCAAGACCAATCTGGGCAACATAGTGAGACTCCATCTCTACAAAATCTTAAAGTATTAGTTGCATGTGGAGACACATGCCTGTAGTCCTGATTACTTGGGAGGCTGAGACGGGGAGATCCTTTGAGCCCAAGAGTTTGAGGCTGCAGTGTACAAAGATCAGACAACTGCATGCCTGCCTGGGCAATGGAGCAAGACCCTGCCTTAAAAAAAAAAAAAATGGGGGCCGGGCACGGTGGCTCACACCTGTAATCCCAGCACTTTGAGAGGCCAAGGTGGGTGAATCATTTGAGACCAGGAGTTTGAGACCAGCTTGGCCAACATGGTGAAACCCTATCTCTACTAAAATTACAAAAATTCGCCAGGCGTGCCTGTAGTCCTAGCTACTCAGGAGGCTGAGGCAGGAGAATCGCTTGAACCCAGGAGGTGGAGGTTGCAGTGAGCCTAGATTGCACCACTACACTCCAGCCTGGGCGACAGAGCAAGACTCTGTCTCAAAAAAAAAAAAAAAAAAGAAAAAAAAATTAGTCAACTGTGCTAGAGAAAAGATTAAAGTATCTTCTTATTCTCTCTAAAGAAAATGACATTACAAAATCAATGTCACATGAAGAGGTTAACGTAAAAGTATACAAACACAATGTAGGAATGAAATAATTATAGATATGTATCATATTGATGAAAATATGAATGTAAATGTAAATTTTAATTTATGTAATTATGAACAAAAATGTAATGCTATTATGTAAATAAATATATTTATTATGTTACATGTAACTTAACATGTTTAATAACTTATTATGTTATGAACTGTTGCTGACTATGTGGCCACAACAGGGGAGGGAATCTTGGGACCCTTATTCAGAGAGATCAAGACCAAATAAAGGACCTAATAAGTCATTTCCTTCAACCTGTCACCAGTGCAGGAATCCTCTTCCTGATGACAGCTGTCCACTGAGCCTCGGCTCTGTACATTTCCTGGGATGAGGAATTCACCCCTCCTCCAAATCCTGTACTATCTTGGGTCAAAACTCTGGTTGTGGGAAGTTCTTTAGTCAAGCTGATCACTAGCTGTCGGTGGTTTCCCCTTGGGTCCTCATCTTCCCCAGCACCCCCAGAAATCATGGGCTGCTGCTTCCCATTTTATTATAGCTCTGCAGTGCTACAATGCAGCTCTAGTATCTTGCCCTGGCCTGGGATAACCTGCCCTTCTTCAAAGTTTCCTTTTATGTCTTGACTTCCAAAGTCTTCCTCATCCATGATCGCAGAGATTGATCAGCCACTCATACATATATGAGGACGACAATGATGATGATGATAATGAGAACAGCTAGCCAGCACTGAGTGCTTACTGTGTACTGGGCTCCGTGCTGGGTGCTGTATGAGCACCTGCTGTTGGTCTCATGCACACCTATTTATGTTGGTTTTGAGTAACTTGTGCAGGTATACCTTTGATTTAAAATTTTGGTTTCTATTTAGACTACGATAGGAATTTTTGTTTTGTTTAGCCTTCTCTCCTAAGCTTAATGAAACCACATATTCAGAAAGAAAGGACACATTTAATTAAAACATTTCAAAGACACACAGCTTAAAAGAGTGATTACCCTAGACCTCTTACAAACAAATATGCCCCTCCTCCAAAACTCTTCTTAATGTAAATTTCAGAGAGGAAAAGCCAAAAACAAAAACAAAATCGAGAATGTGTGTTAATTTATCTGGCTAAAACCTGATAAAAAGATTTTCTTGGCCGGGCGCGGTGGCTCACGCCTGTAATCCCAGCACTTTGGGAGGCCGAGGCGAGCGGATCACGAGGTCAGGAGATCGAGACCATCCCGGCTAAAACGGTGAAACCCCGTCTCTACTAAAAATACAAAAAATTAGCCGGGCGTAGTGGCGGGCGCCTGTAGTCCCAGCTACTTGGGAGGCTGAGGCAGGAGAATGGCGTGAACCCGGGAGGCGGAGCTTGCAGTGAGCCGAGATCCCGCCACTGCACTCCAGCCTGGGCGACAGAGCGAGACTCCGTCTCAAAAAAAAAAAAAAAAAAAAAAAAAAAAGATTTTCTTAAGAGCTCTGTAGTTCAAAGTCAACTTAATTAAAAGCAGGTATTAAGACTATAATTTTTAAAATAGAGCCTTTCTGCTTCTTCTATTTTGGATCTTGTTTTGGGGAATTTTTTTTCAGGTGACTGAAACCCCTCTTTTAATTATATGGTGAGTCCCTCTCTCTGTTCGCTTCCTTTCTTGTTGGTGTGATTTTTTGCTGAAGGAAAAAAAAAATGTAAAACTTAAGCAGCTTTCTGGAAAGCTTAAATTTATTCTCTGTGCTTTGAAATGTAAATTTCCTACCTTGTCTAAAATTCAGTGAGGTACTCGCTTCGCAGCACATATACTAAAACTGGAATGAAGGCCGGGTGCAGTGACTCACGCCTGTAATTCCAGCACTTTGGGAGTCTGAGGCGGGTGGATCACCTGAGGTCAGGAGTTCGAGACCAGCCTGGCCAACATGGTGAAACCCCATCCATACTAAACATAAAAAAATTAGCTGGGCGTGGTGGCACATGCCTGTAATCCTGGCTACTTGGGAGGCTGAGGCAGGGGAATTGCTTGAATCTGGGAGGTGGACGTTGCAGTGAGCCAAGACTGCACCACTGCACTCCAGCCTGGGTGACAGAGAGAGACTCTGTCTCAAAATAAATAAATAAACAAATAAATAAATAAAATGAAATTGGAATGATAGAGAAAAGATTAGTAGCATGTCACCTGTGCAAGGATGAAATGTAAATTCTGAAGCGTTCCATTAAAAAAAATATGTTATTTAATAAAATTAATTAAGGCCAGGTGTGATGGCTCACACCTGTAATCCCAACACTGGGAAGCTGAGGTCAGGAATTCAAGAGCAGCCTGGCCAACACGGTGAACCTAGTCTCTATTGAAAATGCAAAAATTAGCTGGGCATGGTGGTACACGCCTGTAAGCCCAGCTACTTTGGAGGCTGAGGCAGGAGAATAGCTTGAATCCAGGAGGTGGGAGGCTGCAGTGAGCCGAGATTGTGCCACTGAACTCCAGCTTGGGCAACAGAGCAAGACTCTGTCTCAAAAACAAACAAACAAAAAAATGAAAAAAAAATAAGTCACAAAGGGATCAAACTTCATTTTGGCTACTCCTGCTTTGGCGATGGCCACAAAAGGGAAAAAGTTTTTCAAATTTTTTTGGTAACTATGCCTTTAGAGTTTTGCCAAGCTAAATTAAACTATGAATATTTATTGAAGATCTAGATCATTTCCAAATAAGATATAATGCTAAGACATTAATTACTACATATAAGTTTAAGCTCATATACTTTTGGTTTCTTATTTCAGAGAAACAAAAGATATTTAGGGGCTGGGTGTGGTGGCTCATACCTGTAATCCCAGCACTTTGGAAAGCTGAGATAAGAGGACTGCTTGAGGCCAGGAGTTACAGACCAGCCAGGGCAACATAGTGAGACCTTGTCTCTACAAAATAAAAATTTTAAAGTTAGCCAGGAGTGGTGTTGCATGCTTGTTAGTCCTAACTACTCAAGAGGCTGAGGCAGGAGGATCGATCACTCAAGCCTAGGAGTTTGAGGCTGCAGTGAGCTATAATCACACCACTATATTCCAGCTTGGGCAACAGAGCAAGACCCTGTCTCAAAAAAAAAAAAAAAAGAGATATTAAGATCCGCTAGTAAAAGTATCCTATTCCACACTGAAAAATTGTTCCATTAGAAAGCCTGTGTTTCTAAATATTATAAAATGTGTATTAATCAATTGTTAGTACATAGTGACAAAATTACTTCTGGCTGGGCGGTGGCTCACACCTGTAATCCTAGCACTCTGGGAGGCTGAGGTGGGCAGATCACCTGAGGTTAGGAGTTTGAGACCAGACTGGCCAACATGGTGAAACCCTGTCTCTACTAAAAATACAAAAAATTAGCCAGGCGTGGTGGTGTGTGCCTGTAGTCCCAGCTACTTGGGAGGCTGAGGCAGAAGAATCACTTGAACCTGGGAGGTGGAGGTTGCAGTGAGCTGAGATCGCGCCACTGCACTGCAGCCTGGGTGACAGAGTGAGACTCTAAAAAAAAAAAAAAAATTACTTCTTAGATTTTCAGTATAAATTAAGATTACTAAGATTTAAAATTCTGACTAATATATGGTAACTAACACTAGAGACCAGAAGGAAGACAATTCTGTATTCAGAATATGTAAGGAAAGTAAGACATCTTTTTAGGAAGGAAGATTATAAGAAAGACATAAGCATGTGGTTTTTGTTAAAGAGAAAGTGGTTTTGCCTAGTTTAGAGGTTATTTAAAGGCTGTATGAAATTGGGATAAAAGAAGGAAAGAATAAAATAGATTAACTGAATGGATATAGAAAGTTGGGAAAAGAAAGAGGAATGGAAAAATTGTAAGAAGTTATAAAAGGTTTATAGAAATATTATCTCGTGTGGTCAAAGCTGATTGAGATTAGATGATTTATAAGGTTTTATTAAAATTAGGCTTTATATTTATAATGCA
Organism: Homo sapiens; assembly: GCF_000001405.40. Lineage (NCBI taxonomy): Eukaryota > Metazoa > Chordata > Mammalia > Primates > Hominidae > Homo > Homo sapiens. The sequence goes on from NC_000020.11 coordinate 44,669,717, forward strand.
TTGATGCAAAAGTAGAATCATTTTTCTATTTTGAACTAGATAGTCACATAGTTTTTTTTTTGTTCTTTTTTTTTTTTTTTTTTGAGATGGAGTCTCGTTCTGTCACCTAGGCTGGAGTGCAGTGGCGTGATCTCGGCTCACTGTGACCTCCACCTCCTGGATTCAAGTGATTCTCCTGCCTCAGCCTCCTGAGTGGCTGGGATTATTGGCATGCGCCTCCATGCCAGGCTAATTTTTGTATTTTGAGTAGAGAAAAGGTTTTGCCATGTTAACCAGGCTAGTCTTGAACTCCTGATCTCAGGGTGATCCGCCTGCCTTGGCCTTCCAAAGTGCTGGGATTGCAAGCGGGAGCCACCGCACCCTGCCTCATATAGTATTAATAAGAGATAGCAAAAGATTTTTTTGTTTACCTTTTGAGTAAACTGCTGCTAAAAAAAAAAAAAAGGAGAAAAGAAACGGGGGAGAGGGAGAGACATTCTGTTGGTCTCAAGTTGTCTTTTTCAGGTCTTTTGTGTCAGGCCTCTGAGCCCAAGCTAAGCCGTCATATCCCCTGTGACCTGCATGTATACATCCAGATGGCCTGAAGCAACTGAAGATCCACAAAAGAAGTGAAAATAGCCTTAACTGATGACCTTTCACCATTGTGATTTGTTTCTGCCCCACCCTAACTGATCAATGTACTTTATAATCTCCCCCCACTTAAGAAAGTTCTTTGTAATCTCCCCCACCCTTAAGAAAGTTCTTTGTAATTCTCCCCACCCTTGAGAATGTACTTTGTGAGATCCACCCGCTGCCCACAAAACATTGCTCCTAACTCCACTGCCTATCCCAAAACCTGTAAGAACTAATGATAATCCCACCACCCTTTGCTGACTCTCTTTTCGGACTCAGCCCGCCTGCATCCAGGTGAAATAAACAGCCTTGTTGCTCACACAAAGCCTGTTTGGTGGTCTCTTCACACAGATGCGTGTGACATTTGGTGCTGAAGACCCGGGTCAGAGGGACTCCTTCGGGAGACCAGTCCCCTGTCCTCACCCTCACTCCGTGAAGAGATCCACTTACGACCTCGGGTCCTCAGATCAACCAGCCCAAGGAACATCTCACCAATTTCAAATTGGGTAAGTGGTCTTTTCACTCTCTTCTCCAGCCTCTCTTGCTACCCTTCAATCTCTCTGTCCTTCCAATTCCAGTTCTTTTTCCTCTCCAGTAGAGACAAAGGAGACACATTTTATCCGTGAACCCAAAACTCCAGGGCCGGTCACAGACTCAGGAAGACAGTCTTCCCTTGCCATTTAATCACTGCGGGGACGCCTGCCTGATTATTCACCCACATTCCATTGGTGTCCGATCACCGCAGGGACGCCTGCTTTGGTCATTCACCCACATTCCCTTGGTGGCAAGTCAATTGCGGGGACGCCTGCTTTGGCTGCTCACCCACATTGCAGCCCAGGGCTGCTCCCCACCCCCTTCTCCATATCTCTACCCTTCTCTTTAAACTTGCCTCCTTCACTATGGGCAAACTTCCACCCTCCATTCCTCCTTCTTCTCCCTTAGCCTATGTTCTCAAGAACTTAAAACCTCTTCAACTCTCACCTGACCTAAAATCTAAGCATCTTATTTTCTTCTGCAACACCACTTGGCCCCAATACAAACTAACAATGGTTCTAAATGGCCAGAAAATGGCACTTTTCATTTCTCCGTCCTACAAGACCTAGATAATTTTTGTTGAAAAATGGGCAAATGGTCTGAGGTGTCTTACGTCCAGGCATTTTTCACACTTCGTTCCCTCCCTAGTCTCTGTTCCCAATGCGACTCGTCCCAAATCCTCCTTCTTTCCCTCCCACCTGTCCCTTCAGTCCCAACCCCAAGCGTCGCTGAGTCTTGTGAATCTTCCTTTTCTACTGAACCATCTGACGTCTCACCTTCTTCCCAGACTGCTCCTCCTCAGCTCGCTCCCCACCAGGCTGAATCAGCCTCCAACTCTTCTTCAGCCTCTGCTCCCACATCCTATAACCCTTCTATTACCCGCCCTCCCCACACCCAGTCTGGTTTTCAGTTTCGTTCTGCGGCTAGCTCTCCCCCACCTGCCCAACAATTTCCTCTTAGAGAGGTGGCTGGAGCTGAAGGCATAGTCAGGGTACATGTGCCTTTTTCTCTATCAGACCTTTCCCAAATCAGCCAGCATTTAGGCTCTTTCTCATCAGACCCCACTAAATATATACAGGAATCCCGATATCTAACTCTGTCCTACAGTTTAACCTGGAGTGACTGAAATGTCATCCTGACTTCTACCCTCTCCCCAGATGAACGGGAAAGAGTTTTTTCTCTAGCCCAATCTCACGCTGATAACCGCCGGCTTCATGAACCTGACCTCCAGGAAGGCAGTAGAGCAGTTCCCCGAGAGGACCCCCAATGGAACTATCAGGCAGATTCCCCAGGTATGGCTAGGCGAGATTACATGGTTTCCTGCCTAGTTGAAGGGCTTAAAAAGGCAGCTTACAAAGCTGTTAATTATGACAAACTTAGAGAAACTACCCAAGGTAAAGACGAAAACCCAGCTCAGTTCATGGCCCGCTCGGCAGCAACCCTTACACACTTTACCGCCCTAGACCCAGAGGGGCCAGAAGGCCGCCTTATTCTTAATATGCATTTTATCACCCAGCTCCTGACATTAGAAAAAAGCTTTAAAAATTGGAATCCGGCCCTCAAACCCCACAACACGAATTAATCAACCTCCCCTTCAAAGTGTACAATAATACAGAGGAGGTAGCCAGGCAGCAACGCATTTCTGAGTTACAGCTGCTCGCCTCCGCTGTAAGACAGCCCACAACCACGTCTCCAGCATACAAGAACTTCAGAACATCCAAGCCACAGCTCCCAGGGGCTCCTTCAAAACATCCTCGTGGACCTTGCTTCAAATGCTAAAAGCCTGGCCACTGGGCCTCAGAATGCCCGCAGCCCGGGATTCCTCCTAAGCCGTGCCCTGTCTGTGCGGGCCCCCGCTGGAGGTCGGACTGTCCGACTCACATCACTGCCACTCCTAAAGCCCCTGGAGCCCAAACCCTATGTTCCTTGGCCGACTCCTTCCCAGATCTCCTCGGCTTAGCAGCTGAAGACTGACGTAGCCCGATCGCCTCAGAAGCCTCCTGGACCATCACAGACGCTGAGCTTCGGGTAACTCTTAAAGTGGAGGGTAAGTCCATCCCGTTTAATCGATATGGGGGCTACCCACTCCACATTATCTTCTTTTCAAGGGCCTGTTTCCCTCGCCCCCATAACTGTTGTGGGTATTGATGGCCAAGCTTCAAAACCCCTTAAAACTCCCCCACTCTGGTGCCAACTTGGACAACGTTCTTTTATGCACTCTTTTTCAGTTATCCCCACCTGCCCAGCTTCCTTATTAGGCTGAGACATTTTAACCAAATTATCTGCTTCCCTGATTATTCCTGTACTACAGCCACATCTCATTGCCCCCTTCTTCCCAACCCAAAGCCTCCTTTGGGTCTTCCTCTCATATCCCCCGACCTTAACCCACAAATATGGGACACCTCCACTCCCTCCCTGGCAACCAATCACATGCCCATTACTATCCCATTAAAACCTAATCACGCTTACCCCACTCAATGCCAGTATCACATCCCACAACAGGCTTTAAGGGGATTAAATCCTGTTATCACTTGCCTGCTACAGCATGGGCTTCTAAAACCTATAAACTCTCCTTACAATTCTCCCATTTTACCTGTTCAAAAACCGGACAAGTCTTACAGGTTAGTTCAGGATCTGTGCCTTATCAACCAAATTGTTTTGCCTATCCACCCTGTGGTGCCCAACCCGTACGCTCTTTTGTCCTCAATATCTTCCTCCACAACTCACTATTCCATTCTTGATCTTTAAAATGCTTTTTTTCACTATTCTCCTACACCCCTTGTCCCAGCCTCTCTTTGCTTTTACCTGGACCGATCCTGACACCCATCAGTCCCAGCAGCTTACCTGGGCTGTACTGCCGCAAGGCTTCAGGGCCAGCCCTCATTACTTCAGCCAAGCTCTTTCTTATGATTTACTTTCTTTCCACCCCTCTGCTTCTTGCCTTATTCAATATATTGATGACCTTCTACTTTGTAGCCCCTCCTTTGAATCTTCTCAACAAGACACCCTCCTGCTCCTTCAACATTTATTCTCCAAGGGATATTGGGTATCCCTGTCCAAAGCTCAAATTTCTTCTCCATCCATTACCTACCTCAGCATAATTCTTCATAACAACACATGCGCTCTCCCTGCGGATCGTGTCCGACTGATCTCTCAAACCCCAGGCCCTTCTACAAAACAACAACTCCTTTACTTCCTGGGCGTGGTTGGATACTTTTGTCTTTGGATACCTGGTTTTGCCATCCTAACAAAACCATTGTATAAACTCACAAAAGGAAACCTAGCTGACTCCATAGATTCTCAATCCTTTCCCCACTCCTCTTTCTGTTCCTTGAAGACAGTTTTAGAGACTGCTCCCACACTAGCTCTCCCTGGCTCATCTCAACCCTTTTCATTACACGCAGCCGAAGTGTAGGGCTGTGCAGTTGGAATTCGTACACAAGGACTGGGACCGCACCCTATAGGCTTTTTGTCCAAACAACTTGACCTTACTGTTTTAGGCTGGCTATCATGTCTCCATGCGGTGGCCGCTGCTGCCCTAATACTTTTGGAGGCCCTCAAAATCACAAACTATGCTCAACTCACTCTCTACAGTTCTTATAACTTCCAAAATCTATTTTCTTCCTCACACCTGACACATATACTGTCTGCTCCCCGGCTCCTTCAGCTGTACTCACTCTTTGTTGAGTCTCCCACAGTTACCATTGTTCCTGGCCCGGACTTCAATCCAGCCTCCCACATTATTCCTGATACCACACGTGACCCCCATGACTGTATCTCTATGATACACCTGACATTCACTCTATTTCCCCACATTTCCTTCTTTCCTGTTCCTCACCCTGATCACACCTGGTATATTGATGGCAGTTCCACTAGGCCTAATCGCCACACACCAGCAAAGGCAGGCTATGCTATAGTATCTTCCACATCTATCATTGAGGCTACCACTCTGCCCACCTCCACTACCTCTCAGCAAGCTGAACTCATTGCCTTAACTCGAGCCCTCACTCTTGCAAAGGAACTACGCACTACGCATCAATATTTATACTGACTCTAAATATGCCTTCCATATCCTGCACCACCATGGTGTTAAATGGGCTGAAAGAGGTTTCCTCACTACGCAAGGGTCCTCCATCATTATTGCCTCTTTAATAAAAACTCTTCTCAAGGCCGCTTTACTTCCAAAGGAAACTGGAGTCATACACTGCAAGGGCCACCAAAAGGCATCAGATCCCATCGTTCAGGGCAACGCTTATGCTGATAAGGTAGCTAAAGAAAGAGCTAGCATTCCAACTTCTGTCCCTCACAGACAGTTTTTCTCCTCCTCATGGGTCACTCCCACCTACTCTCCTGCTGAAACTTCCACCTATCAATATCTTCCCACACAAGGCAAATGGTTCTTGGACCAAGAAAAATATCTCCTTCCAGCCTCACAGGCCCATTCTATTCTGTCATCATTTCATAACCTCTTCCATGTAGGTTACAAGCCGCTAGCCCGACTCTTAGAACCTCTCATTTCCTTTCCATCATGGAAATCTATCCTCAAGGAAATCACTTCTCAGTGTTCCATCTGCTATTCTACTACTCCTCAGGGATTGTTCAGGCCCCCTCCCTTCCCTACACATCCAGCTTGGGGATTTGCCCCTGCCCAGGACTGGCAAATTGACTTTACTCACATGTCCCGAGTCAGGAAACTAAAATACCTCTTGGTCTAGGTAGACACTTTCACTGGATGGGTAGAGGCCTTTCCCACAGGGTCTGAGAAGGCCATCATGGTCATTTCTTCCCTTCTGTCAGACATAATTCCTCAGTTTGGCCTTCCCACCTCTATACAGTCTGATAACGGATTGGCCTTTATTAGTCAAATCACCCAAGCCGTTTCTCAGGCTCTTGGTATTCAGTAGAAACTTCATACCCCTTACCGTCCTCAATCTTCAGGAAAGATGGAACGGACTAATGGTCTTTTCAAGACACACCTCACCAAGCTCAGCCTCCAACTTAAAAAGGAGGACTCTGTCAAGGATACAGCCCAAAAACTCAACAACCAAGCAAGTAATTACGCTGAACAGCCTTGGGCACTCTCTAATTGGATGTCCTGGGTCCTCCCACTTCTTAGTCCTTTAATACCTATTTCTCTCCTTTTATTCAGACCTTGTGTCTTTCATTTAGTTTCTCAATTCACACAAAACCGCATCCAGGCCATCACCAATAATTCTGTATGACAAATGCTCCTTCTAACAACCCCACAATACCACCCCTTACCCCAAAATCTTTCTTCAGTTGAATCTCTCCCACTGTAGGTTCCCATGCTGCCCCAATCCCACTCGAAGCAGCCCTGAGAAACATTGCCCATTATCTCTCCATACCAGCCCCAAAATTTTTCGCCACTCCAACACTTCACCACTATTTTGTTTTGCTTTTCTTATTAATATAAGAAGACAGGAATGTCAGGCCTCTGAGCCCAAGCTAAGCCATCATATCCCCTGTGACCTGCCTGTATACATCCAGATGGCCTGAAGCAACTGAAGATCCACAAAAGAAGTGAAAATAGCCTTAACTGATGACTTTCCACCATTGTGATTTGTTTCTGCCCCACCCTAACTGATCAATGTATTTTATAATCTCCCCCACCCTTAAGAAGGTTCTTTGTAACCCCCCCCCCGACCCTTAAGAAGGTTCTTTGTAATTCTCCCCACCCTTGAGAATGTACTTTGTGAGATCCAACCCCTGCCTGCAAAACATTGCTCCTAACTCCACCGCCTATCCCAAAACCTATAAGAACTAATAATAAACCCACCACCCTTTGCTGACTCTCTTTTCGGACTCAGCCCGCCTGCACCCAGGTGAAATAAACAGCTTTGTTGCTCACACAAAGCCTGTTTGGTGGTCTCTTCACACAGACGCACGTGACATTTTGATTGTTTGGAAAATTCAGTCTCCTCTCTATGAAAGAGTAAAAGTTTGCTTTTTGAAATATTTGAATCATCACTTTGGCTAGATGAATGACTACAATTTTAAACTCACTTTGCCAACACACTGACATTGGCAGAGTGCAAAGATGGCAAGAGGCTGGGTCCATGGTGACACTGTTAGGGAAACAGGAGCATAACAGAGTCAGGGTGACACCATTTTAAAATCAATTGTGGCTGGGCACAGTGGCTCATGCCTGTAATCCCAGCACTTTGGGAGGCTGAGGTGGGCGGATCACCTGAGGTCAGGAGTTCAAAGCCAGCCTGGCCAACATGGAGAAACCCCATCTCTATTAAAAGTACAACAATTAGTTGGGCATGATGGTGGGCACCTGTAATCCCAGCTACTTGAGAGGCTGAGGCAGGAGAATTGCTTGAGCCCGGGAGGCAGAGTTTGCAGTGAGCTGAGATCGTGTCACTGCACTCCAGCTTGGGTGACAGTGTGACACTCTGTCTCAAAAAATAAAATAAAATAATAAAATAATAAAATCAACTGCATCTTCAAACTAGCAAGGCACATTCCTTGGCAGTCACAACTCATGGCCATGATATGTTTTGGGTGAAGGAAGCGATTTAGTAATGCCTGCAAGGGCAAACTCCTATGGTGGCAGGGTGTCCAGATATCCTAATAGCACATAACAATATCTGCTTTTGAGATAGGTAAAGTCATGCTTTGAAGTATTTCCTCACTAAAATACCAAGGATAATTTTATTTAAATCAACAAAGCACTAAATTTTCTTTTTTCTTTTTTGAGATGCTCACTCTGTCGCCCAGGCTGGAGTGCAGTGGCACGATCTCGGCTCACTGCAAGCTCCACCTCCTGGGTTCACGCCATTCTCCTGCTTCAGCCTCCCAAGTAGCTGGGACTATAGGCGCCTGACACCATGCCTGGCTAATTTTTTGTATTTTTAGTAGAGACGGGGTTTCACCATGTTAGCCAGGATGGTCTTGATCTCCTGACCTCGTGATCCACCCGCCTTGGCCTCCCAAAGTGCTGGGATTACAGGTGTGAGCCACCACACCCGGCCTAAATTTTCTTTAAAAAAAAAAAATTATTGTATTTATGGCTGGGCACTGTGGCTCATGCCTGTAATTTTAGCACTTTGGGAGACTGAGGCAGGCGGATCACTTGAGGCCAGGAGTTTGAGACCAGCCTGGGCAACATGGCAAAATCCCATCCCTAATAAAAATACAAAAAAAAATTAGCTGAGCATGGTGGCACATGCCTGTAGTCCCAGCTACTTGGGAGGCTGAGGTGGGAGGATCACTTGAACCCGGGAGGCAGAGGTTGCAGTGAGCCAAGGTCGTGCCACTACTCTCCAGCCTGCACAACAGAAAGGACTCCATCTCCAAAAAAAAAAAAAAAAAAAGTATTTATTTATTTTTCATTTATTCCAGGCAGAAGAAACAGCAAATGCATAGGTCCTGAGGCAGGCATGCATTTGGCATGTTGGAAAACATGTGGCACTGGCCAGACCAAGCAAGGCCTTGGAGAACATGAAGAGCAGTCTGGCTTTTGCTCCAGTTGCCACAGAAGTCACTGGAAGAGGCCTCCTCTGAGATAAGACACTAAGAAAGCAGTGTCAGGCCAGTTAGACAGGTCTGGACTTGTCTTCTGGAGTCAAATGCAGGCGGCAGACATTTAAATGGCCAGTCACAGAGAGGGTGATGGGGGCCATGATGGGTGACCCACAGGGCCGTGAGAGCACAGAGGAGGGACCCTGCCCCATCCTGAGGGCCCAAGGGTCCTTCCCAGGGGAAGAGAGAGCTCAGCTGAGACCTGAAGGCTGCAGCAGAGTTAGCCAGCTTGAAAGAGAACGACAAGGGATGGGATGGGAAGTGGATTCCAGGCAGAGGAAGAAGCAACTGCAAACGCCTGAGAAGAGAAAGCCTGGAGCATTTGGGGGACCAGAAGGGGGTTAATGTGGCTGGATTGTAGATGCAAACAGGGGTTGGCCTGGGGGGCAGGCGGCAGCGGCTAGGAGGGCTCTGCTTTTCTCACTTGATATACTGTGAACATTTTTCTATGTCAGAAAGGATCCTTCTGCTATAGGATTTTTAAGGGCTGAGCATTACGTCGTGGAATAACTGGTTCTCCAGTGTCAGACATTTAGGTTCTTTCTAGTTTTTCCCTCTTAGAAACAATGCTATGTTGAACATCTTTGTCTGTGCATCTTTGTGCACACGTATTATTATTTCTGTGCGGTAAAGTTGGGAAGTCTCGGAGGCTACTTGGTGGACAGGATTGAGAGCTGCCTTGGAGAGGCCTGAGTCAGATCTGTTTGCCAGATCAGCCTCCACTGGGTTTCTACTGGAGGGGCCATACACAGGGAGATGCAGGGAGAAGGCCTGAGGGAGAGATAGAGAGCCCTGATTGTGAGCTGTGGCTGCCCAGGCCAGATAATGGCAGGGGAGAGAGGAGGCCCCGATCCTGGGCCCCTGTCTGTGCTGTCGGCCTGGTGCGTTAGCTCCTGGTGCCTTCTAAAGAGGCAACAAAAGTACTTCAAATTGAGCATGAGCTTGGGTTCAAATCACACCTCTACCGCTAAAAAACTAAGTGCCGTTGGGCCAGTTACTTAGTCATTCTGAATCTCAGCGTCCTTATCTGTAAAATGGGGAAAATAAGCCAATAGGGTTATTGTGAAAGATACATGAGATTAATGAGTCTTGGCGATAGTCCCTGCTCCCAGTAAATGACGGCGTGCATTTTTATTGTCATCTTGGGTCTCCATCCTTTTTAAAAAAATACTTGATTATAACAGCTTTATTGAGATAAAATTCACATGCCATACAATTCACCCATTTAAAGTGTACAATTCAGGCAGGGTGTGGTGGCTCATGCCTGTAATCCTGGCACTTTGGGAGGCCGAGGCGGGCAGATCACTTGAGGTCAGGAGTTCGAGACCAGCCTGGCCAACATGGTGAAACCCCATCTCTACAAAAAATACACAAATTAGCTGGGCATGGTGGTGGGCGCCTGTAATCCCAGCTACTCGGGAGACTGCGGCAGGAGGATCGCTTGAACCCGGGAGATGGAGGTTGCAGTGAGCCAAGGTCATGCCACTACACTCTAGCCTGGGCAACAGAGCAAGACTCTGTCTCAAAAACAACAACAACAGATAAAGTGTACAATTCAATAGTTTTTTATATATTTGTCACAATCAATTTTGGCACTTTTTCATTATCCCCCACAGAAACCCTGTACCTATCAGCAGTCAGTCCTGCAGCCGACCCCCCTCTGGCCCCAGGTAACTGCCAATTACTTTCTGTCTCTATGGATTTGCTCTTTCTAGATGTTTCATAGAAAAGAAGTCATGCAACATGGGGTCTTTTTTTTTTTCTTTTGAGACAGGGTCTCCTTCTCTTGCCCAGGCTGGAGTGCAACAGTGCAATCACAGCTCACTGCAGCCTCGAACTCCAGGGCTCACATGACCCTCCCTGCTCAGCCTCCCAAGTAGCTGGGACCACAGTGCACCGCCATGCCCAGCAAATTTTTAAAAAATTGTTTGTAGAGATGGGTTCTCCCTATGTTGCCCAGGCTAGTCTAGAACTCCTGGGCTCAAGTGATCCTCCCACCCTGGCCTCCCAAAGTGCTGGGATTACAGGCATGAGCCAGTGCGTCCAGGCCTGTGGTCTTTTATGACTGGCTTTGTTCACTTTTTTCATCCCTGTCAGCAATGTATGAGAGTTCTGATTTCTCTGATTCCTTACCAACACTTATTATTGTTTGTCTTTTTTATTGTAGCCATCCTCGTGGGGGTGTGTAGTGGGATCTCATTGTGGCTTTGATTTGCATGGCCTTGACGGTTAATGTTTCTGGTTTTTTTCAGTGGAATCCCCTTTATAAATTCTGGGACACCCTATTCCCAGTGTGGAAACACTAACCTGTTCCAAAGAAAGAAAAAAAATTCTAGATGGAAAAAGATGTTCATTACTGCGACATAACATTTCTTAATACAAGTGACTCGTCTATAGCAGTAGGTAGTTCCTAATTTTTTTTTTTTTTTGAGACAGAGTCTTACTTTGTCACAGGCTGGAGTGCAGTGGCATGATCTCAGCTCACTGCAACCTCTGCCTCCCGGGTTCAAGTGATTCTCCTCCCTCAGCCTCCCAAGTAGCTGGGACTACAGGAACATACCACCACTCCCGGCTAATTTTTGTATTTTTAGTAGAGATGGGGTTTCACAATGTGGAAACACTAGGCCACATTGTGAAATGTGGCCAGGATGGCCTCCATCTCCTGACCTCATGATCTGCCCACCTCGGCCTCCCAAAGTGCTGGGATTACAGGCGTGAGCCACCGCGCCTGGCCTATTATCTTTAATAATTATAAATACTGGGCTGGGCGTGGTGGCTCATGCCTGTAATCTCAGCACTTTGGGAAGCCAAGGTGGGCAGATCACTGGAGGTCAGGAGTTCAAGACCAGCCTGGCCAACATGGTGAAAACTCATCTCTATTAAAAATACAAAAATTACCCTGTCATGGTGGTGCATGCCTGTAATCCCAGCTACTCAGAAGGCTTAGGCAGGACAATCGCTTAAACCTGGGAGGCGGAGGTTGCAGTGAGCCGAGATTGAGCCACTGCACTCCGGCCCAGGCGAGAGAGTCAGACTCCATCTCAAAATAATAATAATAATTATAATAACTATAAAGACCAGCTATCATATGGAAAATGTCCCTGATGTGTGAACAAATGCAGGATGGAAAAATACTCAGTGTAGTCATTTTAGCTAATATATATTTGTTAAAACATCCAAATATTTTTTTCGAGCTCGGCGCTGTGTGCCAAGCTCCATGCTGGCTCATGGACAAAGTCAGGAAAAGAACAAGCAAAAATGAAATTCCTTCTTGTGTCGGGAGTGGTGGGGTTTTGGGGGACAGGTATCTCCCCTTCCCCATGTTTTCTTCTCAAACTTCCTCCACTGTTGTTATATTACCTTTGCAGTGATAAAACCAAGAGAACAGAAGAAATACTTCTGGACCTAAGGATGAAAGAATGATGGGAGAAACATTTCTTGAGCCAGTCCCTTTCTGCGTTCTTATTTTGTGGAATCCGCACACATCCCCGAGAAGCTTAATAAAAAGGGCTACTATCATGACACTTACTGTGTGCCTTGCCGGTTCCACCTGTTAGGTGCCATTGTTGTCCCCATTTTACAGATGAGGAAACTGAGGCGGGGCAAGGAGATGCCCTTCTGCTTGGTGGTCTATCCTTCAGCATTACCCACACACATGCAGAGCTACATATAAGCTCACGTTCACACTCGGATTCACGTCTGCACCCATGGGCACATGGAGGATCGCACAAGCCACACTCAGACACACATGTGTGCTCACACACAGGGCTGCCCATGTCCACAGGTATGTGCATGGGGACACGCATGTATATATGTGCATATTCCCATATGCACACAGCACAGGTCAAACACTTTTGGACACACATCTGCCTGAGAATGGGAAAAGGGGTGCAAGATAAAGGGGCAAAGTCTGGCTTTTGCCTCCTCCCTGCACCTGCTACCAGCTGTGTGCAGGACTGGGTGGGGCAGAAATAGGTGGCTCTGAGCTCAGAGGGCAGAGGTGGCCTTGCACTAGAAATCCACCTGCCAAACTTCCAAATGGGCTACAGCGACTAAGGGGCCTCACCTGCTGGGCAAATCCCCCAGCTGGAGGGTGTGCTCCAGATCCTCCAGGGGTCCCCAGGGGGTTGAGAAGATGAGGGGCACACCCAGCAGCCCCTAAGGGAGGAAGCGTGGCCATACTGGCTAAGGGGGCGCACTCTTCTTGCAGGCCGCCTGATCAGATGCCTGTAAAATAAGACAGCTTTACAAAGAGGGTGTCGGAATGTGAGGAGGCAGAGGGACAGGCATGAGTAGAAAGACCTTCCTCAGGACCTGAAGTCCAATGATCCTGGTCCTGCGTCCCACTAGCTAGGTGATATTGAACAAGTCACATAACCTCTTTGAACCTCAATTTCCTCATTTGTAAACTTTGCACAAATCATTTCTTTGACTGCTAAACAAGTATGTTTTGAGGACCAACGACATGCCAGGTACGGTGCTGGGCACTGGGAAAACAGCAGCAAGCAACACAGACATGGGCTTGCCGTGTAGAGCCTGCAGAATTAGGGAAAGGATAAATGGAAACATCTCACACATAGTAAGTGCTCAGTTACGTTCCTCCTGGTCTCTCTTTTCTACCATTGTAAAGGCGATGCAATAACATAGAAAGTTGGGAGAATGGGGTGGCGGTTGCTGAGGGGGGAACTCTGTCATCCAGAATCCCACCACCCCAACACAATGACTAGCTTCATTTTTGCCAATTTCATCAGCTCATGCAGGGGTTGACCTGCTGTAGGGCACTCAAAATATTCAAACCAATTAATGCATTGCATTTGTGATCAGAAGAAAAAAGCTAATTACAATGTAACAGATTTACCTGATGCAAAGCAACGCAAGCATGGCCATCCCTCTGCATATATGGAAGCTTTTCCTTTTGGGGGAAACAGCAATATTTCCATTTTACGGAAAAAGAAATGGAGGCACAGAGAGGTCAAGGCACTTGCCCAAGGTCACACAGACAGAAATGCGAAGAGCAGCTCCAGAGGCCAGAACTCCTGCCCATCCTGTCCAGGACTGTGGGATGCATCCAGGGACGGACACTGGGGCTGTGGGCTGGATGACTTGGCTGCCTTTGCATTGATTGGAGCTGTTTAGGGAACCTACCCCAGCCACTAGCATCCAGTCCTAGAGACACAGAAAATTCACTGGCCAGCCTCACTTTTGAGCCCAGAAACCCCTTACCCTTCCTCCTGCCTCTTGAGAGGCCAGTGTTAGGTGTTAGCCGGGGTGCAAAGCTCTGGAAGGCAGGTTTCTGCTTTCTGCTGCCCTCCAGTGGGCAAAGAAAGCAAACCTCTGGATCCATCTGGAAGCAGGTAGCAGGTGTTGCCCAAGTCAGCTGCGGCTAATAGTAATAATAATGGCTGCCGCTCAATGAGCACTTACCACGTGCAGACGTTTTTACACCTAATCTAATGTAACCTAACCCCTTTAAGCAATTTAATTAACATTTAATTCCTCTCTCAAGGTAGGAATCACTTCCTATATACCCATTTACATACATAATCTGAGACTTAGAAAAATGACTTCCCAAAGTCACAAAGCTGGTCAGTGGCAGAGCCGAGAGTGCAAGTCCTTGGAGATCAGAGGAGGAAGAGACCATGATCCTGGACCAGGAGACAGCCCTGCATTCTTGGGCACAGAGGTGAATTTACTGTGAGGCTGGTGACGCATCAGGGCTCCTGACTTGCATGTCCTCTCCCAGGGCCATGGAGGAACTTTCCAACGCATTCGCATGGGCATATGTTTCACATTTGCAAAACTAACACATTTCAGTTGCAATTGGCTGAGACCACTATCTCTCTCCACTGCCTAGAATAATGTCTTCACATAGTAGGTAATAAATATGTGCTAATAAATCCATTTTGTGTTTAATAAATCATGTTGAATGAATGGGTAGAGAAATGAAGGAAGGAAGGAAGTGGCATTTAGTTCAATCTTGAAGGAAGGGCAGGATTTGAGAGAGCGTTCCTCATGTAGCCTAGTGGGCCCCTCCACACACAGACCATCCAAGGCCATGAGTGGCCTTGAATGCCAGGGTGAGGAATCTGGCCTTAGGTGGTAGGCACTGGGGAGCCATGGAAGGTTGCAGAGCAGAGGAAGGATATGAGTGTAATTGTCAATTAGGCAAGAGTTGAATGTCAAATAAGAGGACAGGGCCCTACAGCGGGGGGCCAGAGTGGCTCAGATAAAACTCCCCTCATCCAGCACCACACAGAGAGCTGGTGCTCAGCCAGTGTGATCACAGAAGCCTCTGCTGGGGTGTCTATAAGCTCCCTGGAAGAAGATATCCAAATGCTTTGCATGTGTGGCTTTGTGTATGTGTGTGTGTGGGGGGGGGAGGGGAGGTGCTGAGTGTGGATTTGCTCAGCACTCTAGTGTGCCCAGCCCAACGTGGGGGAAAGGTCAAGGCCCTGTCTGGCTTAGGCAGGGAGTTCTCAGCATTGCAGTATGACTGAGCCTCTGGCTGGAAAGTAAGGGAGCCAAGAGAAAACAGGTTTAGAAGTTGGCTAGGCAGAAGTGGACCTATGAAATTCCAGCTGCACCAGCTGCTTCTTTTGCTAAGCTCCCGTCATCCTTTCTCTCTCTCCACTGGGTCTTTCTGAATGTCAAGAATCCCAGCCACTGTTTAGTTAGCACTTGTTTTTTGCCACACTCTGTGAAGCACCTTCAAGCCCGATCACCGGATTATTCCTCCAACAACGCCGAGAGTGAGAAGAATGGCTATTATTTCGATTTTATAGGTGAGGAAGTAGAAAGCCCAGAGAGGTGAAGTTGCTTACCTGAGGTCACATAGGAGTCAATGGTATACGTGAGATCAAACCCAGACTCCAGAGGCAGCCCCCCTCAGTCGCCAGCCGTCCTGCCTCCTCTCCTGGTCTAAGCTGGGGAGGAAAAACCCATCTTGGCCAGCAGGGGGCGGTGTGCCCTCAAGGATAAGCCCTGCTTCCCAGAACTCAGACAGAATTTGCCAGCAAGACAACAGCACGATTCTGAAATATCTGGCTTTGAGCCCTCATTTAGTCCCAACTCTGGTGGGGCCTGGAGAACGGGGAGAGGGGTGAGAGAAGTATAAAATAGCCCTCAAATTGGTGAGCCAATGGTTCACAGAAAGGAAAGCGCAGCGGCATTTTAACATATAAAAAGATTCTCATTTTCACTCCTAGGAAGAGAAACGTGTTAAACCCACACCACCTGAGCAGGCACTGTTTTGCTATCAAACTGGCAAACTTATGCAGGTGGGGATATGGAGACACACTCCTTCTTACATTGTTGGTGGGATTAAAACTTGGTTTTGGCCAGGTGCGATAGCTCACACCTGTAATCCCAGCACTTTGGGAGGCCGAGGAGGGCGGATCACCTGAGGTCGGGAGTTCAAGACCAGCCTGGCCAATATGGCGAAACCCTGTCTCTACTAAAAATACAAACATTAGCTGGGTGTGGTGGCACACGCCAGTAGTCCCAGCTACTCGGGAGGCTGAGGCAGGAGAATCACTTGAACCCAGGAGGCGGAGCTTGCAGTGAGCTGAGATCTCGCCATTGCACTCCATCCTGGGCAACAGAGTGAGACTCCATCTCCAAACAAACCAAAAAAAAAAAAAAAAAAAAACCAGAAAAGAAAACTTGGTTTAACACCTATAGAAGCTAATCTGGTAACATCTATCAAAATTAAAAATGCACATATCTAACAGGTATGCATGATACATTCATCAAAAGACTTGAACTAGACCTGCATGATCTGATGTGGAGCCACCCACCACATGTGGCTGCTGAGTCCTTGAAATATGGCTGATCCAAGCCTGGCTGACATGGCAAAACCCTGTCTCTACTAAAAATACAAAAATCAGCCAGGCGTGGTGGCACGTACCTGTAGTTCCAGCTACTTGGGAGGCTGAGGCACAACAATTGCTTGAACCCAGGGGCGGAGGCTGCAGTGAGCCAAGATCGTGCTACTGCACTCCGGCCTGAGCAGCAGAGCGAGACAGTCTCAGAAAAAAGAAAGAAATATGGCTGGTCAAATTGAGATGTGCTGCAAGTGTGAAATATATATGGGATTTTGTATACTAACAAAAATGCAAAATGACTCCTTAATAACTTGCTAATATTGATGATGTGTCGCAATAATATTTTGGATAGATTGGATTAAGTAATTTTTATTTTTGTTTTTTATTTTTTTGAGACGGAGTCTCACTATGTCGCCCAGGCTGGAGTGCAGTGGCATGATCTTGGCTCACTGCAACCTCTGCCTCCCGGATTCAAGTGACTCTCCTGCCTCAGCCTCCTGAGCAGCTGGGACTACAGGCACCTGCTACCACCCGTAGTTAATTTTGTTTTGTATGTTTAGTAGAGATGGGGTTTCACCATGTTGGCCAGGCTGGTCTCAAACTCCTGACCTCAAGTGATCTGCCCACCTCAGCCTCCCAAAATGCTGGGATTACAAGCATGAGCCACTGTACCTGGCCTGGGTTAAGTAATTTTTAAAATTACTTTTACCTATTTCTTTTTCTTTTTTGAATGTGGCTGCTAGAAATATACATGGCTTGCATTGTGGATCATATTATATATTTTTACCTTTTTATTGTGGTAAGATATGCATAACATTTACCATTTGGACCATTTTTAAGGGTCCAGAAGTTCAGCTGTGTTAAGTACATTCCCATTGTTGCGCAACCATCACCATCATCTACCCCCAGAGCGTTTTCATCTTCCCAAACTGACACTCTGCCTCTATAAAACAACAACTCCGCTTGCTCCTCTCCTCCCAGCCCCTGGCAGCCACTATTCTACTTTCTGTCTCTGTGAACTGGACTATTCTAGGTTGCCTCATACGGGAGAAATCATATACAATTTGTCCTTGGTTGCTGGCTTATTTCACTCAGTATAGTGTCTTCAAGGTTCACGCATGTTGTAGCATATGTCAGACCTTCCTTCCTTTTTTAAGACTGAATAATGTTCCATTGTAAGGATATACCACATTTTGTTTATCCATTCATTCACTGATGGGCATTTCGGTTGTTTCCACTTTTGGCTATGGTGAATAGTGCTGCTGTGAACATTTTGGTACAAATATCTGTTTGACTCATATTTTCAGTTCTTCTGTGTCTATCATATTTTATTGGACAGGACTATGCCAGTGATCTCCATAGCCACATAATTTGAAATATCCCTAAACCAGGAACTACCCAAATGCTCATCGACAGCAGAACGGATAAATTGTGGTATCTTCATACAATGCAATACTCCAGTGAGAATGAAAATGAATGAACAACTACACACAGCAGTGTAGATGGAACTTGCACACATATGTGTCGAGCAAAAGAAGCCACACGCAAAATAATACATATTGTGTGATTCCACTCACAAAAAGTTCACAAGAGGCAAAACTAATTTATGATGTTAAAGTCAGGATGATGGCTGCTCTTTGGGGGCCATCTGGGGGCTTCTCTGGGGCTGACAATGTTCTGGACACCATCTTCAGGAGCGTGGTCACTCCGTGAAAATTCATCAAGCTAAGCACTTGGGATTTGTGTGCAACTTTGTGTATAAGTTAGACTTCCATAAGAAATTCCAAAAGATGCTTTGATCCAGCAATTCCACTCTTAGGAATTAAACGACAGATATATTTTCATATGTGTGAAATGAGGTGTGTACAAGATTATCCACTGCCGTTTTTATCAGCAAAAGATTGGAAACATGCCATCTCACACCTACTAGGATGACTACTATTTTTAAAAAATGAAAATAAGTGTTGGTGAGGATGTGAAGAAATTGGAACCATTGTGCCCTGTTGGTAGGAATGTAAAATGGTATAACAGCCACGGAAAACTGTACAGCAGTTCCTCGAAAAATGTAAAATAAAATTACCTTATGATCCAGTCATTCTGCTTGTGGGTGTGTGCCCAAAATAACTGAAAAGCAGGGTCTTGAACAGATATGTGTACACCCGTGATCATAGCAGCACTATTCACAATAGTCAAAGGTGGAAGCAATCCAAGTATCCAACAATGGACGAATGAATAAACAAAGTGTGGTCTATATGTAAATGGAATATTATTCAGCCTTAAGGAGGAAGGAAATTCTGATAGATGCTACAGCGTGGATGACCCTTGAGGACACTATGCTAAATGAGATGAGCCAGACAAGAAGGCACAAATACTGTATTATTCCACTTAGACAAAGTATCTGTCTAAAGTAGGCTGGATGCGGTGGCTTACGCCTATAATCCCAGCACTTTGAGAGGCCAAGGTGGGCAGACCACCTGAGGTCAGGAGTTTGAGACCAGCCTGGCCAACATGGTGAAACCCCATCTTAACTAAAAATACAAAAGTTAGCCAGGCGTGGTGGTATGTGCTTATAATCCCAGCTACTGGGGAGGCTGAGGCAGGAGAATCGCTTGAACCCGGGAGGCGGAGGTTGCAGTGAGCCGAGATCGCGCCACTGCACTCCAGCCTAGGCGACAGAGTGAGATCCGTCTCAAAAAAAAAAAAAAAAAAAGTAGCCCAATTCATAGGGACAGAAAGTAGAATGGCAATTCCAGGAGCTGGGAGGAGGGGGAATAGGATGTTAGTGTTTAATGGGTACAGAGTTTCAGTTTTGCAAGGTAACATTTTGGAGAGGTTTGGTGGTGATGGTTGCAGAACAATGTGACTATATTTAATGCCACAAAACTGTACACTTCAAATGATTAATTAGCTAATTTTTGGTTTTTTTTTTTTTGAGATGAAGTCTCGCTGTGTCACCCAGGCTGGAGTGTAGTGACGTGATCTCGACTCACTGCAAGCTCCACCTCCTGGGTTCATGCCATTCTCCTGCCTCGGCCTCCCTAATACCTGGGACTACAGGCACCTGCCACAACGCCCAGCTAATTTTTTGTATTTTTAGTAGAGACGGAGTTTCACCGTGTTAGCCAGGATGGTCTCGACCTCCTGACCTCGTGATCCACCTGCCTCGGCCTCCCAAAGTGCTGGGATTACAGGCGTGAGCCACTGTGCCCTTCCTAATTAGCTAAATTTTATGTTATGTATATTTTGCTGCAATTAAAATTTTTCAAGTGAGGTATCTATAAGGAAAGGTGAGAAAATATGTAAGATACAAAGATAATAAAATCCAGAGCAAGAACAGTATATAAGTCCTGTTTCCTTATGTTGAAATATATCAAAATATTCAACAGAAGACCCCAGGATAGGAAAGATGTGAAATTCTAGACTGGATCATCAGGTCCGACGGATTTACAAAGAAGGTGGCCGAGGATCTCTCTCCCCAGCCTTCACCCCCTCACTGACTGTGGGAAAATAAAGGGCTTGGGGTTTGGGGAGGAGGTGTTGCAGGAGGAGCGGCAGCTCCAGCTATGAGACCTCACCCAGAGGGGGCCAATACTGCCCCTCCAGATGCCAGGCAGGGGACATGGAAGGGTTTGGGGATTCGTTGTGGGCTGGGGTGGGGGTAGCTTGCAGGGGTCTGCTTGGGTCTTGTTCCCTAGGGCCTCCTGGAGGGTGGAGTGGTCTTAGCAGCAAGAAGCTGGAGTTGGATGTTGGATTCCTGAGGGCCGAGGAAGGACTTGCAAGGGACCTCCAGAAGGAGAAGTGCATCCCCCCCAGGGTCAAGAGTGAGGGAGCCCTGCAGCAATGGCCATCTGTGGGACATCTGTGACACTGTCAGCTGGAAGCCAGCAGGATGGCGGCAGCTCAAGTGAGACCCTTCCCCTCCCCTTACTATCTCCACAGCCCCCACTTGTGGGGGAGGGGAGGAGGTCCAGAGAAGGAGCCCCCCAAACTGCCTCCCCAGGACAGGCCCCAGCTGGGCAAGGGGAGAAGGTTTAAACCTAGATCCAATTGGGAGTTTGGATTAATAGCTTGACTGGACATTTTAAATTTGAGTTGAGACCATGTTTGTGACTTAAAGTGATGGTAGAACTGTCTTATGTAAGAATTGGGGCCAGGCACACTTTGGGAGTCCGAGACAGGTGGATCACTTGAGGTCAGGAGTTCGAGACCAGCCTGGCCAACATGGCAAAACCTGCCTCTACTAAAAATACAAAAATTATCCAGGCATGGTGGTGTGTGCCTGTAGTCCCAGCTACTTGGGAGGCTGGGGCAGAAGAATCGCTTGAACCTGGGAGGCAGAGGTTGCAACGAGCAGAGGTTGCCCCACTGTACTCCAGCCTGGATGACAAAGTGAGTGAGACTTCGTCTCAAAAAAAAGAGTTGGTCCCATTCTCCAGTGGGCTAGCCTTGGCTTGTCTCATGGTGGAGGAGGCTGGCGGGGGTGGGTCAGGTTCAGGGGGGTGGGGGAAGGTGGGGAGCAGAGGGTGGGAGAGAGAGAGAGAGAGAGACTGCAAGGACTGCATTCTTTTTGAGGCTCAGGCTCAGAACTAGCACAAGGTCACTTCCACCACATTCAATGGACCAAAGAGAGTCCCAAAGCCAACCCACATTGGAGAGAACGAAGGCAAAGTCACATTGCAAAGGGGTGTGGAAACAGATAGTGGTGCAGAATCTGGCCCGCTTTCATAATCAGTCCACTGGAAGACTTTGTTTTCCTCGCAAGGAAGGTTGGAAATGTAGACTCACTGCTTGTCCAGGCAGAAGAGGAAATGAGTTCAGGGAAGAGCTTGCCAGTCCCCAGCCTTTGCCCAGCCCCCTACTCATGCACATTTAGGCACACACCTACTGTGTGCTCAGCCCAGCAGGGTAGATTAGAGAGAGCGAGGGCGTCGGGATAGAGGGCCTGATTCCCCAACCGGGTGACTATCACTTCCGGTCTCATGACCTCCATGTTCTCATCTGTAAAATGGGGATAAACATCCTCATCATCTCTCCTGCCATTGGTATGGTGGTGACAAAAAACACTTTATCGATTCATGAAAGTCATCAGACAAAGTGGATGATGCTGTCCCTGCCCTCAAAGGTGTTAAATAAAGAAGATGAGAATTCAATACATGTCCCCAGCTCTGGTGAGACTGTAGGGGTTGTGTTAACAAGGGAGGGAGAGACATCAGAGAGCTGTTGGCAGGGGAGAGCCCTGTGGCCAAGCCTTGACAGATGGTGAACAGAATCTGGAAAGACAGAGGGCATGGGGCATGGCAGGGTGTGGAAACAGCACACTTGCAAAAGTGTGGAGGCTGGACACATGTGATATAAGGCAGGGTCCCCTACCCCATGATTCAAAGCAGAAATTCGCAAAGACTTTGATGTAGGCTGGGCTGGGAGTTGACTACACTTGCATGCCTGTTGCTTGGCAGGATGGCTTTCAAAAAAGAAAAAAATATAATAATGAAAGATTGAAAACAGATTATTGGGGAGAAAAGTATCCCAGGCGCTAGACGGCTGTCTCTGCAGCCTCTGGCTCCTGTCCCACCCATTCCCCGGCCCTGACGCAAGGCTGGCTGGAAGAAGGTGTTCTCGAGATTGTTCAGGCTGAGGGCCTGACTGGCAGGAGACTGAAGCCTACCCCATTCCTGCCTGGGTGCCAAGCTCTGCATGAGGTTTAAATATACCCACAGCCTGACACTATGCCCTAGATCATGCTAAATGTTTCCATACTCCTTGAATTCTCTTCTCAAGGTTCATTTATTGTCCCCATTTTTCAGATCAGTAAACTGAGGCCCAGAGAGGTTAACTGGTTTGCCCACAGTCACACAGCCAGACAAGTTTGAGTATGTCTGATTCTATTGCCTTATTCCAGGTTTGGGATACAGGCAGAGTAGGGAGAGGTTTAGGATGGTAAAGAAGAATGTTCCAGGAGGAACAGAGTTAGTGTAAGGGCAGTCTAATCTAGAGTCAGAATTTGGAGCTGTTTGTTACAGCAGCATGACCTAGCCTATCCTGACTGATACAAATCATGGTAAACTAATTTATATGTCCTGAAAAATATTAGAACTTAGCATCTACCTCTTAGGAGAGCTTTTTTTTTTTTTTTTAACTTTTACATTTTGGCAAAACACACCGAACATAAAATTTACCATCTAAGCAATTTTAAATGTACAATGCATGGCTTTAAGTACATTCACATTATTGAGTTTCTATCACCATCCTTCCACAGAACTCGTCATCTTGCAAAACTGAAATTCTAAACCCATTAAGGAAACTTCTCATTTCCCCCTCCCCAGCCCCTGGCAATTCCACTTTCTGTCTCTATGAATTGGACTACTTTTGACAGATACCTCCTATAAATGGAATCACACAGTATGCATCTTTCTGTGACTGATTTATTTCACTTAGCATAATGTCCTCAAGCTTCATCCCTGTTGTAGCATGTATCAGAATTGCCTTCCTTTTTTAAGGCTGAAAATCTTCCATTGTGTGGATACACTATATTTTGCTTATCCACTAATCTATCAATGGACACTTGAGTGCCTTTCACCTTTTGGCTATTGTGAATAATCTGCTATGAACATGGACACACGAATATCAGAGGCAGCCTTTTCAAGCAAAGGGTTTTTGGGGAAAAAGCCACTGTCCAGGACTCTAGGCTTGGCCACTAACTTGCTGTGTAGCTGTGGGCACATTGCTTCCTGCATCGTGTATGGCAATTCTAACTCTCTCCACCTTCACTGCCTACTCACAGCCGTGTGCTGGGGACCAGATTAGACCATGGACTATGAAACTCTCAGCAAAGAAAAAGCCACGAGGGGCTGTTATTGTTATTACTCAGTGGGGTCAGGGCAGTGGCTTCCCAAAGGCATGAGTCACTCATGGTGGAATTCCAGACATCAGGAGGGCCGTTCTGGGCAGCAGAGCCCAGATTCCAGACAGAGCAGTGACCCTGACCCGGAGCCCCTAGGGGAGCCACACCCTTTCTCTTTGGCCACTGGCTGCTGTGAGGAAGGAGTCAGTGAATGTCATAATCATATGGGCACTTAGGGTGAGAGCCTCCAGTCCCACTGCCTCACGTAACTATTTAAGGAGGCTCAGAAAGGGTCATGCACTTGCCCAGAGTCACACAGCTAGACAGTGGTGGAAGCTGGCCTGGGTCAGATTTGGACATCTACAGAAGCCCTTCTCCTCCCTGCTCGCACCCCTCTTAGCCCCAGCATGTGAGGAAGGCAGCTGTCTCCCTGAGCTCCGTCCTTCTATGCCTTGGGTTTAGCCATGTTGACTGCTGTAACAAATAACTCCAAAACCTCAGTGGCTTTGCATTATAAATGCTTGGTTCTTTCTCACATCAAACTGCAATAAGTCTTGACAGGAGGGCTCTGTTTTCTGCAGGTCATATAGGGATTGAGACTTTTCCTATTTGTGGCTTTCCTCATTCTCAGAGTCCTCTCCATTCAGCAGGCAGATGGCAGAAAGATTGTGGGTAGAAGATTTTTATAAGCCAGACCTGAAATCAGTACAATTATTTTTGCTTACATCCCATTGGCCAGAGCTCAGTCACATGACCACATCTAACTGCAAAGAAGGCTGGGAAATGTATCCCACATGTGTGCCCAGGAAGAAGAAGATGGCTATTGGTGAGCCTTGGTAGTCTTCCACAAGAACATGACCCAGTTCTGGCCAATAAAACATAAAGAAAGTATGCTGGGACAGGAGGTTTGAGAAGGGCTGGCCTCAATTATTATATAAAAAGGGGTGTGGGGAAGGTCCCCTATTCTTTCCCTTTAAGTGGTTGCATGAGGATGCGATGTCTGGAACTTTGGCAGCCATGTTGAGAGCATGACGGGCCAAGCCTCAGGGCTACAGCCAATATACTGAGGGTGCTGAAGCCAAAATGCGGGTCCTAGATGACATCACTGAACCTCTGAATGAACCAAAACTGGAGCCACGTAACCTCCAGATTTCTTGACTGCGAAGGCACCTATTATTGAATTCAGGAGTAATAGGGTATTCTATTACTTGCAGCCTAAAACATCCTAGCTGATTGACACTCAGGTGCAAATGCTGAAAACAGCTAAGAGGACAAGGTTAAGCCATGCCAGCTGTTACAACGAATAACTCCAAAACCTCAGTGGCTTTGCACTACAAATACTTGGTTCCCTTGAAACCCCTCCTCTGCTTGAAGTTAGGTAGAGCCAAGTAACATAGCTTTGGCCTACTCTGGATGTTGTGCTTTTTTGGGGAAGTTGGGGACAGAGCAGCAGTTCAAGCACAAAATGACCTGGCTGCTTTGTGCCAGGTCCTTTATACACACAGTGTATACACGGGAGCAAAATGCCTGGACTCAAATCTTGAGTCTGCCACCTCACCAGCCATGTGACCTTGGGCAAAGTCAATCAACCTCACTGAGCCCTAGTTTCCCCATTGAAAACATTGGGGTGATTATAAATATTCTACCCACAGAGTAAAGGATTAAATGTCCAATTCAGATAAAGAACTTGGCACATTATCTGTAAATAAACACTTAAAAGATTCTGACCAGAGCCTGGTGGGATGTGAGTAATATCAACCCCACCTTAGAGATGGGGAGTCTAGGGTTCAAGGAAATGAAGTCCAAGGACATATAAATAATAAGAGACAGAGCCTGGATTTTAATACAGACCTAATTGAACACCTGCTATGTGCCAGGCATTGTGTGAGGTGTTTAGATATATTATCCCATTGAACATACTAGCAATCCTGCATGGGAGGTATTATTATTATCATTATTGTTATTCCTATTGGACAAATGAGAAAGCCAAAACTCAGAGAAGTGAAAAGACTTGCCTACAGGCCAGGTCAAGATGCAGTACTTGAACCTAGGCTGAGTCCAAGCCTTTATTCTTTCCACCATGTATAAGCCTCCCTAACAGAAGCCCACCAGACTATTATAGTGGAATTGTAGGCATCAGAGGAGTAATACATTTGGCTCCCATGGCTATTCAGGGTTCCCTGAAGTCATCCCCAAAAGCTGGCTGCCAGTCCAGCCTGTCACCAAGGTTGTCCTGGTGATGGCTTTACCCTCACTCCTCCAGTAGAATAACTGGGCCCTGGAGTGGATGGTCCTGAGGGAGGAAGTTTGGCTCACTTGATAAAGCAGAACTTTCAAACACTTTGAGCTCATCCATGATGGAATAGGCTGCCTTGGGATGCGATGAGTTCTGTGGTCCTGGGAGGATACAAGCAGAGAAAGTCTGGTGGCCACCTGCAAGGAAGATTATTAAGACAGTTACTGCATAGAAAGTGAAATTAGATTCAAAGACCTTTCAGGTTTGAAATCTGTGGTTGCAAGATTCTCAGGTCCCATTTTCTCAGATTCCAGTCTAAGATTACATGATACTCAAAATCCAGGAATCTAAGGCTGCACGAGTTTTCTCCTTGGATTTTTTGTTCCCTATTTAGGCAGTTAGACTGCAGAACATCTACTGACTCAGGAAACAGATGTGTTAGTAAAAGCAGAGAATACATTTCTGGGTTTCAAAAACACCCCTTCCTCCCAGGAAAGAACATTCCTAAGAGACTTGGGCATCTTGAACACCTAATGAATCTGAAAGAGGCTCTCACTTTCTGTGACTGTCTTTAGGGACTGTCCACAAATACTCTGTTTCTTTTCCTTTTAGGGTGCCTTAGTCTGTTCAGGCTGCTACAGCAAAACATCTTAGACTGGGTAATTTATAAACAACAGAAATTCATTGCTCACAGTTCTGGAGGTTGGGAAATTCAAGATCAAGGCTCCAGCAGACTCAGTGTCTGGTGGGAGCCTGTTTCTTATAGATGGTGACTTCTGTGTGTCCTCACATGGCAGAAGGGACAGATGGGCTCCCTCAAGCCTCTTTTACAAGAACACTAATCCCATTCATGGGTGGAGCCCTCCTGACCTAATCAACTTCCAAAGGCCCCACCTCTTAAGGCTATCACTGTGGGGATTAGGTCTCAACATCTGAACTTTGGGGAACACATTCAGACCACAGCACAGGCCCATAGTAGGATTTCCACTTGAACTCCCTCCTCTGCTTGAAGTTAGGTACAGCCAAGTAACAAGCTTTGGCCAATGAAATGTGTGCAGAAGTGAAGTGTGCCACTTCCTGGGGGAGACTTTAGGAGCCAGTCTGTGGCTTGATGCTTTCTCTTGCCCTCTGCTGTGCAACAGTTGAAATGGTGGTTGTTCTATCAGCTGGGATCCAGGAGCAAGGAGACACAGAGCAGCGCAGCAGCTGCCCAGCAGGGGACGTGCATCAGGAGCCACTGAGAAACAGGACTTGAGCGTTGCTGTTACTGTAGCAGAACTCACCCTACCCTGACTGATGCACAGCTCTCCCCTCCCCTCCCTCCTTCCTCCCATCTAAGAAGGCTGGGAAGGAGGTCAGAGAAAAAGCTATGAGTGAGCATATTTTGGATTTTGTTGGTCAGTGGGCCCCAGAGAGCTTTGAAGAATTCAGAAGCAGAGAGCAGGGAGGATCTCAAGAGATAAAATGGCCAAGAGGGCCAGAGACAACCTCACGCCTAGATACAATTGGGGAAAAAAAATGAATGGAGCTGGGAAAGTGATGGGGTTGGGGAAAAAAATCCCAATTGAATAAGATGAATTTTCTGCCCACATATGGAATGGAGCATTGAAATGAGAATGAATTTAAAATAGATTACATTTCCAGCCCATCTGAATTTCAGACTGAGAATATCTGCTGCACATAATTCAAGATCCCACAGTCTCAAGAGGCTTGGGTCCTGGGCTTTGACAATGACTCTTTTCCTGGGCAGAAGGTTGTACATGGACACTGGGAGCACCTAGGCCTGGAAGCTGGGAGAACTAGGCTCTCCTGTCTGATGTCACTTTCCCTGTCACTTTCCCAGGGAGGCCTTCCCTGACTGCCTGACTTAAAAGGAACTTCCTCTACCACCCTGGCCATTCTCTATTCCTCTTCTTAACATCAATTGACACACCACAAGTTTTCATTTTTTTTTTTTTTTTTTCTTGAGATGGAGTCTCACTCTGTCACCCAGGCTGCACCCAGGCTGGAGTGCAGTGGCACGATCTCAGCTCACTGCAACCTCCACCTCCCAGGTTAAAGCGATTCTCCTGCCTCAGCCTCCCGAATAGCTGGGACTACAGGCACGTGCCACCACGTCCAGCTATACTGATGTGTTTATTGTCTATTTCCCCACTTGACTGTAAGTTTCAAAATGGCAGATATTCCTCTCTCTCTCTCTCCCTCTTTTTTCTTTTCCCTTTTATTTATAAAAAACTTCAAACATACAGAAAACCTATCATGAAGACCCATTTACCGCTTACCCATCATCTAGATTTCCAACTGTTAACATTTTACTGTATTTGCATCATGTTTTTTGGTGCTGGCATTTTCTGAAGTATATAATATTCTTCACTATATTTCCTTTTAAAAAATTGAAGATGGCCGGGCGCGGTGTCTCACGCCTATAATCCCAGCACTTTGGGAGGCGGAGGTGGGCGGATCACGAGATCAGGAGATCAAGACCATTCTGGCTAACATGGTGAAACCCTGTCTCTACTAAAAATACAAAAAATTAGCCGGGCGTGGTGGCGGGTGCCTGTAGTCCCAGCTACTTGGGAGGCTGAGGCAGGAGAATGGCATGAACCCGGGAGGTAGAGCCTGCGGTGAGCCGAGATGGTGCCACTGCATTCCAGCCTGGGCGACAGAGCGAGACTCCATCTCAAAAAAAAAAAAAAAAAATGAAGGTAAGGAGTTTTGTCTGTTGTATTCACTGCCATATTACTCACTGCCTGGAAGTTGGTAGGCCTTCAGCAAATAGTTGCTGAGTGAGTAGAAGGCGTTAAATCCTCATGACAACCCTGTGCGGTAGGTGTTATTATCCCCCATTTTACAGAAGAGGAAACTAAGGCACAGAGAGGAAAAGTAACTTCCCCAAGGCCACATGGTTGGCAGGTGATGAAAGGGGGATTTGAGCTCAGGCAGGCTGAGTTCAGAGCCCATGCATTTAGCGCACAATTGCTCTCTGCGGGCAATGGCCATTCATCTCCAACTGGGATGTTTATTCATCCTCTTTAGATACCATCTACAGAGGAGACCCAGAGGAAGAAGAGGGGCTCACAGGCTGGCCAAAAGCAGGTGATCTTCCTCTGGGGACCTGATGCTCTCACAAAGCCTGGGGCCTTCTGTCCTGCCCTGGGGTGGAGACAGAAGACTCCTTCCCAGACGAGTGACCTTTAGGGTTTGTTATGAATAGAGATTCCTTCTGGGGAACGTGATGGCTGATGCTGGGAACCCGGGTCCCCAGATTTAACCCCTAGGAATGTGGAGAGGAATCTCCAGACCTCCACCCAGGAGGCCAGCTCTCCCAGCCACCCAGGCCAGCCAGAAGAGGGTGGTTCTAAGCAGCTCTTCCAGTTATTGGACCACTGGGAGGTGGACTGGAACCTTCCATGTCCAGGCTGGGAGGCAGCTCCTCAGAGTAAAAATAACTCTAGGCTTCAAAATCCTGGGGTCTGCCTCTTCCTCCCCAGCTATGTGACATTCACTGGACAGGTGCCTCATGTGGGGGGACTTTGGTTTTCACATCAATCTAATGGGACTAAATATTATACCAACCTCTCAGCAGGGCTGGGACTAGGGTGAAGCCAGCCAGGTGCTCAAGGCATAACATTTAGGGAGGTGCTTGTTCTGAGGCGCCAACCCTGCACTTGCTCAGGCCCCGGGGTGAGGGCCTCGGTAGATTTGCACCCTGGTCACCTTGCTGCCTCAACCTGGCCCCAGCCCTGCCTCCCAGGGTTGTCGTGGGAAGGAAATGAGATATTGTATACAAAGCATGTTAGCACAGCATGTAGCATGCCCTTAGTGCTCACTTGTGGGGAAAATTCTGTTATTGTTCTTTTTTTTTTTTTTTTTTTTTTTTTTTTTGAGAGAGAGTCTCGCTGTGTCACCCAGGCTGGAGTGCAGTAGCACGATCTTGGCTCACTGCAACTTCTGCCTTCCGGATTCAAGTGATTCCCCTGCCTCAGCCTCCTGAGTAGCTGGATTGCAGGTGTGCACCATCATGCCTGGCTAATTTTTTTTTTTTTTTTGAGACGGAGTCTCGCTCTGTCGCCCAGGCTGGACTGCAGTGGTGTGATCTCGGCTCACTGCAAACTCCGCCTCCCGGGTTCACGCCATTCTCCTGCCTCAGCCTCCTGAGTAGCTGGGACTACAGGTGCCCACCACCACGCCTGGCTAATTTTTTTGTATTTTTAGTAGAGACAGGGTTTCACCGTGTTAGCCAGGATGGTCTCGATCTCCTGACCCCGTGATCCGCCCGCCTCGGCCTCCTAAAGTGCTGGGATTACAGGCGTGAGCCACCGCACCTGGCCAATTTTTGTATTTTTAGTAGAGACGGGGTTTCGCCATGTTGGCCAGGCTGATCTAGAACTCCTAATTTCAAGTAATCCACCTGCCTAGGCCTCCCAAAGTGCTGGGCTAGGATTACAGGCGTGAACCACCGCACCCAGCCTGTTCCTATTATTTTTATTGACTGCCTTTCTGAGGTTGGCTGGGCCTGTTTCCCAGCAGTGGCCCTGCCTTGGACCTCTTGCCATGGCCTTCGTCTCTCCCTCCACTTGTACATATTATACCCTTTTTATTATTTATCCCCTTGTAGCATGGTTTGATTCCCATTATTTACTGGTTCCTTGTCCCATGTCTCCTCCTCTGTGTCGACAGCCTGGAAACAATGATTGCTAATATTTACCAAGTGCTCACCATGTGCCAAGCCCTGGGCTAAGCATTTACATGCTGGATTTCATCTCATCTTTACAATGATCCTATGAGGTAGGGACTATGATTATACCCATTTTTCAAATGAGGAAATGGAGGCACTTAAAAATTGAGTAACTTGCCCAAGGATGCATTGTTAGAAAAGGATGGAGCTGAGGGTAGAATCAAGATGGCTTAATCCCTAAAACCCAAGGGATGGAACCCAGAACACTGCCTCTTCCACTCTTCACCAGCTTCTGCCCTGCAGGGTACACGCAGATGGCTCCAAGCAGGGGCCCCATTGCTCACTGGGGGAAACTGGCCTCCCTGAGCTAAGTCAGGTCCTGGGCAGAGGGACAGATGCTCTCTGTGCATCTCTAGGCCACAGCAGGGCGTTTCCAAGTCCTTCCCAGACCAGACGGCGGCTTCTGCTGTAGGCTATAGTAATAACAACAGCGTTGAGCACTCACACTGTACCAGAGCAGGGGTGGCGCCGCGCTGCACACCTGCCGCCCAGGGTCTCCACAGTCCTCACGCTGCCCTTGCATTGATTATTGTCTTTATGTGACCAGTGTGGTAGCTCAGGTGTCAAGACCTCAAGGCACCCAGCCAGGGTCGCATCTCACGTCTATGGCAGATCCAAGATCTGAACTTGGACTTGTCTGAATCCTGGATAAGCTGGGGGGTGAAGCTGGCTGCTGAGGATCCTGTGTGCCCCTCAGCCCTGTTCCCACCACCTCTGTGCCTCCTCCCTGCTGGCAGCCACTGTGGCCACAATGGGGTTAACCCCAGAGGAAGGCATTGAAGGCGCTGGGGCTGGGGTGGGAAGGAAGGCATATTTCGGGGCTCCAAGGACTTGAAGCCTAGCTGCTCCATGCCCAGGCTCTGGGACCCCCCAATACATGCACACATTGTTTAAAATGAAGTGGAACTCCAGGCAGGCAAGTTTTGATTTAGGGGAGACAGCTCCTCCATGGTAATGATACTGAGCCTTGTTATTTGAGCAAATAGGTTTTCTCCCAGCCTCTCACTCCTTTCTTTGTAATTCATCTTCCATCCTGGCCACATGCAGGCCCTGCTTGGAACTCTCTGGGGACTCCTACCCCACAGGATAGTCTAAAACCCTGCCCCGGTATTCAAGGCTGTTTGCAGATGTTCCTCAACCCCACCACCTGTTGCTCCCAAAATTCACACACCCCAGACCTGCACACCACAGTTGTTGCTATTCCACACACAGGTCGCTGGGAGCAGCGCACGGCCCAGCCCCGCCTTTCTGCAAGTGGATCCCTCTGCCTGGAAAGTCCTCCCTCCCCTCCTCTGGATCCTCCTGGGTCAGGCTGGGTGCTCCTCTGAACTCCCAGGCTGAGGGTTGCTGTGTAATTTGATACTACATTGACATTGCAGGAAGATCATGTATGGCTGAGTAGCTAAAAATGCAGGCTTTGAACTTGGATGTGGGTTCAGCCTCAGCTGTATCTCCCGCCAGCTGTGGGACATTGGGCTGGCGTCTCTGAGCCTCAGTTTGCTTCTCTGAACATAGAATGATACGCCCTACTCCATTAAGGTGCTGAGGGTGAAGGAAACCACGGGCTCAGTGTGGGCAGCTTGGCCAGGGCTCCAAGCGCATCGGGTGTTCATGTAGTCCTTCTAGTGCCAGGCGGTCATTAGCAACTTGGTGCCAGTCTCTGAGCTGGTCTCCAGGACGGAGCAGTGGAGGGACCATGTAGCCCCTGCTCCCACAAACACAGACATTGGACAGCCAATTAGTTACCCCAGTTCGTTACCATGGAGACTATAATTAGGGATTATAGTCACCCTGCCCAAGCGCACAGGCCTCACCTCCCATCCTTGCCTTAGCTTTGAAGCTCCCTGGAGCAGGATCTAAACTGGATTTGTCTCTGTAACCTCAGTTCCTCATTATTCATGGTCGGAATGCTCAGCAAACGTTTAAGTGGAAGAGATTTCCATAACAAACACTTGGGAGTTCAGAGGAGCACGCGGTCCAACCTGAACAGAGCAGGAGGATCTCAGAGGAGGGAGGCCACTAGGTAGGATGCGGCGGCACTAAGGGTAGCACTTAGTTTGTGACAAGGACTGTTCCAAGCACACCACTTGGATCATCTATTAAATTCTCACTTATTTATTTATTTATTTTAAAATTGTGTTTATTTATTTATTTATTTATTTATTTATTTGTTTGTTTTGAGATGGAGTCTCGCTTTCCAGGCTGGAGTACAGTGGCACAATCTTGGTTCACTGCAGCCTCTTCCTCCCAGGTTCAAGCGATTTTCCTGCCTCAGCCTCCCAAGTAGCTGGGATTACAGGCATGTGCCACCACGCCCGGCTAATTTTTGTATTAAGAGATGAGGTTTCGCCATGTTCACCAGGCTGATCTCGAACTCCTGACCTCAAGTGATCTGCCCGCCTTGGCCTCCCAAAGTGCTAGGATTACAGGCTTGAGCCACTGCGCCCAGCCAGTGATCACTTATTTAGATCACTTACTAAAATCATTTAATTATGTCAACACCTCTGTGAAGTATGTACTGTTATCACCATTCCCATTTCATAGATGGGGAAACTGAGGCACAGAAAAGCTAAGTAAACTGCTCAGAGTTACAGAGCCTGCGAGGGCCACAGCCAGAATTCAAACCCAGGCCATCTGCCTCCACAGTCCACTTTCTATGTCCCTCTCCCGAGATGATGTCCCTTTCCCAGGGGTGTCTGGAAAGGGTCTGGCCCCTGGTCCCAGCTCAAGCAGCTGTCCAGGGAAGCCTGAAGACCTGGCCCATCTCCACTGCCCACCGGGCTTCTCTGCGCTCCACTTCCCAGGTGGACTGTGGAGGCAAATAAGGCCCCAGCTGCAGCCTCTGAAGACTCCTGCCAAGCTGGCACTTTGAGGCCTGGGGGTGTCCCAGGGGATCCCAGCCCAGCAGCTGGGCTGACCTCAGGGCCAGTGTTTCCGTAAACACCCGGAGAGCCAGCCCCACGTGGTTGATCTGTGGGTTGCTGGCCAAGAGGGGCTGAGGTTTGGCTGACCTCGTGCGGTTTCTTTCAACAAGGCTACTTCCACCCCCTCCGCCTGGCTGGGCTTCCAGTAATGAAGTGTTTTCTCTGGGGCTAGGGGAGCTGATGGGGCTGGTGGCGTGGGGCACTGGGGTCTTCCTGTCCCACGTGCCCTCCACCCTGGGCTTCTGGAAGCTGGTCTAGATGCCCCTAGCTGCCGCCTGGGCAGCCCATATGCCCACGCCGGTCCCTGATAGTGAACTGGCCCGTAAGGGGACCAGGTCTCGGGATCTGAGCATGGAGCAGGGGCTGCGCCCAGGAGATAGGGTGTGGCTAGACTTTCCCCTGCTGGTCCTTTCCGGGGATCTGAGGGGAAACTTCTCCTGGGGACACACCCGGGTAGCTCAGAGATGGAAGAAAAGGTCTCCATTACAGCTGCCACCTCTTCCCCACCCAAAGAGAGTGTCCGCAGGGGGCCGTGGGGCAGGAGTGAGTACTGAAGGAATACTAACCACGATCACTGCTACCATCTCCTGAATGTCACTGCCCCAGCCCTTTAATTCTCACAACAAACCTTGGAAACTGAGGCTTAGAGAGAGGAAGTGGCTGGCCCAAGGTCACATAGTGAGTAAATGAGCAGAGCTTCTCCCCCTTTCCCTTGAATCACCTCTATCTTCCTGTCCAGATGCCAGGCAGCAGGAACTAGCAGGTGCTTTTGGGTCATCTTTTAAGAGGCAATATAGCACAATGAGTGAGAGCAGGGACTCAAGGGCCAGCCACCTGGGTTCAAATCCCAGCTCTGCTTCCTACTGGCTATGTGACCTTGGGCAAGTCACTCAACTTCTTGGTTCCTCAGTCTCCCCACCTGTATAATGAGGATAATAATGATGCCTCCTTTAGGGGGTTTCTGTGAGGATTGCATATACACGTGACACATAATAAGCCCTGTGCCATGCTAGTTATCCCAGCCTCTCACTCTTCCCATTGAAAAGGTGAAGACACAGACCCAGAGATGGAGGCAAATTCTGCAGGGGTCATGCCCGGGGCAGAGCATGGTTCAGCTATGTCTCCTATGGTGCTGCCAAGGAGCCACCATGGGCTTGAGCTGAGAGGAGCCACCTGGCACCGGACACGTGACCTCCTCGAGGGAAGGGAGGCTCTGCAGAGAGCAGGGGATGGTGGAGGAGCCTGGCTTTATCTTCCATCCTTCAGGAGCGGGGAAGGGCAGTGTCAGAGCCAGGAGAGGAGAGAAGCGAATGAACGTGCTGTGTGAGCTCCAGTCAGTCCCTACTGACTCTGGGCCTGTCACTCCTGCTGAGGGACTCGGGTGTTTGGACTTTTAGACTTGGAGGGGCTCCTCGGTGGGGCCTTGGGGGCTGCTCTGGGTGAGGGCTCTCACCATTTGCTTCATCCCAAACCACTGTCCTTGGGCCTGTTTTAAATATTAGAGTGTAGCATGGGGTTTTGCTGCTCTAACAAAGGGTCAGCCATCTTGAGAAGGAGGCTCTGTGATGAGCAGGGAATGGGGCTCCCCTGCCCCCCCGAGACCCTGGGGCCCAAGCTGATGACTGGCCAGTGACTCACTCCCTTCTCAGCATGTCCTGTCATCCCATGACTGGGAGCCCCTCGGGGGTGGCTCCTAACCAAGGTCCCCCTGACCAAGGCCTCCCCCCACCCTCCCCCTAACACACATAGAGACTGGGAACAATTAACTCCCTCCTAAGGCCAGACCAGATGTTCACGTGGGCATTGGTTTTGTTGACCACATGTGACTCAGGAGCTCCCTCAGAGCTGGAAGAGTCCCAAGAGGCTAAAAGGGCAACCTGTCACGTCACAGCTGGGAAACTGAGTCCCAGAGAAGCCAGGTGAGTTGCCTAACATCCCTCAGGGGTAGAAGGGAGGAAGGAACCTGGAGTTCCCATGCCTGACCCAGAGGCTTTCTACCTCTCCAAATAGTTCTCGGATGTGCCCAAGGCCTCAGTCCCCATTCCTACCTCCAGTTGCAAATGTCCTCCCCAACTACACAGAGCCTCTCAGCTTCATCCCACCCCACCTCCAACTGGCTCTCATGGTTTCATCCAGGCTCAGCTACTTGCAGCTCCCCAAATAGCTCCTGCTGTCAGGCCACCTCCAGGCCTTTGTACTCTCCTGCTGCTCTGTTTTATTTTCCTCTTCACCTGGACAACTCCTAATCTTGCTCCAAGACTCATCTCAGGTGTCACCTTCTCCAGGAAGCCTTTCAAAACCACCTCCTCCACCTCCCAGGCTGGGTTAGGTCCTCCATCTCTTCACCCTCAGTACCTAGTATCTCCCACTTACTGTGCTGGAATCATCTCTTTGCTTGTCTCTATATTGCCCTCTAGTCTGTGAGCTCATTGTGGACAGAGACCTTAGTTTTTATTCTTAATAGTAGGGAATGACCTATTACATTCGGTGTTTGCTGAATGAATGCATAAGTGGATGGATGGATGAATGAATGAATGGTTGGATGGAAGAATAGATACATGGATGGATGGATTGATGGATGGATGGAATGAGTGACCAAATGGTAGATGAATGGACAAATGGACCGACAAACATGGAAGGATGGATGGATGGACAGATGGATTGATGGACAGGTGGATTGATGGACAGGTGGGTCGATGGGCAGGTGGATGAATAAATCAGGCAGATAATGGCATCTGTAGGGACTCAGACAGTGAGGGCTAAGTCCCTGGAGCCTGGATATCCTGACTGATGAAGGTGCTCTTGGATGGGAAGGGAATAACCTAACCTGTTGTCTTCCTACTCCAAGAGATATTTGGTCCAGAACAAAGCCACCCCTGCCCTGGTGCCTGCTCCCTTCTGACCAACAGGTTCCAACTCAGTGGGGTCTCCTGAACTCTGGTAACTCATCTGACACCAGAGCCTATAGGAATCACCCTGTCTCTGACATTCAGGGATTCTGCATTCCTGAGGCCCTCCCTCCCTGCCTCTCTTCAGGTCAGAGCTGCCGCCCCATAAATGCTTTCAAGCATAGAAACATACACCCCTAGAGCCAGGAAGTTGTAAAAATGATGGGATTCACCCCTCTACCATTTTTGCAGATGAAGAAACTGAGGCTGAGCAAGGCCAAGAAACTTGCTTAAGGACACACAGCAATAGAGCTGGGATAAGAGCTTGGGTCTTTCAATTCGTTTATTCGTTCATACAGCAAGTATGTATCTAGCGCCTAAAGTGCCAGGCTCAGTGCCTATTCCCGGGCATGCTAGGCCTGTGCATAAGCTTTCATGTTAATTTAAAAGCTATTTCCATCCTCCATATGACCTCCTCCAGCTCCCCAGCAGGCTGGTCTATGCCTCACTAGCTGCATGCCTGGCATGATCCCTATGACAACACCCTCTCCCAGCAAATGAGGACCACTTCATTGTCAGGAAGCCTGGCTGGGACTGGTGTGTGCTGCCGTGTGCAGAGGAGGCAGTCACATGTGTGTGCTGTGAGCTGCACATTCCATCCTAGCCTTAGTGAGGACCGTATTAGTCCCTGCACGCTCATCCTTGCCAGCTCAGACTGGAGCCAAGCATTAAACTGTTCAAGCCCCACAGCTGCCCCAGGCGAGCCATTGCATGGCACCTGGGAGCTCAGGGCCAGGAGCAGACCTCTGAATTCCTGCCCAAACCAGGGAATATGTGGTGAGAGGAGGTCATAGGGAGGTGCCTGGGGGCTGGACATTTGCAAGCCAGCTGAGCAGGCAGTACTCAGCACTTTCCTCTTCACCCCTCCCACCATGGCAAAGGCAGGGGCAGCGTGGGCTAGCCAGCCTTGGAGAGATGGAGCCTCAAGTCTAGGGGCAGCAGCCCAGCCTCGGGCGAGCCAGGGCTATTTGCTGGGCCTTCTATGAGGCTTCCATGAAGTATGTAACCTCGCCGAAGACATGGAACTACTCAGAGTCATTAAGAGCCAAAGAAAGGCTCAGCTGCGTTTAACAGAAAAGCTTCTGGGAACAAATCAATGAATTGGAGAACAAAGGAAGACTGCAGAAGACGAACAGAACCAGAAGCCATGTCTAGGATGAAATCAACATGAGGTAGAGAATCCTGATGACATTGATCAGGATGAAAGAAGTATGAGGCAAGGGAGTAAAATCAAATGCCGAGTAAAAAGGGGGAACAACGTTGACCAAGGAATTTGAAGTTAATTTAAGAGCTGTTATGAACAATACAAAAAAGAAAATTATAGGCCCATTTCACTTATGAATATATAGATAGAAAAACACTAAACAAAATATTTGCTGACTGAATTCAGCAGAGTTAAAATAATGACACCACATCACCATCAGGAAGCGTTTATCCCGGAAAAACATTCCAGAAAATCCACCAGTGTAATTCACTACATCATTAGATCCAAAGGAAAATCTATGATGTCAATTGATGTGGAAAAATTTTTTGATAAGTTCCTTTTGTATTTATGATGCTTACAAATTTGAAAATTCTGGGAAAATGGAGAAATTAATAGAAAGG
Organism: Homo sapiens; assembly: GCF_000001405.40. Taxonomy (NCBI): domain Eukaryota; kingdom Metazoa; phylum Chordata; class Mammalia; order Primates; family Hominidae; genus Homo; species Homo sapiens. The sequence goes on from NC_000020.11 coordinate 44,707,526, forward strand.
TATAAAATGTCAAAAGATGGGCCCAAGAAGAAATAGAGAATTTCAGTAGGTCAATCAGTATTACAGAAACTGTAATGGTGTCAAAGCCCTCCCACTCCCCTAAAAATCAGCCTAGATGTTCTCATGGGTAAGTACTGCTGAACCTTTTTTTTTTTTTTTTTTTTTTTGAGACAAGGTCTCATTCTGTCGCCCAGGCTAGGGTGTAGTGGCCCAATCCTGGCTCACTGCAACCTCTGCTTCCCAAGGCTCAGGTATCCTCCTGCCTCAGCCCCTCACGTAGCTGGAACTACAGGCATGCACCACCACACCCAGCTAATTTTTGTATTTTTAGTAGAGATGGGGTTTTGCTATGTTGCCCAGGCTGGTCTTAAACTCCTGGACTCAAACGATCCACCTATCTAGGCCTCCCAAAGTGCTGGGATTACAGGTGTGAGCCACCGCGCCCAGCCTGCAGAAACTTTTTAGAAACAATTAATTCGTATCATATGCAAGTTGCTTAAAAAGAAAACAAAAGAAAAAAAAACCAACCTATCTTATTTTAAAAGTGTTGTCTTGATTATAAAAGCCAGATAAGACAATACCACAAAGGAAAGTATAGGTCCATTTCACTTATGAATATGGATAGGAAAACACTAAACAAAATCTTTCCTGACTGAGTCTAGCAGAGTTAAAATAATGATACTACATCACCATCAGGAAGGGTTTATCCCAGAAAAGTATCCACATCTGAAAATCCACCAGTGTAACTCACTACATCATTCAATCAAAAGGAAAAATCCAACGATGTCAGCTGATGCAGAAAAAGGTTTTGATAAGGTCTTTATGTATTTATGATTTTTAAAAATTCTTAGCAAACTAGGAGCATGAGAGAAGTTCCTTAATTTAGTAGGGATTTTTAATACCAAAAACCTACAGAAAATATTGCTAGTGGAGAAAAGTTTTATATAATACATGCCTTTTAAGGTGAGGAACAAGGCAAGAATGCTAGTTATTACTGCTACTGTTTAATACATAGAGCTGGAGAGCTGGGCTGAGCTACAAGGAAAGAAAATAAGAGGTGTAATTATTGGAAGGGAAGAGATAAAACTGTCATTGTTTGTAGATGGTGTGATCATCTACCTTGAAAAACCAACCAAATAAACTGACAAAATATTAGAACAAATAAGAGAGTTCAGCAAGGTTGCCAGATACACAGTCAGCAACAAAAATCAATGACGCTTTTACATCAGCAATAACTAACCAGAAAAACACAACATAATTTTGACTTAAATAGAAAGGTTTTAAAATAATATATACATATAAATATATTATATATAAAATGCATATACATATATATATACACACATGCACACATTTTAAAAGCACAGCTGGCTATGGTGGCTCACGCCTGTAATCCCAGCACTTTGGGAGGCCGAGGTGGGAGGACTGCTTAAGCTCAGGAGTTCAAGACCAGCCTGGGCAACATATTGCCAAAATTTTTTAAAAAAACATTTAGCCGGGCATGGTGGCACACACCTGTAGTCCCAGCTACTAAGGGGGCTAAGGTGGGAGAACTGCTTGATTCCAGGAGGTGGAGGCTGCAGTGAGCCGTAATTGCGCCACTGCACTCGAGCCTAGGCAACAGAGCGAGATTCTGTCTCAAAATAAATAAATAAATAAAGGTATATATATACATAAGTATAAAAATAGCGTATATATATAAAACATTATATCTCTCTCTACACACCACACACACACACACACACACACACACACACACATTATTATGTTTCTAATCACATGAATGAAATCTACATGTAGGGTGCATTTGGCAGCTCTGGGTGTCATCAGGGATCTGAGTTCCTTTATTTCTCCTTCGCCCTCTTCTGCACACGAAGTCCATCCTCAGGGTACCCTCATGGTCCAAGATGGCTGCAGAACTCCACCATCACGTCCGTATTACTGACTGGAAGCAGGAGGCAGCAATCAGTGGTGGTGGAGTCACCAAAGGGAAGCCCTTCCTTTTAAGGAGCCTTTCCAGAATCGGCACACAACACTCCTGCTTGTATCTCCGTGCTGGAACCTATCCCGTGGCCCCGCCTCCTGCAAAGCTGAGTGCGTCGCCACCCCAAACAAAAAAATCAGTGTTTGGTGACTGAGGGAGGAGGGAAGAAGGATATTGGAATGGGCATTGATCAGGCTCTGTCACAGATCTCAGTCTCCAAAACACGAAACTGGGGCACTGAGGTCCAGAGAAGTGAGGGAATTTACACACAGCCACAAAGCAAATTAGCAGCGGAGTTGGGATTTTCACCTGACTGTTGACCTTCCCATGGTACAGGTGTCCCCTCACACCCTGGTACATCCAGCCACTACAGCACTGCCCCTCCTCACTTCCAGCCCTGCTGGGGTCAGGATCTGTTTTGTATTTCTCTGTCCCCACTACCTAATGTCACACCTGTGAGCTCCACCTCCCCAGCGTCGGCTTGGGACTTGGCATGGGGTAGAGGCCGTAAGCGGGAAAGCGGGCACACACCTCGGGAGCTGACAAACTGCAAAGGGCTTTCAACCGCAGATATTTACTTGTGGCTTCCATATGCTGTACCTTGATGGTGATGTTTCGTAAGTTTCACTTTTCAGATGCATTTTTTTTTTTTTTTTTTTTTTGAGATGGAGTCTCACTCTGTGGCCCAGGCTGGAGTACAGTGGCGCGATCTGGGCTCACCGCATCCTCCGCCTCCCGGTTTCAAGCAATTCTCCTGCCTCAGCCTCCTGAGTAGCTGAGATTACAGATACGGGCCACCACGCCCAGCTAATTTTTGTATTTTTAGTAGAGACAAGGTTTTGCCATGTTGTCCAGGCTGGTCACGAACTCCTGACCTCAAGTGATCTGCCTGCCTCGGCCTCCCAAAGTGCTGGGATGACAGGCGTGAGCCACCGCGCACGGCCAGATGCATTTCTTAGACGCTAAAAATGTTCAGCCTGGCCCAGGCCTGGAAGAACATGCAGGCCGCTTTTATTTTTATTTTTTTTTAACAGATGGAGAAACTGAGACCCAGAGAAGCAAAAGTGTGTGTCCCAGATGCCAAGGTACCTGCGGCAAAGAATATTACCTAGATGTCCCTCACTCTGGTTCTCCTTCATTGATACACATGGAATGATGGTATTTCCCCGCCTTCCTTGCAGTTAAGTTGGGGCCATGTGGCTAGCTCTGACTAATAAGATGTGAGTAGAAGTGATGATGTGGCTTCTCCATCCCTCTTTTTTCCTGCCAAGGTGACCTTGGAGGCCACCGGTCTAGAACAGGGATTCACAAACTGTAATGTGCATGCAAATCACCTGGGGGTCTTACTAAAATGCAGATCCTGATAGTGGGGTCTGGGAGTCTGCATTTCCAACATGCAACCAGCTGATGCTGATGCCATCGGTCCTTGGACCACACACTTGAGTAGGGAGGAGCTACAGGATGTGCCTGGCCCACTTTGGACCATTCACGAGCAAGAAATTAGCTTCACTGGGTTAAGCCACTGAGATGTGGGCATTAGTTTGTGATCTCAGCACAGTCTTACGGAAATTGTCATTTAGCCATCAACCAACATTGACTGAGTTCCTACCATGAACTCCTGTGTGACCTGGGTGCCTCATTCTGAATGAGGTGCTCACTCTTGGGGTTGTGCAAGTGCAAGGTCAGCAGCTGAGAATGAGAGCCTCCCTAAATGTTATACCCGACATGCCTCTGTCACCTCACCCTGGTCCCAGCCCTGTAAGTCGGTAGCGGGAGCCGGGATTTGAAGCTCGGACCTGTTGACTTCTGAGCTTGTGCTTCCTCCTGGGAAAGCAAAGGACAGCCACACTCACCCTGGGCCCTTGTGTGGGGGCTGCGGCTGCAGCCAAAAGACTCATGGGTTCCCTGGATGCTTATATCCCTCTGGTGCCAAAATTGGACAGTTTGAAGGGAGGGCTGAACCGCAGCAAACCAATCAGCAAAGTGGCAGCTCCCACCGCTCCTGCCACACCCACTCATGCTGAACTGTGTGTGCAAGCTCCATCCCTCACACTTCATCACCAAACACCCTTGATGATGACGCCTGCTTCCTGATCTGGCCAGGCCCCAGGGCCCCTACTGCCCACACTTTCCCATCCTCAGTTATCAGACAGAAAAAGTTCCAAGAAAAATCCATGCTCTGACTCAGAGGGCCCTAGGTGGGCATAGCACTCTGCCTCGTTCTTGCCACCTCCCTGCCCCGTATGGCCCTGTCTTCTTCACCATACGTGGCACCCATGGCCCACCTCACCTCCTCATTGTCAAGGTCTCCTTGCTCTGCTATGGACATGGCTGGGACCAGCGTGTCTCCCTCCAACTCTCTTCCTCACACCTCCTCATTTCTCCCGTCTTCCTTCTTGCCTCAGAGATAGAAGTGGCTTAAAACTGTTCCTTTCAGGAACAACTAATCAGTGGCCACAGAGGTCAGAATAGCGGGTACCTGGAGGACAGAGGGTAGAGTCTTGGAAGGGGCATAAGGAAACTTCTGGAAGTGTAGCTTGACCTGGGTGATTATCACATGGGTATATACAGTCATGTATATACATATGTCAAGAGTCAAAATTAGCCAAACATGCTGCCTCATGCCACCAGCTACTCAGAAGGTTGAAGAGGGAGGATCCCTTGAACCCAGGAGGCTGAGGCTGCAGTGAGCCATGTTCATGCCATTGCACTCTAGCCTGGGAGACAGAGTGAGACTCTGTCTCAAAAAAAAGAAAGAAAGAAAGGAAAGAAAGAAAGAAAGAAAGAAAGAAAGAAAGAAAGAAAGAAAGAAAGAAAGAAAGAAAGAAAGAAAGAGTTGTCAAGCTCTACACTTCATATTAGTGCACTTTAAGCACTTTTCTGTATATACATTACCTCTCAACTTAAAAAACATTATCACAGAGAGCTCTATGGACAGTAGCAGAAATAAACAGCATCAAAAACTGAAACTTGGGTGTTGGAGTCATATGAACCCGCACTGAAAACCTGGCTCTGTTTTCTAGCTGTGTAGCTTTAGGCAAGTTACTTAACCTTTCTGAACCTCACTTTTTTCAATTGAGATGTGGATCATGAGGATTAGAAATGCTGCTTTTTATAAACAGTGCTTAGCACAAGGGCTGGATCTTGCTGGGTGCTATACACAATTGCTTTTATTTTTATTAATATCAGTGGCCTAGGGAGGACAGGAAAGTCGGAGTGACCTTTCCTGGATGCAGGCAATAACGGGTGGGGGGCCTACAGAATTTAAAGATAAAATAAAACTGATGAGAAGTCAGTCTGCTTTTATGATCACTGTGCAATGGCAGATCTAAATAATTTCAGTGGTAAAATACTTTGTCCTGAAAATACCCTTTATTGATCTAAGTTCTAACAATTGGTGCAGTAACTGTTGGGGTTTAATAATGTATATGTAAAGCTTCAAATCAGCACATTTTTATTCTTATCCTTTAATAAACATATTCTACATGGAAGTCAACTTGACTTGGAGAACTTTAAGAATCCTATAGTTGCCCCCAGAGCATGTGGTCTCAGGAACACACATCAGTTGAGAGTAAGCTCCTCACAACTCTGGAATCTTCCAAGCTTGCTTTGAATGCATTCCTGTCTCCACCGTCCAGCATTCATATTTCTGCATTTATTTTTATTATTATTTTGTGTGTGTGACAGAGTCTCTCTCTGTCGCCCAGGCTGGAGTGCAGCGGCAAGATGTCGGTTCACTGCCACCTCCACCTCCCGGGTTCAAGCAATTCTCCTGCCTCAGCCTCCTGAGTACTTGGGACTATAGGTGTGCACCCACCACGTCCGGCTAATTTTTGTATTTTTTTTTTTAGTAGGGACGGGTTTCACCATGTTGGCCAGGCTGGCCTTGAACTCCTGATCTCAGGTGGTTCTCCCACTTTGGCCTCCCAAATTACAGACGTGAGCCACCGGCCCAGCTGTATTTCTGTGTTTAAACAGTAGAGTGAAATCAACTATGAACGCAGAATGATGGGAAAGATGACGATAAGGGTATTTCAATTTTGTCATTTTACGAAACTACTTGGAGTTTTGATTTGTATTTACAGTTTTTAAAAGAGTAAAACAGTGTGAACTGTGAATGGTAATGATTTTGTTTGGTAAGTGCAAATTTTAATTCATACATGAAAAATATTTGTTTTGTTTCATGATTATTACTGAAAATAATTTTGTACTATGAAGGAAGAGGGGTGTTAAAAATGATCCACTGTGGATGTAAATTATTCTAGGCATGCTTCTGACTAAAACATTAGCATTTCCACAAGAATCCCAAAAAATAAAACAAAATTTAAAAGATCCCTTCTGTTTCTTTTCCTCCAAGTTTCCAGACCCCCATCTCCACCCTGGCCACCTCTTCCTGCCATAAATAATCAAATCCCACACTTTCATCTTCACCTTCCGTTTCCATTGCCTCTTCCGATGGGACAGCACCCGTGGGGAATCTCCTCCATGCTCACAATCCCCGTCTTGCCACTATATCAAGTCACACTTCTTCCTCACCAATCGCCCATTCTGGAACCTCTGCTATCCAGCTAGATCACTTTGAGGTTTGGACAACTACTGGTGGAGGTAATGGGGGCCCCAGACAGCCCTTGACATCACCTCTTTTATCTTTGCCAAATTCTACAAACAAAGCCCATGTCTTTCTGTCCCCCGCCCCCATGGCTGGCACATAGTAGATGTCCCCAAATCTTGGTGATGTGAACTTGTGTGTCTCACCCTTCACAGACATCACCATTTCCCGTTGCACAGAAGGCTCCACTCATACCAGGCGCTTTGGCTCCCAGAATAAGCAGGCTATCATGCTATGTCCGACATCTAGGCGTTGGTACGTACTGTTCCCTTGGCCTGGAACATTCTGCCCTCTCTCACCCTCTCTTTTCTTGGCTTTCTGAAATGGCACCTCCATCAGAAAGTGTCCCTCACTCTTGGTCTGAGCAAGGGACCTTGCCTGGTATTCCTGAACTTCCACCTGTTTTCCCTCTGTTTTCTCCCTCTCTGGGCCTTGTCCTCAGGTCAGTGTTGTGCCTCCAGCTCCTGCAGAGGCGAACTCAGAGGCGGCCGAATGAAACCAAATGGATTTGGCTTGACCCCATCATCTAGCGGTGCCCAGCAAGCGCTGGCACATAGTAGGTCCAGCCTGCCCGGACTCGCCCACCACGGGCCCCCTTCCAGAGCCGGGAGGCAGGCCAAGGGAGGCCCCTTATTGCCAAGAGCAAACAGGCCGCCCAGGGAAGTTTTGCTCTGGGTCACACCCACCTCTGGGTGGCTGCCAATCTGCCTGCCAGAAACCGCAGGCTGGGCCGCGGCTACCCAGAGTCAGGGCCACGGAGCTTAGGAGACCTTGGGTCAGCTCTGCAAAGGGGTTGTTTACTGAATGCTTCTGGTATCTGCAGCCCCGCTGGGGTTCGGACAGGGGGTCTGGAATAGGGCTTCACAACTACAGCAGGGCTAGGACCCTCTTGGGCTGGAAGGAGCTGGAGAGGCCTCTGCAAGCTGTCACAGGCTCTTGGTGCTGGCACTGGCTCAGGCTTTCACACACACACACGCGCACACACACACACACACACACACGGACAGGCACCCCCTTGGTGGCCTTCACAGTTTCACCTTCAGGTAAATGGGCTCATCCTTTGAGCCATGAGGATGGGAAGCGAAGCAAGGAATGAAAAAGCTAGTGTGTTTGTGTGTGTGTGTGTGTGTGTGTGTGTGTGTGAGCGCGCGCGCGCGCGCGCGTGTGTACTCGTGCGTGTGCCTGTGTGTGCCTGGGAGTGACCTCACAGCTGCCGGAACATAAAGACTCACAGGTCCGCCTCCCAGGCTCAAAGCTGGCTCTGCAGGGGACATGAGAGGCACACCGAAGACCCACCTCCTGGCCTTCTCCCTCCTCTGCCTCCTCTCAAAGGTAAGGAGGCCCGGGCCCTGGAATGCACTGCTGACTATTTGGGTGTGGAGGGGGTGGGGATGTAAAATCGCAGCCAAGGACCCCCTTGGCAGAATTCCTCCAGGGCCCCACATTGGGCACAGTCTGGCCCCCATGCCTAAGCAGGGCTTCTCTCCCTGGAACTCAGAGCTGCCTCCGGCCAGCCCTGCTGTGTGACCTCAGATATGTGTCTTGCCTTCTCTGGGCCTCAGCATCTTCCCAGGTGAAGGGTATACAGTTTGTGAGGCCTCTGTGAAGACCATTCATGATCATTCATCAAACTTACCAGGCAAATTGAAGAGGACTTTAATGTATCCTCATTATGAATGGGGGCACTCAAGACATGACATGCTTGGCCTAACTCTGAGCCAGCATTTGGATGGATGCCTAGCTGATTGGAAGGTTCATTCTGCAAGGGCATCAATGCTGTTGGACTCTTAGGCAGTGAGTGACCCGCCCGCCCTAGCTAGAGGGGAACAGGAGACACCTCTGTGGAGTAATGGCCTTATCCCTGAATGCTGCATGGGACATTCACCAAAGAGCCTGTGGGACATCTACCTTGTCTAACATGCACAACAATCCCATAAGGAATTTTCAGTTAAGTGAGGCTCAGAAAGGGTAAGCAACTTGCAACCCCAGTTTTCAGTCAAGTGAGGCTCAGAAAGGGTAAGCAACTTGCCCAAAGCCACACAGCAAAGAAAGGTCAGAGCAATAGAGGAGAGCCATGGTGGAGCCCAGAATGACATGGATGTAGGGGGAGAAGCACTCCAGTCTGTGCCTCCCCAAGCCCAAACTGGACCAAGGCCACAGCTGCTAAGCCTTGTCATCCCCTCGGCAAATGCTGAGTTCCCAGAGCCATGGAATCGGCCCCACCACAAGCCACGATCTCACTGTATTTTCACGCTCCTTTGAGGAGCACGGGCAGGAGCTTCTCTCCCTCAGGCTCCAAGTCTTCGTGCCTGGGAAGCCTGAGAACCACGCTGGCATCCTGTCCTGCTGTTTGTTCTTCCAAAGGGGATGGGTAGGGCATGATGCCAGTGTGGGTGGCTTGGGTAGTTGGAATAGGGGACTTGGGGCTCTAGGAGGGAGAAGGGGCCCAGGATTATACGAGAACAAAGTAAAGCTGTCCTAGACTTGCCATTAGGGTGAGACTTACGGGACCATTCTTCCCTGGTCCCAGGAAGCAGGGACTGCACAGAAACACAGGGACTTAGTCACCACAACATGGAAAGCCACAGCAACCCTCAGAGGGAGAACTGTAAGTCTTCCAGGCTGGCCGTTGGCTCCGGGGCTCCTGGCTGTGGACCGGGGCAGGAGGCAGACACCTGGACACAAGCAAAATCACATTGATCAAGGACTGGCCAGAACCTCATTTAATCTCCATCATCACTCAGAAACAGGTTGTCTCTACTCCAGTTTACAGAGGAGAAAACTGAGCTTCACCTCCACCTTCCAAAGCCGTTTGTCCACATGTTCAGTCACGTAGCAAGTCACTGGCAGAACTTGAATCTCAACTCTTGCCCAAAAAACTCCATGCCCAGTACTCCTGCCCCAGATATCATGAGCCTTGCCCCCCACCACCAGATATCACAGCAAGGCCCTGGGGAAACTGAGGCACAATGGGACAACTTGAGTTTGGGCCTTGGATGTCAACTTGAACTTGGATGTCAATCCTGATTCTGTCTCTTACTGGCTGTGTTACTACACGGTTTGAGCTCCAGTTTTCTCATCTTTAAAATGGGCATAATGATGGCACCTCACATTGGAGGGGTAAATGAGACAACAGCACTTGGCACATGACATACATATGGTATCACATGAGATAATTGTACACTAGAATAGTTGATATCATTAATAGCCTCTCCTGGGTATCGGGGCCTACAGAGTCCTGCCCCCTGACAAGCATGGCCAGTAGAGGGGTCCACAGTGGGAGCCAAGGTGCACAGCTGCTGGTCTATTTCCTGGCACTCCTGTTTTCAGGTGGGAGGGACCTGAGAGTCATTTCTGACAGTCCTCCCTCCATTGCCCACAAGCCAAGGGAGCTGAACCTCTGACTTAGAAGGGAACCCAAAAGCCTAGACCGTTTCTATGTGAATCACCTGTGGATTTATGAAAATGCAGATTCGGGCTGGGCGTGGTGGCTCATGCCTGTAATCCCAGCACTTTGGGAGGCCGAGGTGGGTGGATCATGAGGTCAGGAGTTTGAGACCAGCCTGGCCAGCATGGTGAAACCCCGTCTCTACTAAAAATACAAAAAATTAGCTGGGCATGGTGGCATGCACCTGTAATCCTAGCTACTTGGGAGGCTGAGGCCTCCCAAGAATTGCTTGAACCTGGGAGGCGAAGGTTGCAGTGAGTCGAGATCGTGCCACTGCACTCCAGCCTAGGTGACAGAGCAAGACTCCATCTCAAAAAAGAAAAAAAAAAAAAAGAAAGAAAAAGAAAAGAAAATGCAGATTCGGATTTATTATATAAAAATTCAGCTTCGGATTTATAGAGGGGCTCCAGATGCTGCCTCTCTGACAAGCTCCTAGATGACGCTGCTGCTGCTAGTTCAGACCACACCTTGAGGGGCGAGGCTAGGCCATCGTCTCTAGAATCTGAACAGCCTGCAGCGATGGGATCCACTCCCTTGTGAGGCAGCCAGACACCTAGCTCCGTGTGTCCATCTGCTACTCAGTGCTGTCTCAGTGGGGGCTGTGATCGCCTCCTACTTTGTGGCCCCCACCAGAGGCTGGTCAGCCAGTTTGCAATGGCTCCTAGTGGCCGGCGTGGGAGTTGCCGGGAACTGAAAGCAGGTTTGCAGGATTGTGGGTAGTGGGGGCACTGGGCGGGGCAGAGGGTGAGGCAGAGCAAAGGGGTCATTGCCTGCTTTGGGGCTGCACAGGAGATATGAGGTCATTAATTCCATCATTATAAACTGCAAGCCTCCATTCCTCTAGATGAAACCCTCATCCCCTAAGGATCCTACTAAACTCAAACTTGGCCCCCCAAAGATGGGGCCACTGGAAGCATCTTGAATTATACTTCCTTCTTGGTCCCCACCTTCAAATGGGCAGACAGGGAGCTCACGGCACCTGCTGTATGCTTTGGTTGTTTCTCTGATGTGGGTGGCGAGGGTCAGGCAGGCCACATGGGCTGATACCCTGATCCTGTCTCTGGGGAGTGGGTCCCTGGCTTACGGACACAGTCTACCCCCATCCCGTGTCCCTGAGTCCTCACTTGGGAAGCAGGACCGGGGACGCTCCCAGCCCTGAATCGAACACACTGACGTGTGCTAAGTTCCTGTCCCTCTCTGGAGCTCAGTTTCCCCATCCGTACCTGGCAGGGGGAGGAGGTTAGACTGGGGCAGAGGTGCTGAAAACCTAGCTGAGCTTCAGAAGCCACTGGACAGCTTATTAAAAATAAAGATTCCAGGTCCCTGACTCTGGGACTTCTGATTTTGTAAGCCCCAGAGTGGGTTGGGGGTCTGTATTTTCCCAAGTCTCCTGGCTGATGTGATGTACCTCCAGAGCTGGGACACATGCTGAATGGATCGAAAGGCCAAAAACATCCATGATATGGTTCAATTTATTCAGTCCTAAGATAAGTATCCGTATGCTGGAAAATGTACCAGACCCTACCATTTTCATCCTTGACTTGTTGCTTTTGCCTTTCTGTAAGCTCCCAGAGGGCTGGGGCTGAGCCCTCTGCCACCATTAACAACAAGGATCATCAAAGCTAAGTGCAGTGAGCGCCTACTGCATGCCAGGCCCTGTGCTGAGGGTTTGCTGTGCAGCATTTCATGTACTCCTCAGAGCAATCCTCTGAGTTAGATACTTTGAGGAAACTGAGGCTCAGAATGCTTAAGTAACTTCCTCAAGGTCACTCAGCTAATAAGGGGCAGAATTAGAACTGGAAGTCTAGCCAGGTGCAGTGGCTCATGCCTATAATCCCAGCACTTTGGGAGGCCGAGGCGGGCGGATTGCCTGAGCTCAGGATTTCAAGACCAGCCTGGGTAACATGGTGAAACCCCATCTCTATTAAAAATACAAAAATTGCCAGGCATGGTGGTGGGCGCCTGTAGTCCCAGCTACTCGGGAGGCTGAGGCACGAGAGTCGCTTGAACCCAGGAGGTGGAGGTTGAAGTGAGGCTGGGATCGCGCCACTGCACTCCAGCCTGGGCAACAGAGCCAGACTCTGACTCCAAAAATAAAAATAAAAAATAAAGAACTGGAACTCTAGTCCAGAGTCCTTGCCCATAACTACATGCCATACTGCCTCTTAGGGCATGTTGTGGGACTACTGGCCTTTGAGGCCAGGTCTGCATGGCTCTGAGGCTAAGGTGTGGACACCACACTACCCAGCCTGGCAGAGAAGTGGCTGGTTGTGAGGGTCTCACTGCCCACCTCGAAAGCCCGTGGCTGAGTGAGGTCTCTGTCTCTTCAGGTGCGTACCCAGCTGTGCCCGACACCATGTACCTGCCCCTGGCCACCTCCCCGATGCCCGCTGGGAGTACCCCTGGTGCTGGATGGCTGTGGCTGCTGCCGGGTATGTGCACGGCGGCTGGGGGAGCCCTGCGACCAACTCCACGTCTGCGACGCCAGCCAGGGCCTGGTCTGCCAGCCCGGGGCAGGACCCGGTGGCCGGGGGGCCCTGTGCCTCTGTAAGCAGGTTTGCAGGACTGAGTGGGGGCGGGTGTGAGCGGGAGGTCAAGGCCGTGGTGTCCTGGATCAAAGTGCAGCCCTCCTCTCTCTACCTCCTTGGGTGCTCACTTCAGGTATCCCATCCATTCCAGCTGAACTTGGTGTCCCAAAGCCCACTCCCCACTCCCTCCTCTCCCTTCTTGGCCTCTGCTTAAACCATCTCACTACCCCAATAACCTTTCCCCATCCCTACCTGTCCAAATCATTGCCAACTTTCAAAGCCAAGTTCAAACAGCTTCTCCCCTGAGAAGCCCCCCCAGATTCTTCAAACCAGATGCCACCACTCCCTTCTCAGGATCCTTACAACACTTTGGGGAAAATAAAAGTGCAACCTTTTAGGGCATAATATGTGTCCAGAACTGTGCTAAGCACTTACTACACAAGTCACATCATCCTCACAATAACCCTATGATGGGAAGTACTTTCAGACCTATTTTATGAATGAGGAAACAGGTTCACCAGCATTAAGGGACATGCTTCATGTCACACGGCACGGGACCAGATCCAACGGGCTCTAAGGAACAGTTTATTCTGTCTTCTCCCATAGTGGGGGCCCTCGGAGCACTGCTGGGATCCTGGGTTTGCCATGTATTCAGCAGTCACCCGAGCATGTGACATTCCTCACCACTCTTCTAGGCCTTGGTATTCTCTGATGCTTCGGGGCAGGGCTTTGCAAGCTGGCTCCAGTGACTGGGTGCCAGAGAATTAGTTGTTGTGGGAGGGCTGTCCTGTGCATGGTAAGACTTCTAGCAGCATCCCCGAACTCCACCCACTGTATGCCAGCAGCACTCCCCATCCCCCAAGTCATGACAGTCTGTCTTCAGACAGTGCCAAATTTCCCCAGGGGGCAAAATCTCCAGTTGGGAACCATCACTTTAGAGAAATGCAAAGAGGCAAGAGATTGTTCTTCTTTTTTCTTTTTTAATAATAAGCCTTGTAGAACAATTTGCCTCTTTCATCTATGTGCATGTCACACTTTTATAAAAATAAGAACGAAAGAGAGAGAGAGAGAAGCTCATGAATCATTGATAATGAATTCATCTGTAGGAAAAGCCTTGTTAAAAAACAACAGGCCAGGCACAGTGACTCATGCCTATAATCCTATCAGTTTGGGAGACTGAGGCGGGACGACCACTTGAGCCCAGGAGTTCTAGTCCAGCCTTGGCAACATAGTAAGATCCTCTCTCTATCAAAAAAAAAAAAAAAAAATTAGCCGGGTGTGGTGGCACATGCCTGTGGTCCCAGCTACTTGAGAGGCTGAGGTGAGAGGCTCGCTTGAGCCTGGGTGTTTGAGGCTGCAGTGAGCCATGGTTGCGCCACTACATTCCAGCCCGGGCAACAGACCAAACCCTATCTCCAAAAAAAAAAAAAAAAAAAAAAAAAAGTAATAACTCCATGTGAAATGCTTTATTTACAAGTACTGTAAGGATAAGGAGGGTGATTCGTTACACTGACTGAGGGATGATTGCTTATGAAAATGTATCTGAAGAACAATTGAGATAAGTAACACTTCGCTTACAAAGCTGTTATTTACATTTGCTGTGACACGTGTAAACAGCACCCACAGAGTTTATTTTACACTTGCACAGCCCTTACCACGTGTAAGACACTGAGGGTTTCACAAATATAAACTCATTTAATCTCACAACCACATGAGGTAGGTACCCTTCTCTTATAAATGGAAAAAAGGGGTACAGAGAGGCTAAGCAACTTGCCCAAGGTCACACAGCTCATAAGCGGCAGAGCTGAGATTTGAACTCAGGGAGCTGGCTCCACAAGCTCCATTGCTCAACTGCCTGACATGCAGCAGTTGATTAGTACATAGGCTGTGATTGTTAATAACTGTATTAAGGGATTTTTCTTATTCCATCTTAATTCAGACTTCAAACACCTGCAGGCCAAAGGCGTACTTGGGTCCCTGGTCCTTCCTGCAACTTCCCACCTTGGTCTGTCAACATGATGGGTGCTCAACAGTGTTTAATGATTTAAACTGAATTTAGAGGCCGGGAACTGGTGAACCCCAAAGAGTCCAGCTAAGACATCACAAAGGCTCAGTCTAGGGCTTTGCAGGGAACATACTGCCAAAAACCTCTCCCATCACTTACTCGTTGAACGCTCTTCTCTAAGGGCCAACTCTGAGCTGTGAGATGTGCTGCAGATTCACCATCGTGATAACAGCGCATCCAATGCCGGGATCCTGATCTTCCGCCCCCCAGAACGGCCTCCCCAGTCTGTTGAGAGCACCTCCATCCTTCTCATGGCTCAGACTCAAGACCTGGGAGTCGTTCTAGAGGTCTCTCTATCTCTCTCTCTTTTTTTTTTTTTTTTTTTTGAGATGGAGTCTCACTCTTTCACCCAGGCTGGTGTGCAGTGGCAGGATCTCAGCTCACTGTAACCCCATCTCTTGCGTTCAAGCGATTCTCACGCCTCAGCCTCCCAAGTAGCTGGGATTACAGACACATACCACCATGCCTCGCTAATTTTTGTATTTTAGTATTTCAGTAGAGACGGGGTTTCACCATGTTGGCCAGGCTGGTCTGGAACTCCTGACCTCAAGTGATCCACCCGCCTCGGCCTCCCTAAGTGCTGGGATTATAGGTATGAGCCACCACAGCCGGTCTAGACATCTCTCTTTTCTCACCTCCCACATACCACCCACCAGCAAATTCATCGTGTATTTCCAGCATCCGACACTCCCATCCCTTCTGGTCTGAGCCCCGTCATCATTGGCCTGGATTTTGCAGTAGCCCCATAATCATCTCCCTCCTTCTGTCGTTGCCCCTGGTCTATTCACAACACAGCAGTCAGAGAGCTCCTGGGAAGTCATAAGCCAGATCACCTCCCTCCTCTGCCCCAAGCCTTCTGGTGGCTTCCCATCTCAGAGGAAAAGCCAAAGTCCCCACAGTGGCCTACAAGGCCCCAACAGGATCCTGTTCATGCTTCCTCTCTGACCTCCTCTCCTCCTGCTCTCTGCTCCAGCCACATTGGCCCCTTGCTGTTCCTTAAATACCCCAGGCACACTCGTGCCTCAGGGCCTTTGCACTGGCTGTTCCCTCTACCAGCATTATTTCTCAGCAAGGCCTTCCCTGCTGGAGGATTAGATGAGCTAGGGGACTTACAGCATTTTGCCCCAAGCCTGGCACATAGCAGATGCTACGTGGAAGCATAACCCTCTCCTGTTTATTGAGCATCTGCTATGTGCCAGGCTTGGGGCAAAATGCTGTAAGTCCCCTAGCTCATCTAATCCCCCAGCAGCCCTGTGAGCCGGGTACCAAGGCTCAGAGAGGCAAAATAACTTGCCCCAGGCCCCACAAGTGGGAGCCAGAGTTGGAACCTAAGTATGTGTGGTTTTGGTTCTGAAACCCCTGTGTGTGTACAGACCTACTGGAAGGTTTTCTCAGAAGATCTGGGAGAACTTGTTTGCTAATGAGTCCTTTCCCCAGACGTAGCTCAGTGGCCACCCAGGTCTCACACACACGCTGTTTCCCGTCTGCACTTCCTGAGCAGCTCACACGCTTCACCAGCGCTCTTACTTCATTCTGTCTTGGAGATGATGCCCTCACACCCGTCCCCCTTTCCCAAGCCCATGAGTCCCTCAAGGCAGGAACTGTCCTCTTTCTGTCTGGGAGCACAGTGGTTGGCACACAGGCGGGAAACAGTAAATATCTCTGGAATGATAAGGAGTAGGGCTATTTTATCAGGGTCTCTCATGTGCCAAGGCTTATGCCAGCTATTCACTGAAGGGGCATTCCTACAGTACTGTGTGTCGCACCTAGGCTCTGAGCCCACCGGAGGGTGCAGAGACGCACACTGGCCGCCCCAGCCCTCAAGGAGTTCATGTCCAGTGGAGGAAGTGGCAATAACACCCATATCTTGAGGGCTTCATTGAAAGAGTGTTCCCTGAGCACCTAGGCCATGCCTAGCACTGTGTGCTAGAGGGTACGGACATGTCATCCCATGGAACCTGAAGTTACGATTACTGAGCTCATCATTGCTGTAGTTCAGGCCACTCAGAGAAGTTAAGTAACTTACTCAAAGACACACAGCCAGCAAGTTAAGCCCTGACCTGACAGTGATGACAGCACAAGTGGACAACGACTTTGTTGCATGAAATCTCAGCGTGTATAGAATACTTAAACTTTATTAATATATAGTAACTATACTAATGATAATAACAGAGTAGCTAGGACCTATGGAAGGTCTCTTTTATGTTGTGATCATTACGCCTATCATTCCGAGTAGTCTCTACCACCCTGGAAAATAAGTACCATTATATCCCAGCTTGCAAATGTGGAAACTGAGGCAAGAAGAAGTGAAATCACTTGGCCCAGGTTCACAGCTAAGAAAGGGCAGAGTTTGGGGGGTCAATCCAGGCCTGTCTTCTTGCAATCCCTGTGCCGGGATCCAGGGTGCCCCAGCAGGCTGGTGGAGGGCTGGGGAGAGGTGCATATCCTGGGCTGGAGCCCTGGGCAGGGCCCAGCTACTGTGAGGCAGCTGCCTCAGGCAGCGGGATCTGGGCAGCTCTGCAGAGAAGGCTGTGCCGCTTTGCGGGTCACCGATGGGGGTGCGGTTTTTCCTCCGCAGTGGCAGAGGACGACAGCAGCTGTGAGGTGAACGGCCGCCTGTATCGGGAAGGGGAGACCTTCCAGCCCCACTGCAGCATCCGCTGCCGCTGCGAGGACGGCGGCTTCACCTGCGTGCCGCTGTGCAGCGAGGATGTGCGGCTGCCCAGCTGGGACTGCCCCCACCCCAGGAGGGTCGAGGTCCTGGGCAAGTGCTGCCCTGAGTGGGTGTGCGGCCAAGGAGGGGGACTGGGGACCCAGCCCCTTCCAGCCCAAGGTGAGCGCAGCGGTGGTCCAGGTCAGGGCAGGACTGCCTGGGGGCGCCAAGGGCCACCTAGGGGGTGGGGTGGGGGGCGGCTTCCTGGGTACCAGGACCCAGGGACACATCAGAAGCTGGGAGGGGCGGAGGCTGAGGAGGGAGATAAGAAAGAGGAGTGGAGGGCCGGGCGCTGTGGTTCACCCTTGTAATCCCAGTACGTTGGGAGGCCAAGACGGGCGGATCACCTGAGGTTAGGAATTCGAAACCAGCCTGGCTGACATAGGAAAACCCCGTCTCTACTAAAAATTCAAAAATTAGCCTAGCATGGTGGCGGGCATCTGTAGTCCCAGCTACTTGGGAGGCTGAGGCAGGAGAATCGCTTGAACCCGGGAGGCAGAGGTTGCAGTGAGCCCAGATCACACCACTGCACTCCAGCCTGGCCGACAAGCACGAAACTTCATCTCAAAAAGAGGAAAAAAGAAAGAGGAGTGGAGGGTCACCAGGCCTCCCTCTTTAAAACCAATAAACAAAAAGCCACTGCCTTTGAGATGTGTAATTTAAAACCATAAATAATTAAAAATAAAAACTGGGTGACAGAGCCGGGAGAGGAAAGGTGGGTTAGGGTATGTGAACCAAATTCTCACATTTCAGAGATATAATAGAGCTAAGCTCTTAGAATATATAATATTATCGTATTTATAATATATTGATACATATTAATATATTTAGTAATTTATTATTATTTGGGCTTACTAAAAAAGGAACTCAAAACTGAACGAGGCAAAGTGGCTGCTCTGGAATGTGGGCCGGGGGTGGGCTAGAGATGGAGAAAAGACAGTTACCTCCCACCGTCCCACTATAAATCTTCAATTTTAGAGATTTTTGTTGTTGCTGTGTTGCTTTTTGAAAATTATCACATGAATGTGACTTTCTAAAAAAGGCAACTGAAAAGAGGAGGATTGATTTCATAAATGCTGCTGCCACCCACAAGAGGTAGTCACGTGTTATGGGTCAGGTGCACGGCATCTGCAACAGCCCCGCCATCCCCTTTTTGCTGTGTGACTCTGAGAAAGTTGCTTAACTTCTCTGTGTCTCAGTTTCTCCAGCTGTAAAATGGGGACAATAAGAGCATCCACTTCATAGCGTTGTGAGAACTACTTGAGTTTGTTCAAGTTAAGCAGCTGTAGCAGTGCCTGGCACATGGTACTATATCAGAGGTAGCCGTTATTATCCCTGTGATGGAATATGATATATCCATTTAAATACATAGGAAAACACCAGTGAGTTCACCTTATGGATAAAAGCAGGATAAGAAGGTGTATTTCCAACTCGATCTCAACTAAGTGTGTCCCTATGCACGTATACAGGTATATCTACACATACACATGCATACACAGCACACACATGTGGGTAGAAATCAGGGTTTCTCAACGTCAGCACTAGTGACAATTGGGGCAAGTAATTATTTGTTGGGGGGGTTTTCCTGTGCACTGCAGGGTGCTTAGCAGCATTCCTGACTTCTACTCACTAGATACCAGTAGCATCCCCCCAGTTGTGATCACCAAAACTGTCTCCAGATATTGCCAAACCTTTCCTGGGAGGCAAAATTACCCTAGTTGAGGACTTCTAGTGTAAGACTAGAAGGAAGGACACCAAAATACTCACAGAGGGAGACTTGGAGCAGAGAAAAAGCTAGACCATGGTGAACCTGCCATCTTGTTCCTGGCACAAGAATCCTGGAATCTTTAGCATCCTTGCCACTGGGCCAAAGCACCACTCCACACAGGCTGGGCACCCCCTGCCTGTAAAATGCTGTTTATCCAAAGAGACGAGAAAACCATGGTTCACTGAGGGACCATCGTGACCAACACACTCTGGTTGCCAAATAACTAATATTTATGGAAATCTTACAAGTACCAGGTACTGTGCTAGGCACTTCATGCCCATTATTTTATTCAATGCCATCCACTGTTAAGAAATTTACATAACAAGAAACTGAGATGCAGAGAGGCTGAGCCATTTGACCAAGATTGCCGTGGCCGCTGGCAGGTGGGTTGATTGAGCTGCTGAGCCCTGGCTGCTCAGTGCTAACTCTTGTTCTTTCCCCCCTAGGACCCCAGTTTTCTGGCCTTGTCTCTTCCCTGCCCCCTGGTGTCCCCTGCCCAGAATGGAGCACGGCCTGGGGACCCTGCTCGACCACCTGTGGGCTGGGCATGGCCACCCGGGTGTCCAACCAGAACCGCTTCTGCCGACTGGAGACCCAGCGCCGCCTGTGCCTGTCCAGGCCCTGCCCACCCTCCAGGGGTCGCAGTCCACAAAACAGTGCCTTCTAGAGCCGGGCTGGGAATGGGGACACGGTGTCCACCATCCCCAGCTGGTGGCCCTGTGCCTGGGCCCTGGGCTGATGGAAGATGGTCCGTGCCCAGGCCCTTGGCTGCAGGCAACACTTTAGCTTGGGTCCACCATGCAGAACACCAATATTAACACGCTGCCTGGTCTGTCTGGATCCCGAGGTATGGCAGAGGTGCAAGACCTAGTCCCCTTTCCTCTAACTCACTGCCTAGGAGGCTGGCCAAGGTGTCCAGGGTCCTCTAGCCCACTCCCTGCCTACACACACAGCCTATATCAAACATGCACACGGGCGAGCTTTCTCTCCGACTTCCCCTGGGCAAGAGATGGGACAAGCAGTCCCTTAATATTGAGGCTGCAGCAGGTGCTGGGCTGGACTGGCCATTTTTCTGGGGGTAGGATGAAGAGAAGGCACACAGAGATTCTGGATCTCCTGCTGCCTTTTCTGGAGTTTGTAAAATTGTTCCTGAATACAAGCCTATGCGTGATCTTGTGTGTCAGGCCTGTGTTTTCTGAGAAAGCCCTCCCATTATCCGGGGCAGAATTCAGGGGCAGAGTTCTCTGTGAACCTCACAAGGTGAAATCACATGGTCTTAAAGAAAGCCAGAAGACAGGCCTTCAAGTGATCCAAGAAACCCAATTCATATTAATAATAATTAACTTTTTTATTTATTTATTTTTTTGAGATGGAGTTTTGCTCTTGTTGCCCAGGCTGGAGCTGGAGTACAATAGCACGATCTCGACTCACTGCAGCCTCCCGGGTTCAAGTGATTCTCCTGCCTCAAGACTCCTGAGTAGCTGGGATTATAGGCGCATGCCACCATGCTCGGCTTTTTTTTTTTTTTTAAATATATTTTTAGTAGAGATGGGGTTTAGCCATGATGGTCAGGCTGGTCTCGAACTCCTGACCTCAAGTGATCCGCCCGCCGCCTCGGCCTCCCAAAGTGCTGGGATTACAGGCGTGAGCTACTGCGCCCAGCCAATAATTAACATTGCTTGAGCGCCTGCTATGTGCTAGGCACTAGCACTTTATACAGACCAGTGCTTCCCAGCGTTTTTGACCAGAGAAGAGCAGGGAGAATGAAGGCTGCCTCCCAGGGACTGGGGAGCATAGCCTGAAATCAACTAACCCAAGGGTGAAATTGTTCGAAGTCTCATGTTTTATTGTTTACAAACAAAACAAAACAAAAAACAAAAACAAAAAAAAACACCCAACACCAAATACATATATTTTACATTTTCCTCCATGGTCTACCTGTGTTTGTTTAAAAAGTAAAACTGTATTTCCATTAGGATCCAAGCAGGAAATTAGAAAACACTCTTGGTATTTAAACAGGGATTTCTTCTTATTAAACTAATTTTATTAAGGTATAATTTACCCATAGTTAAATATACAGATTTTAAGCATATGGTTTAACGAGTCTTCATAAACGTACACGCTCATGTAACCAACTCCTCAATCAAGGTATAAAACATTTTCATCATCTCAGGGAGTTCCCTCTGGCTCTGTTCCAGTTATCCCCCTGCTCCCCAAGGCAACCACTGCTCTGATTTCTATCACCATAGATGAGCTTTCGTGTTCTTGAACTTCTCATTAATACAACCATACAGCAGGTACTCTATAATGAATGACGTCTTTCACTCAACATAATAAAACAAAAGGAATTTAATGAGAGGACTTAGTCACCCATCTGAGAGGCCAAGTAGGGGACCGTGTGATGCAAGAGGAGAAATTCAACACCAGACCAGCCCTCGGGGCGGAGGGGCAGAGGGAGGGCAGAGCCCAGAGCTGGCACCAGCAGGCAGAGGAAGAGGACCTGGCAAGGCTGTCTGCTGGGAGCTGCAGCCGCTAAGGAGACACAGCCTCGCAGACCTAACAAAAAGTAGATGGAGGTGGGGAGACCTGCCCTGGCTTCTGCCTGCTGCTATCCCCCAGTTTCCAGTTATGCCTCCCATGAGTCGAACCTGCTGGGAAGGTGGAAGAGAGGGGAGCCTGGGAGATGCAGGACAAGGAAGGGCAGGAGGGTTCTGAGAATGAGGGCAATTCCCAGACACAGTGTTTGTAAATTACCCACCCCAGGTACGGTTGCTGGTCACAGAGGCCCCTGCTGCCCAGCCCCCAACACTTATCTCAGGTATCACCCCCTCCAGAAACCTTAGTTTGAGAATCACATGCTGAGTTTGAGCCATGTAACCTTCACAGAGCCCCTGCATGGCAAATATAACTAACTCCAGCTCAGGGATAAGGAAACACCCGGGAAAGCGAGCTGTCTAAAAGCTGGTCTGCAGCTGGGGTGGGATGCTAGTCCAACCTGAGTTTATCTGACTCTTGAGAATGGCTGTTGGTCTCTCACAGATTGAGAATTTCCATGGGTCTGGTTCTGCAAGGATAAACCCTAAACACATTTCCAGGCAAAATTCTGATAACATCCCCCAAAACAGGGAGAACACGGACAAGAATGAGGAATGTGCACCGAGGGACTCCCATACATAAGGCTCTCTCTGCCACGCACTCTGTCCACACCACTGCACGTCATCCTTGGGACATTCCTAAAGGAAAGTGCCACTAATACTCCCTGTTTAGAGATGAGTAAACTGAGACCCAGAGTGATTAACAAGTTACCCTGGAGTCGTGGAGCTGGGACTCAGGCCCATGACCTCACAGCTGAGCCGCCACTGTGCAGTGGTAGAGTGAGTGGGCTCAGCCAACCTGCCCAGGTGTGCATCCTGGCTCTGCTATTTCCTAGTGCTGTCATCTTAGGCAAAGTACTTAACCTCCTTGTGCCTCAGTTTCCCCTTCTTTAAAATGGGGATAATGGCAATACTCAACACAGAGGATTGTTGAAAGTGTTACGTGATTTACAAAAAAACTTAGGGCCGGGCGCGGTGGCTCACACCTGTAATCCCAGCACTTTGGGAGGCCAAGACGGGCAGATCACTTGAGGTCAGGAGTTCGAGACCAGCCTGGCCAACACATCAAAACCCCGTCTCTACTAAAAATACAAAAATTAACTGGGTGTGATAGCACACACCTGTAATCCCAGCTACTCAGGAGGCTGAGGCACGAGAATTGCTTGAACCGGGGAGACAGAGGTTGTAGTGAGCCGAGATCGCACCACTGCACTCCAGCCTGGTGGACAGAGCAAGACTCTGTCTCATTAAATAAATAAATAAATAAATAAATAAATATTGGAGGCCGAAAGATTGAGGGTCATGATCAACTCAGTATACCACTGGAAGCTATATGAGTAAGCAGCAGACTATTTCTCATAAATGCAGAATGTTGGCAAACTGACAAACTGTTTCTGCCATCCAGAAGGAATGCTGAGGGCAGTCACGCTCCAAGCATAGTGTTTCTTGTGATTAGGCCTAATTGAAACCTGTTAGTAACAATATGAATCTGTGATCAATCAACCAGCTAACCAGTCATTACCTCCTCCTCCCTGCTCATTCTACCCAATAAATAGGAAGGGCTGTGGAAGCTCAGGGACTGCCTTTGCTCACTAGAAGCAGGGAGTTCTCTTCTTCTTCCCCTGGCCCTTTCCTTTACAACAGTTTCTTTTGTCTTAAGTTTTCATTTCTACATTCGTCCCCTCGTTCAGTCCTGTAATGAAGTCTCAGGCAGTAACAGTAGTAACTGCTGTAATGACGGCCTCAAGTAGTAACAGTAATAACTGTCATAGTGACAGTCTCAAGTAGTAATTGTGGTAGTCTGCAACAAAATAAAATAAAATAAAATAAATTTTAGCAACCGTTATCCTAACTCTTGGCGCTTTAGTTTTTTGATCTGTAAAATGGGAATAAATAGTAGTGCCCACCCCACAGGATGGCTGTATAAAGTGAGTACCCGGCTGTGTGCAGTGGCGAGCACGCCTGTAATCCCAGCACTTTGGGAGGCCGAGGCGGGCGGATCACCTGAAGTCGGGAGTTCGAGACCAGCCTGGCCAACAAGGTGAAACCCCATCTCTACTAAAAATACAAAAATTAGCCAGGCGTGGTGGCACGCACCTGTAATCCCAGCTACTTGGAAGGCTGAGGCATGAGAATCACTTGAACCCAGGAGGTGGAGGTTGCAGTGAGCCAAGATCATGCCACTGCACTCCAGTCTGGGCAACAGAGCAAGACTCTGCCAAAAAAAAAAAAAATAGTGAGTATCCACTCCGCAGGGGTATTGTGAGTATTAGGAAGGTAATTCCTCCATGTTCTTCAACTGAAGCTATTATTATCATCCTGCCTGCAATTCTTGGCAAGTGTTGTGAAGGCAAAGACTGGGAATCCTCTTGTTTGTGGAGAAGAGGAAACGTGTCGGGGGCAAAGTCACAGGGGCAAACCAGGTTTACCCTCTCTGAAGCTCTCACGGCCACAGGTGCCCAGGCCTGGCCATTCCTCCATGGGAAGCTTCTGCACTCACTTCCTCAGTGCTGGCCTGGGTCTGCGGGGCAAGCTGAGTGTCCCGGGGCAGAATGCTTTCTGGAGAGGACTCCGCTACCAGCTGTGGCTGAAGGACCTGGCACAGGGCCTGTTCCTGGGGCCCTTGGCACACCATCCTCCTCCAGCCGAGAGCCGTAAGGAAGAAGTTTCCCTAGTGAAGGGCATCAACAGGCCCCAGGAGGTCCTCCTGCCTGCCAGGACACCCGTGGTCCTCCCCATCCTAACTAGTTACAATTAAAATGAATCTAGCAAACACAGACAGCCAGGCCCTCCCACGCCCTGCTCTGGGATCCAGGAACAACGACGGCGCCCAGGGGAGCCCACACACTTAAGGGGAGCAGCTTACAGTCTCACTGTTTATTGAGCAGCTACTGTGTTCTTGATGCTTTTGTAAACCAGAAAGTGTCTGAGACAGGTCTCAATCAGTTTAGACATTTATTTTTCCAAGGTTAAGGACACGCCCAGTAGAGAGGTCTGTGCCTTTCTCTAAAGATGACTTTGAGGGCTTCAGTATTTAAAGGGGAAAGCAGGCTGGAGGGGAAAGAAGGAGGGTCTGGAAATCCACATATTGCAAGAGAAAAAGAGCAGGTAGGGAAATTATGTATTCGATTATGTATTCGTCTCACGCTCTGTAACTTTACATAAGATAAGGTGAACACAGAGTGGCTACTCGTGGAGATACCTGGCCTTTTATCTGTGGCTCTCTGCTTACGAACAAAGGAAAGGCAGCTTGTTGCATGACTCAACTTTCAGCTTAGTTTTTTCCTTTTGGCAGAGTGAATTGGGGTTTTCATTTTCCTTTCACACTTTCTATACCTTCTCTTATTGAAAATGAGGTGGTTGCTGTGATCTGCATTTTACAGATGAGAAGCTGAGGCTTGAAGAATAGAATCACCACTCACAATCCAGGATGGGAAGTCAGAACCAGCTGAACCAGCGGCTAGCCCAGCCTCTCTCCCTCTCTCTCTGTTCCTCTCTCTTTCTTCTATCTCTCTATGTTTCTCTCTCTCACCGTTTCTCTCTTCTGTCTCTCTCTCTCTCATCCTCTCTCCTCCTCTCTTTCCATTTTGTTTCTCTTTTCCTTGGCTTTTTCTTCTTTCTTGAATTTTTAATGAAGTATAAAAAGTATACAAGGCCAGGCACGGTGGCTCATGCCTGTAATCCCAGTACTTTGGGAGGCTGAGGCGGGTGGATCGCGTGAGCTCAGGAGTTCGAGACCAGCCTGGGTAACGTAGTGAAACCCCCTCTACAAAAAATACAAAAATCAGCCGGGCATGGTGGCACATGCCCGTAGTCCAAGCTACACTGGAGGCTGAGGTGGGAGGATGGCTTGAGCCCAGGAGGCGGAGGTTGCAGTGAGCCGAGATTGCATCACTGCTTCTAGCCTGGGTGACAAGAGTGAGACCCTGTCTCAGAAAAAACAAAACAAACAAACAAACAAAAAGTATACAAATAAAAGTGTTCAGTTAGTCCAGTTTTCACAAATGAGCACACCCATGCAATCAGTACCTGGGTCAACAGCAGGACCATGCATTGCCTGCACCTCCAAAATCCACCTTGGTCTCCCTCTCTTCACTACCCACAAGATAATCACTATCCTGACTTCTAACAGATAGATCCATTGTACCTGACCAGAGGCAGCAGCCATCACCTGGAGACTTGTTAGAAATGCCCCATCCCAGACCTACAGAAGCTCTGGGAGTAGGGCCCAGAAATCTATTTTAACAAACCTCCCATCTCGTTAAAATCAGACACAGCTCCAGCTCGGGGGAGGACAGCAGTGATGTGCTGCTGCCTCCTTGTGGCATTTCCATGCATGAACAGCCGAGAGGCCACCTGCCAGGAGGAGGCTGTCTTCAAGGGGCAACTCCAACAGCCTCCCTGGGAGGTACCCCTCGACTTTCTGCCTAGGAAAGGGGAGGCAACCAATGGCCACCATGTGTCAGGTGCTAACGAAAAGGCCACCTGCCTCTCCATGGCTAAAATGTGGTCTAGGGTCTGAGGTGCATTCTCAGCCATCTGATTCTCAAGAATTCATCTTTTTTCACTTCCACTGACATGAATTATGACATCAGGGAGAACCCAAGGGCAGAAGTAGGGGCCAAGTCCTCTTCATCACCTCCAGGTTGGCTGACAAACTTGGTTGCAAGTGGCCCCATCACACTGGCCTGGTCTTTATCTATGGCCCCTTTGTCAGAGGCGTTAGACCAGAGCAACTCCATTTTGAGTAGGGGCTGGGTAAAATAAGGCTGAGTCCTACTGGGCTGCATTGCCAGACGATGAGGCATTCTAAGTCACAGGATGAGATGGGAGGTCGGCACAAGATACAGATCATAAAGACCTTGTTGATAAAACAGGCTGCAGAAGCTGGCCAAAACCCACCAAAACCAAGATGGCGACGAGAGTGACCTCTGGTAGTCCTCACTGCCACACTCCTACCAGCGCCATGAGAGTTTACAAATGCCATGCCAATGTCAGGAAGTTACACTCTATGGTCTAAAAAGGGGACACATGAATAATCCACCTCTTGTTTAGCATGTCATCAAGAAATAACCTTAAAAATGGGCAACCGGCAGCCCTGAGGGCTCTTCTGTCTATGGAGTAGCCATTCTTTATTCCTTTACTTTCTTAATAAACTTGCTTTCTCTTTGTGGACTTGCCTTAAATTCTTTCTTGCAGGAGATCCAAGAACACTCTCTTGGGGTCTGGATCAGGACCCCTTTCTGGTCACACCTCCACTGCCCAATGCCCCCTCACCACTGGCTTTCATGAAAAAGGTTTTAACGTCTTCGCTGGGCCAGGTCTTTTCATCCAGTCTCTGTTGGATGGCCAATAACCTAACGTGAACCTCTTCAGCAGCTTCTCCCCTGCCCTGAAGCCAGCAGGGGTGGGACACAGGTGACTGACTTGACTCCCTCTACCCTCTCAACCCCCTCACTACCACTCACCTCAAGGACACACCCTCCAGGTCCACTAACCCCCCTGCCTCTCTCAGTCTCTGAGACATCTCACTGCAGTCCCACTCCCCTGCCTTCCTCTCTTGACCCCTGCTCTGTGGCCATCTGACTAAAACCCAGAGTTGGAGAACCTGGTGGTATCACCGCTTACTCCAGATGGCTGATGATCTTTATGTTCTGGATCGGGTCTCAATCCAGACCCCAAGAGAGGGTTCTTGGAGCTCGCACAAGAAATAACTCAGGGTGAGTCCATAAAGTGAAAGTGAGTTTATTAAGAAAGTAAAGGAATAAAGAATGGCTACTCTAAGTCACAGGATTCTAAGTCACAGGATGAGATAGGAGGTCAGCACAAGATACAGATCATAAAGACCTTGTGGTAAGACAGGTTGCAATCAAGAAGTCGGCTAAATCAGAACCTGGTGGCAGAAACTGGTGCTGCGCTGCCTACTCCAGATGGCTGATGTGGCATCTGTGGAATGCAAAGTCTCCCTGAGTCTTTTCCCCACGTCAGGAAGATTGCTTAAGTATCAGACTGCAGTTGCCAGAATAAATCTAAATTTATTTTAAATGTTCATGTCAACAGTCATATTTGTAATGTTTTTTTCCTTAAAAAACATGTTGTACATATGGATGTTCGTCATTGCTATTTATACCTTTATGCCTGTCTTTATTAGCTAGGGTAAACCAGATCCCAGTAATAAATAAACCCGAAATCCAGTGGCATACCAAGGGACCAGGGGAGGTGGTAGTGTTACAGGAAGGGGGTCCCAGTCCAGACCCCAAGAGAGGGATCTGGATCTTGGAACTCGCGTAAGAAAGAACTCAAGGCGAGTCCATAAAGTGAAAGTGAATTTATTAAGAAAGCAAAGGAATAATGCTCCATAGACAGAGCAGCCCCGAGGGCTGCTGGTTGCCTATTTTTATGGTTATTTCTTGATGATATGCTCAACAAGGGATAGATTATTAATGCCTCCCCTTTTTAGACCATATAGGGTAACTTCCTGACGTTGCCATGGCATTTGTAAACTCTCATGGCGCTGGTGAGAGTCTAGCAGTGAGGACGACCAGCGGTCACTCTCGAGGCCATTTTGATTTTGGTGGGTTTTAGCCGGCTTCTTTATTGCAACCTGTTTTATCAGCAAGGTCTTTACGACTTGTATCTTGTGCCAACGTCCTATCTCATCCTGTGACTTAGAATGCCTTAACCATCTGAGAATGAAGCCCAGCAGGTCTCAGCCTTATTTTACCCAGCCCCTATTCAAGATGGAATCGCTCTGGTTCAAATGCTTCTAACAGTGGGAGTTTTCTCCCTGGTGAGAAGGAATATTTTAACACTAATGTTTAGAATTGCTGGCATGTGGTGATAATAAAAAGCAGATTGACTTTTAGACCTTTTCATTACTGTTTTAAAATTCTGTACAGACAATGTACCCCTTTATCACCTGCATCCACTTCCACTACCACCAGCGCCATTGGAACGTCACTGCCAAAATGCTTACTAGCCAAAGCACAAAGTCTATGTGTGTTACGTAACATTCCCTATGGGTGCTTCTGCTTGGTGGGCTCCCCTACATGGTGATACAGGGACTCAGGATCCTTCGTCTAGGGCTCCTCCTTCCTCTCTCCTTCTCCCAATCATCTGCATCCAGTAAGGCCTGACTAGGTCAGGGAGGAAGCCCAGACAATCAATTCATGGAGAGCCGGAGCCAGGAAGTTGCACACAGAACTTCTGCTCTTGTCTCATTGGTTAAAACTCAGTCACATGGTCACACCCAACTGCAAGGGAGGCTGGGAAATGTAGTCTATCTACATTTCATGTGCTATCACAAACATCCATCAGTCTTTGCCACAATGTCTTAAATATTTCACAATAAAGAAATGTCAAATGTTTGTGTTAGACAAGAATGTGGATAAACTACCTTCTTTCTCTAGTATAGGAATTTTACCATGGGACAGATAGTCATGGTTCAAAGTCATGAAACAAATGATCTCAAATTTTATACTGTCCCAGTGACCAGAATGCTGAGTTCACAGAGCTTTCCACTGCCTCTTTCTCCTACTCAGATGATTTCCCTTCTATCTGAGCACATGCCTAGACTACATTTCCCAGTCTCCTTTGCAGCTAGGTGTGGCCATGTGACTCAATCTTTACCAATAAAATATGAAGGGAAGTGACATGTGCCACTTCCTGACCTGAGCCTTACAAGTTTGTGTGCCTGCTTCGAGTTCTTTCCCCTTCCCATTGGCTGCAACCCTCTGTGCCCCAGCTTCCACTGTGCAGACAGGAATAGTATCCTGGGGCAGTGCAGTGATTCTCAAACTTGCAGAATCACTCGGAGGGCCTGTAAAGACACAGATGGCTGGGCCCCACACCTAAAGTTCCTGATTCGCTAGGCCCAGGATAGGGCTGGAGAATTGACATTTCTAACAAGTTCCCAGGTGCTGTTGAAGCTGCCAGTCCAAGGACCACTCTGGAAACCACTGTCCTAAGGAATGATGGGGTGCACTATGAAGAAACCTGGGTCTCTGAGTGGCCCCCTGGATCATAGCTGCCTTGACAACTTGGCAGCGCAGTTGAAAAAGAAGTAAACTTTTGTCTTCTTTAAGTCACTGCACTGCTGGGCATCTTTGTTACAGCAGCTTAACCTTTAACCACACTAACAGAGTTGGGATTCTGTCACTTGCAACCAAGAGTCCTGACCAATACAGACTCGAAGCTTAACTTCAGTAAGTTCCGCCACTAAGAGAGTTTGCTTCTTTTTTCCTGCTTATCCCAAACCCGCAGTTTTTTCATCTTACCTTAGTATTGACCAGGATTCCGGAAGGAGATATGCACATGCACCAAGCCCTAGGAAGGACCTGGAAGGTGGAGAATATTCCACTATGCTACAATCTTTTCAAACATTAACATTATTATTATCTCAACTACTTGCCTGAGTCCCTTGAACACAGGCCCAGCTCTGAAATGTAGTTGCCATGGGGTCTGGAAACAGCCCAGACACCCACTCCTCATTGGTGGGTACCTCTTGTGCTGTTTTCCTGGCTCTAGGTGAACATTCACACCGTGCAGGTAAAGAAGGGTGCAAATGCAGGTTATGGGGACTCGTGTGGCTCAAGCTCTACCTTGGAATGTGTGGCTCAGAGCCCTGGGGATCAAGCTTGGCAGTGGGAGAGGAGGTGGGGGGAAGGTTCCATGGCCCTGAGAGAAGAGGACTCACAACATCTTCAGGGCTCTGTTTCCTGAGGTTAATGGGCCCTCAGCAAAGCACTTAGAGGGTGTTTCTGTGTTTCTCTTGCCTACTCCTCTGCCATGAATAGGTGGGCCACAATGGGGTCCATGTAGAATAGTGTTTTTCCTATGGTCATTTAGCAAGTCTTGGACAGAGTCCATTTGAGAACCAGGCCTCCTGTCTCCCAGCCCAGGGATTTAAAAAATTATCCCATCCTAGTTTGGAAAGCAGCCATGTCCCGAACTGCAATATGGGCTCTGGCCTTTGGAGGACCAGAGAGAGCCTAGCAATGGCCTCTTCCACGTCCTGAAGAAAGTACTGCAGGGGGTGGGCACAGTGACTCACGCCTGTAATTCCAGCACTTTGGGAGGCTGAGGAGGTTGGATTGCTTGAGCTTAGGAGTTCGAGACCAGCCTGGGCAACATGGCGAAACCCCATCTCTACAAACAATACAAAAATTAGCCAGGCATGATGGCTTGTGCCTGTAGTCCCAGCTACTTGGGGGGCTGAGGTGGGAGGATAGCTTGAGCCCAGGAGGCAGAGGTTGCAGAGCCAAGATCGCACCATTGCACTCCAGCGTAGGTGACAGAGTGAGACCCCTGTCTCCAAAAAAAAAAAAAAAAAAAAAAAAAAAAAGTTCCTGCAGGCATGATATGGTGGTATTTGACACCTCTTGTCCGTCCTTGGCTTTGGGGCTTTAGCTGTAAATCTGAGACAATAGGAAAAGTCCCATTTAAGAGTCTCTTACATGTGTGTCATTTAACTTAATCCTCATGACAGCCTTATATGGGAAGTGTATTAAAGAGGGTAATGCTAGTTGCTATAGCGAACAGCCCCCAAGATCTAGTGGCTTAACACAATAGCAGTTTATCTCTTACCTAATATTGCAAGGCAGGTGTTTGTTCCTGGTTGGAGAGATTTCCTTTACGTGGTGATCCGGGTGACTTCCATGTTGCAGCTTTGCCATCCTGCAGGGCTTTGGGTTCTCTGCATCTAGACAGACAGGGATGGAGAAGCTCACCTACTTCCTCGAGGCCCTGCCTGGAAGTGACACTCACCACTCCTGCTCACATTCCATTGGTGGAGACTAGTCACATGGTCACACCTAGATGCCAAGGATGCTGGGAAATGTAGTCTCCAGTGGGGCACATGTCTTCCAGAGACAATTCCACACTATGGAGTCTTTTCCAGAGTTAGTGCACAAAGTCCTCTTTACTAATCTGTTTAACCAGCTTGCCAGGCTAACCAGCGCTCTCCATGCTCTCTGAATGCAACGCTACTGCCCCAGGCATACTGAATGCTTATGGCTAGTAAGCCATTCCCTAGGCCCCTGGTCGCCTTTGGCTCTTGGCCGTAGAAGAGCATGCTTGCCAACAGTCTGCTGGGTCTGTTCCCAAATCAGTTTGCACACAGCACACTTAATATTGTAACAATGTAACTGAATTAGATATTCCATAAACTGATGAAATATGAGTGCAAAAGGAAGAGATTTGTTTTTCTGAAAACTGAATGAAGACTGGTTGCTAAAAAGAATACTGTCAAATTAGGTGTGGAAGAAACAACTACAAAACATCTAGAAAAAAAAAAACCCACAAGAATCTAGAGGGATTCTGCACTCCAGTTGCCATACAAATGTCTGCAGGTCCTTGCCCCACTTTAAAGAAACCAGAATTGGCCAGGGACGGTGGCTCATGCCTGCAATCCCAGCACTTTGAGAGGAATTACAGGTATGAGCCACTGTGCCCAGCCCCTGCAGGACTTTCTTCAGGACATTATACCAGCTTTCCTTCCCTCAAAAGCCTCCTTAGCCTATATAAAGCGAAGATTATGAATAAATGTTAAGGGCAGGTTTCTGGAACCAGACAGCCTGTATTTGAATCAAGCAGTCCTCCTGCCTCAGACTCTCAAGTATCTGGGACAATAGGCTCACACCATGGCACCTGGCTTGAAATTTCAACTTAATTCAATTTTAATTAATTTAACTATAAATGGCCACATATGGTTACTGGCTAAGGCATTGGGTAGGGAAGCTCTGTGTTACACTAACATTAGCACATGTATTTCTTCACGTCTCAGGCTCTTTCTTTGCCTTGACTCTTTCTAGCCCATGATGTCTTGTGAAATGCAAGTCCTGCCCCCGTTGATTCAGACAGACAGCTCTTGATTCCAACATATTATGCTGACTGGGAAAGGGAGGGGTGGTCCTTGGCAGGAGGAAAAGGGACAGGCCTCTGTCTGTAGCAACTGGGCTCAAATTGCCATATGGCAGCAACTGCCACCTGTAACACTGCCATGCTAAGCTCCTCACTGGCAGGGAAGGGCTGCTGTCAAGAGCAAGAGCTCAGCAGCTGGTTCCCCCTCTCCTTGGAATTGTGACTTTGAAAAAAATCTCTGCATACTTCTGAGCCTCAATTTCCCCATCTATAGGGTGGAATTAACAATGCCTACTGTTGTTCTGAGGATTAAATGAAGTGAGGCCTGCTTTGTGCTTGGATCATACTAACTACTCAATCAATGTTCTCGTTTACTCTAACTCTCAGAGTCACCTTCCACTCAGACCAAATAAACAGCAGGGGAAAAAATAGGGTGGGATGGACAGAGAGAAAATGTTCTTTTAAAAAGTGTTTTATTGGCCAGGCACAGTGGCTCACACCTGTAATCCCAGCACTTTGGGAGGCCAAGGAGGGTGGATCACCTGAAGTCAGGTGTTTGAGATCAGCCTGGCCAACATGGTGAAACCCCATCTCTACTCACAATACAAAAAAAATTAGCTGTGCATGGTGGTGTGTGCCTGTAGTCCCAGCTACTCGGGAGGCTGAGGCAGGAGAATCGCTTGAATCCAGGAGGCTGGGGTTACAGTGAGCCGAGATCGTGCCATTGCACTCCAGCCTGGGCAACAAGAACAAAACTCCATCTCAAAAAAAAAAAAAAAAGTGTTTTATTGTGAAAATTCTCAAATATACATGAAAGTAGAGAGAATGGTTTAGCAAACCTCTATACTCCTATCACTTAGATTTTCAAATCTAAAACAAACCACAGTAAAGGTTTTTTTGTTTTGTTTCTGTTTGTTGAGGCAGGGTCTCACGCTGTCACCCAGGCTGAAGTGCAGTGGCTGATGGACCGACCTCCCCAGGCTCAGGTGATGTGATCACGGCTCACTGAAGCCTCGACCTCCCAGGCTCAAGTAATCCTCCCACCTCAGCCTCCCGAGTAGCTGGGACTATAGGTGTGCACCACCATGCCAGCTAATTTTTTTGTATTTTTTGTAGAGACAAGGTTTCGTCATGTGACCCAAGCTGGTCTTGAATTCCTGGGTTCAAGTGATCTACCCACCTCAGCCTCTCAAAGTGCTGGGATTACAGGCATGAGCCACCACACTCAGCCCAGCGTAAGGGTTTTAATAACTCCATTAACTCAGAGATATGGATCCTCATGAGGCTGAAGAACAAACTCTCAGTGGCTCCAAGGAAATGGTCACAAACACATGTTAGGACCTCTCTGAGCAGCCCTGCCTAAAACCCGTTAGAGACAGAGTCTTGTTCAGACAATTGTCATTTGTCCCCCAAATAATATCCTCATCGGCCTGGGAGCAGTGGTTTCCCCCACTGGGTGTGGCTATGTGTTTTTCTGGTGATACTCAAGATTCCATCTCTCTGGGTCCCCCAAACCGTATGTTTTGTCTTTCAGTGCCCAGAAAATTATGAGAGACCCCAAACTCCTACCAGTAACGTTGCTTAAATTAGCAAGAGACAGCTTTTAATTTCTTGTAACCCAGATCCCTAAATGACAGTCAGGCTACAGAAAAGCCACAGCGGCCACCTCTAAGGAGCTGGCACCTACTGTTCCCTGAGGTTAAAATAATCCATTCTTTCAGGAGAGAGACAAGAGAGAGATGTTATTAGGGAACGTGCCAGATCTTCTGGCTTTCTGGAAAATTACTGGGCTATAGTCTAACTATTAGAAATCAATCCCTTAAGATCCCAGTAGCCCTGGGGAATAGGCAGTGTGGAAAAGGGCAAAGAAGAAATTAATTGGGTGGAGGACAGTACTAACATTTGCTGGGCATACTCTGTGCTGAGCAGTTCTTCATACACTCCATTTAATCCTCACGGGAACACTGTCAGGCAGATATTCCTAGCCCCAGGTCACAGACAAGGAAACTGAAGCTCAGAGAGGTGAAGTTACTTGCCCAAGACACAACCAAGGTCTGGCTAACTCTAACACCCATGTTCTTCTTTGCCACTGCCCTACCCTGTGTGGCCTTAGGTGAGTCTCTCTCTCTCCTTCTGAGCATCAGTTTCCTCTCCCTGAGATGGGAATGGCTTGCCTGGCTCACAGAGGCTTTGGAAGGATCTAGACTCCTAAGTGCTTAGAAGCATGCCCAGCACCCAGCCTGGGACTGGGATTGCCTTTTTTGTCATCCTCAAAGCTGACAACCTTGGAGCTCTGAAAGAAGAAAATCCAAGGCCCCGCTGAGGGACGCGGGTGTGCCTCTGGGGCGATGGGACAGAGGAAAATCACTGGGTTCCCTCAGGTCTCCAAAGGAGGAAGGAGGAGAGGAGGCAGAGGGAGGTAAGCTGAAGGGGGAGGTGCCTCGGGTGTTGCTGTTTTTGGTGACTGCTCAGCTGACAGCTTTCCAACCTGAGAAACACACATACACAAAGTCTAACCTCCTCTGGCTTAAAATAGAGCCACTGAACCAAAAATGCCAAGCACAGGGCAGAGTCATCTGCCTGACGGAGCCAGACAGCTCCCCCATGGCCCCAGTAACATCCACCCCCAGTGGGCACACCTGACCAAGCGCCTCTCAGCTGCGCATCATGGGGCCCTCACAACAGTGGGCAAGCAAAGCCAGCCACGGATCCTCGGCCCCATCCCGGAGACAAGGCAAGTGAGAGCCAGAGAGGCGATGGGAGGGGGATAAAGCCAGCAGCATCTGGCCTGACAAGGATCATGACCTGGGGAACCGGACAGCCCTGAGTTCAATCCTGGCTCAGCCACAGCCTGGCTGGGAGGACTTGGCAGGTTAAGTATCTCTTGGCAGGTTAAGTGCCTCTGTGTCCTGGGCTGTAAGGTGAGAGTCCTGTGAGTGATGTCTGTGATTATGCCTCGCACAGGCAGAGTGTTTGGCCCTGTCCCTGCTTCTGGAAAAAGAATTTTCGACATCTGCACACAGACAGTTGTGAAAAAGGAGGAGAAGCAGCTACTGGCTAAGGGGCACCTGGATAGTGACACAAAACAGCTTCTATAATCCTCTACATGGTCCTATGGGGTGAGGGTCATTACTACCCCCGTTTCTCAGATGAGAAAACCAAGGCACAGGGAAGTACAAGTGTTCTGTTTATGGACACCTAGTGGTATGGTTTGGCTCTGTGTTTCCACCCAAATTGCATCTCCAATTGTAATCCCTGCGTGTTGAAGGAAGGACTTGGTAGGAAGTGATTGACTTATGGAGGCAGTTTTCCCCATGCTGTTCTCGTGATGGTGAGTGAGTTCTCACGAGATCTGATGGTTTAAAAGTGTTTGGCAGTCCCCCTCCTCTCTCTCTCTCCCGCTGCTATGTAAGACATAGCTTGCTTCCCTTTGGTCTCTGCCATGATTGTAAGTTTCCTGAGGCCTCCTCAGGCATGTGGAACTGTGAGTCAATGAAACCTCTTTCCTTCATAAATTACCCAGTCTCAGGTAGTTCTTCATGGTCGTGTGACAACAGACTAATACACCCAGCTAGGAAGTGGAGGAGCTGGAATTCAAACTCAGGTCTTATTGACTCCAGCTGTGTCCACAACCATGCCCTCATTAACTCTCCCCTGAGTGGGCCCTGCCCTTCCCCTAAGATCAGGCCATTCCCCACATCCCACTGTCTCCACAAACTCTTTTCGGGCTCTTGTTGGGCTGTGGGTCCTTGGAGCCCCACTCACTCCGACTCTGAGACTTCAGCCCAGGTTTCTGCTCCTCTGAAGTCTGAGCAGAAATCGGAATATTAAACTTACTGATGCTGTTGCTAAAAATCAGGCTGAGGTAGTGGCACCAGCACGCTGCTTCCAGCCCACTGAGCTTCATCCTGCTTCTCGGGAGAAGAAGGGGTCCAGGCCCTCTCTACCAGGTACTGGGGCCCAATTCTGCCTGGGAACTGAGTCGGACAGGCACTGGGTTGGACATCCCTACAGGCCCGGGCGTCTGCTCACTTGTGATATCTGTAACAGTGGCTCACACTTCTAAACAAATCCTCAGGGCCAAGCTCAGCTCTCCGGCTCCACATCTACTGGTTCATTTAATCCTCACACCCACTGTATTAGTTCCCTGTTGCCACTGCAATAAGTTATTACAAACTTAGTGGCTTAAGGCAAATGTATTATCTTCTAGTTCTGTAGGGTGGAGGGCTACACAGGTCTCACTGGGCTCAAATCAAGGTATTGGCAGGACTGAGTTCCTTTCTAGCGGCTTCCATATGGAAGTATGTCCTCCTCTGGGACCTGGAGGGCCTAGGCGGCAGGCTGGGCCTCAGGGGCTTAACATACGTCAGCGACTTAATACAACAGAAGCTCAAAACTGGGGCTCCTGATTGGGGGTTGGGGGACAACCTTGCAATGTGTCATTCAGCCCCAGGTTTTTCCCACCTTGTGGGCTCCCTCTCTTCTAAAGACTTTAGTTCTCTGCATTCAGCCGTCTGGTGGGGGAAAGAGATGGAGCACGTGTAGGGCAGGGTTTTATGGGCCAGGCCTGGAAGTGGCATATGTCACTTCTGCCCATGTTCCATGAGCTAAAGCTTGGTCACATAGACCCTGCTAAGTGCAAGAAAGGCTGGGCAATGTGGCCAGCTGGGCGCCCAACTCCACCTCCCCGGTGCATCCCGGATCCCCTCATTTCTCTCCATCTTCACACATTTGGACTACACTAGCCTTCGAACTGGCCTCCACTCCTAGCCACCATCCCTTTTCCCCATGACAGCCAGGGGCTCTTTAAAAAATATGAATCAGATCATTGTGGTGGTGTTGCGTGTGTGTTTGTTTGCCTGTGTTTGTAATACAGCCTTTCCATGGCTTTCAATAAACCCACATAAGGGCTTGTAAGACCCTGTGTGAAGTTGCCTCTTTGCCTTCCTTCTGCTCCCCCAAAGTATCTGCCCCCCAGTTCTCTGGGCTCCAGCGACACCGGCTCCTCTGCTATTCTGGCTGCCAAGTCATGCTCAGTTCTGTTTTAAGCACCACCTTAGATGGTGGGGTTCACCTTCCCCAAGAAACTATCCCTTTTCCTTCTTTCTCACTCCTGTCTTAAATTAGTTTCTTGTTTGTTAGCTGGCCCTCCTCACTAGGATATCACTTTTACTTACAACAGGAATGTTGTTTGCACCAGTAGGTGCTTGGTAAATATTTGTCAGAGGATTGACTGACTGAATGAAAGAAGGAAGGAAGGAGAGAAGGAAGGGAAGAAGAGATGAAGGGACGAAGGGAGGAAGGGAGGGACGGAGGGAGGAAGGGAGGGACGGAGGGAGGAAGGGAGGGACGGAGGGAGGAAGGATGGGAGGGAAGAAGGGAGGGAGGGATGGGGAAAGGAGTGAAAGGAAGGAAGGAAGGAAAGGAGGGAGGGAGGGAGGAAGGGAGGGGAGGGGGGAGGGGAGGGAGGGAAAAAGGAAGGAAGGAAGGACGGAAGGAAGGACGGAAGACTGGCACGAGGTCACAACATGAGTTAGTGGCGGGAACAGGACTTCTGCAGGCCCGGGGTTTGGGCCTTTGCTTCAGATCTCACTATTCACAGACACATGAACCCCGGGCAGGCGAGTGGGAGGCGGACAGGGGAGCGGTTCTTCCGGCCCCCACCCGTGGCGATCCCAGCCTCCAGGTTCCCGGCAGTCGCCCCGCCTCGCCCGTCACAACCCTGCCGCGTGGGGCCGGGGTTGGAGGGGGCGGAGCGCGCGGTCCGGGCACACGGAGCAGGTTGGGACCGCGGCGGGTACCGGGGCCGGGGCGCCATGCGGAGGCCGAGCGTGCGCGCGGCCGGGCTGGTCCTGTGCACCCTGTGTTACCTGCTGGTGGGCGCTGCTGTCTTCGACGCGCTCGAGTCCGAGGCGGAAAGCGGCCGCCAGCGACTGCTGGTCCAGAAGCGGGGCGCTCTCCGGAGGAAGTTCGGCTTCTCGGCCGAGGACTACCGCGAGCTGGAGCGCCTGGCGCTCCAGGCTGAGCCCCACCGCGCCGGCCGCCAGTGGAAGTTCCCCGGCTCCTTCTACTTCGCCATCACCGTCATCACTACCATCGGTGAGCCGCCCGGAGCCTCCCTCCGCGCCCGCTCCAGCCCCAGCCGTCCCGGGGCGCCTCTGGGTTTCGGTCCCACCTCTGCCCCCGCCCAGCTGAGCTACTTTGGACGGGTCATTTCGGCTCACCGAGCCTCCCTCATCTCCTTCGCCTCCCTCGTCTCCCTGGTCTCCTTTGCCCCCCTCTGCTGAATGGAGCTGTCAGCCCACGCAGGCAGGGACGGGAGGAATCAGTAAATCGAGTTTGCCAAAAGGCTGACCCAGGAGTGCTCAGAAAACGTCCAAGGGGCTTGGAGATAGGTGAAGCGGGGCTGGGAGACCAAGTGGCTGGATTTGCTTTTCCTTGCCTGGTTGCCTCACACTTGCTGTGTGACCTTAGACGAGTTGCTCAACCTCTCTGAGCCAGAGTTTTCTCTTCTGTAAAATAGTGTCGCTAATCGGCCTTATCTCAGGGCTGTGGTGAGAGTTATTATTCAGGAGACAGACTATGCACAGACAAGGCCTGTGCTAAAACATGACACATACAGAGCACTACAAAGAAAAGATCATTTTTTTATTATTGCAATTGTTATTGTTACCCCATGAGAATGGGGACCCAGTCTGTCTTAGGGACTGCTGTATGACCCGTGCCTAGCATGCAGTAGATGATCAATAAATACTTGTTAAAGGAATGACTGATAACCACAGGCTCTGGACTCTGCCCTCAGGGATGCAGAGCAGTTCCTTTGGAGCATCTGGACCACCAGCTGTTGCCATGACTACCATCTGGCTGGTACCTGCTGAGCCTAAACCTGGGGGAACAGGAAGGAGAGAAGTGGGCTCTGCAGGGCTCCAGGCTTGGTGCCAGCCACTCCCCAGGCTCCAGCTGTGAACGTCCCGGCACCCCCCCTGGGGCTTGGATCACCAGTCCGAAAGCCAGTGCCTTGGAGAAAGTTTCCCCATA
This sequence comes from Homo sapiens, assembly GCF_000001405.40. NCBI lineage: Eukaryota > Metazoa > Chordata > Mammalia > Primates > Hominidae > Homo > Homo sapiens. The sequence continues at coordinate 44,747,133 of NC_000020.11, forward strand.
ATGCTCTTGCAAGTGAATATGAGCTGTGGTTTTTGCAGTGGAGTTAAAAGTATGAGTTCTGGAATCACAGAGACTGGAGTTCTGGTCTCATCTCTATTGCCACCTGCCTTCTCTGGCAATTGATTCCACCTGTCCAAGCCCTGGTTTCCCCAAAGGCAAAATGCAATTGTTCCTACCTCACTGGGTGACTGCCAGGTTTCAGTGAGGTCAAGCATGTAACATGCTTGGCACAGTGCCTGAAGCCAAGTAGGCACTATTCATTTGTAATAATTCATTATTTGCCAACGTGGCTCCAGCTCTTATTCAGCTCTTTTGCCCCCTCCTGTCCACATGGACACCCCTGCTTCCTATCTTGGTACACCTGAGACCCTCCTGGTTACCGTGCCCACTGGTCTGGGATGCCATCAACTTGTTCTCTCTGCCTTTATCTACATTCTTTGGAGGCTTGCCATGTGGTTTTGGCCTCTTACCCTGGTTCTTTACCTCTGAGGTACGTCTGGGAGGCTGATGTAAGAGACTCAAGTGGAAACAGGAGGAATTTTGCCTTTTCTGGCCACTTGGGGGCACCACCACCCTCTGTGGTCTAGTCCGCTGAAGCCAGCCTTGCAGAGAGCCAGGTGCCAGGCCCCAGGAATTTGGGCTTTGCTTGGATGGGAGAGAGGCACTGAAGCAATGGAGGGTGCTGGTTAATAGCTCAGGCCTGTGGAGGGTGCTGGTTAATAGCTCAGGCCCGTGGAGGGTGCTGGTTAATAGTTCAGGCCCATGGAGGGTGCTGGTTAATAGCTCAGGCCTGTGGAGGGTGCTGGTTAATAGCTCAGGCCTGTGGCCTTTGGGCAGTTTTGTCCCTCTGAACCTAGTTTTCTTATCTATAAAATGGGAATAACAACATGTCATATAGTCATTGGGAGGGTTAAATCTGATAATCCATGCAGAGTACATACATGGGTTAGTTACTGTCATTATTAGTTATTATCATTATTCATTTCACTCTCTGCCAAAACCTGGCACAGTCCCAAACAGCTGGAAGCCTTTTATTCCTAAAGAGACTCTTCTGTTTCTCACCAGCACCCCCTTCAGCTTGGTTTGATTCAATAAACTCTCATTGAGCTTCTGGTCTACGTCAGGCTCTGTGCAGGACCTTGGTGATGGGGACTACACCACCATCGTCCCCGCCCTCAAAGAGCTCAAAGTCTAGTGATGAGCAGACCCCCTTTCTCCCAAAAGTAACAGAGAGGCAAAGTGATAGGGCTATGCAACAGAAATGTGGAAGTGCAGCCACAGGCCTTTAAATGTATGTAGTGCTGATATTCTGAATAAGTTATATATGCACACAGTACACACTTCACAGGGCACAAAAGGGTATGGAATGAAAAGGAATTCTCCCTCCCACCCTGTCTCTCAGCTCATAAATTCCTCTTCCTGGGTCAAATACAGTTGCCAGTTTCTTGTGTGTCCTTCTGGATATATTCTCTGCCTATATATTCCTTTAAAACACACACATTGTATAGACGTTATACACACAGTTTTGTCTCTTACTTTTTTCACTTATAGAATATATGTTGATGTTTTTATGTCAGTCTCTAAAGAGCTGCGTCATCTTGTTTGTAGGGTTTCTCAGCATTGGAACTACTGACATTTGGGGCTGTGGGGACTGTCCTGTGCATTGCAAGATGTTTAGCAGTGTCCCTGGCCTCTACTCTCTAGATGCCAGTAGCACACAGCCATCCCCACTCCTCACCCCCATTTGTGACAACCAGAATGTCTCCAGATGTTGCCAAGTGTCCCCTCAAAGGCAAAACCACCCTCGATTGAGAACTGCTACTCTGTAGTATCCCATGGTTTGGATGGCACTATAATTTATTTAACCAGGCCCCTTTGGATGGACACTTACATTGTTTCTCATTTTCGCTATGACCGACAATGCTGCAATGACGACCCAAGTGCACACATATTTTTGCTCATGTGTGTATATTGAAGGGCTAACTTCCTAACTGTGGAACTACCTTGGTCAAAGGATTTGTATTTTTTACTTTTTGGCAGGTAGGGCCAATCTGTTAGAGGAGGCGCATTCTTCTTGGCCTCCTGACTCTTCCTGGCGTACAGGCTCCTTTGAGAATACCATGAAAGCAACTGCTCCTCTTTCCAGGAAAAGACACACAATGAGATACCCATTCATTCCCCTGCAATGGCGCGGTGTTCCAGGACTCAAGATTGCCCAGTCGTGTTTAGATTCCCTATAGTAGTTGAAGGGACCCAGTAAGAATCGCCACGCCAGACAATCAGAACCAAAAGGTGTTCAGTGCGGGCAGGCTGAGCAGTGGAGGGGGAGGTAGTCAGGAGAAAAGGCATGTGGAGAGGACATGCTGACTGGGGAAGCAGCTCGGGGTGTAGCTGGAAAGTGGGGAAAGTTTTGCTTTTTTTTCATCAAGGCATAATTTACATACAGTAGAACTCACCATTTTCCTGTGTACACTCCTGACAGATGAACACCTGCCGCGTAACTGCAGCCACGGTCAAGACGGAACATTGCCATCAACCCCCAAAATTCTACCATGCCTTCTGTAGTTAAGCCTGCCCCCAACCCCAGCTACTGGCAAGCAACCACAGATCTGTTCTCTGTTGCCACAGTTTTGTCATTTCCAGAGTGTCATTTATAGGGAACCATGCGGTCTGTAGGCTTTCGAGCTCGTCTTCCTCTACTCAGCTTAGACATTTGAGATCCATCCTTGGTTGCCGCAAGTTACAGGAGTTCATTCAGTTGCTGAAAAAAATTGGTGTTTGGATGCCCCACAGGTTGTTTATCCATTCCCCAGTCGAGGGACACTTGGGTTGTCTGAAGTTTGGGGTGATGAATGACCTAGTTAGGACTAGTATTTGGAGATGCCCTTCCAGCCCCGGGGACGGGGAGGGACACGCCGGGCAGGCAGGCTGCGGGCGGGACTGTTGTCAGCTGGAGCTGGGCGCTCACAGCCCTCCCCTCCGCTCTCCCTGCATAGAGTACGGCCACGCCGCGCCGGGTACGGACTCCGGCAAGGTCTTCTGCATGTTCTACGCGCTCCTGGGCATCCCGCTGACGCTGGTCACTTTCCAGAGCCTGGGCGAACGGCTGAACGCGGTGGTGCGGCGCCTCCTGTTGGCGGCCAAGTGCTGCCTGGGCCTGCGGTGGACGTGCGTGTCCACGGAGAACCTGGTGGTGGCCGGGCTGCTGGCGTGTGCCGCCACCCTGGCCCTCGGGGCCGTCGCCTTCTCGCACTTCGAGGGCTGGACCTTCTTCCACGCCTACTACTACTGCTTCATCACCCTCACCACCATCGGCTTCGGCGACTTCGTGGCACTGCAGAGCGGCGAGGCGCTGCAGAGGAAGCTCCCCTACGTGGCCTTCAGCTTCCTCTACATCCTCCTGGGGCTCACGGTCATTGGCGCCTTCCTCAACCTGGTGGTCCTGCGCTTCCTCGTTGCCAGCGCCGACTGGCCCGAGCGCGCTGCCCGCACCCCCAGCCCGCGCCCCCCGGGGGCGCCCGAGAGCCGTGGCCTCTGGCTGCCCCGCCGCCCGGCCCGCTCCGTGGGCTCCGCCTCTGTCTTCTGCCACGTGCACAAGCTGGAGAGGTGCGCCCGCGACAACCTGGGCTTTTCGCCCCCCTCGAGCCCGGGGGTCGTGCGTGGCGGGCAGGCTCCCAGGCTTGGGGCCCGGTGGAAGTCCATCTGACAACCCCACCCAGGCCAGGGTCGAATCTGGAATGGGAGGGTCTGGCTTCAGCTATCAGGGCACCCTCCCCAGGGATTGGAAACGGATGACGGGCCTCTAGGCGGTCTTCTGCCACGAGCAGTTTCTCATTACTGTCTGTGGCTAAGTCCCCTCCCTCCTTTCCAAAAATATATTACAGTCACACCATAAGCACAAACCAGGCTCCAGGGTCACCCTGTAGGAGCAAATTCCTTGTAGTCCAAATTGTATGAGGGCGTGGCCACATCAGCACTTAGGAGAGGCTCTGCACAGGTCCACCTCAGAGCCGACCCTCCAGAGCAACTTTTCTGTTGTGAAGAGGCTGGTTTTCTGAGTAACGGTTGAAATGTGCAACTTTCAACACTGGAATCTTCGCTGCAATTAGTGAGGTCAGATGCTCACACTACGAGAAGCATGGGGAACAAAGGTGGACCAAATGGGACCGTGTACAGTCCAGTGTTGACAAGGGGGTCAATCTCTTGCGCTAAACGATCTCATTCTCTGCCCAGTGTATAGAGTGGAATCAGCCCATGTGTGAATGATGGCCTCTTTCCCCCAGACAGCTGATGCTCTTTGTCCCTGGCCAGCCCCACTTCAGGATGAGGGAGGCCTTGCTGTCACCCACCCACCATGTCACTGGGGCCACTTGGACACAGCAGAATGCCATGGGACGAGCTCTCTTCCGGGTCCTGTCAATCACCAGCAATATGACCTTGGAGAATCGCATCCTCTCCCAGGGCCTCAGTTTCCACATCTGTAGAATGACGGGGTTCATCCAGAACCCTGCTCCCTCTTACGCATCTCTGGCAGGACTTTCTGGAACAGGCCCCTGCACCATAAGGGGGCAGAGACAAAGCCCGAGGTGTGGCATCCTGGCACCCCGTGGCACTCAGCCACTTCCCCTGGCTTCCCAGATAGGGCTGTCTCAACACAAAGCATGAACGAGCCAGGTTAGAAAAGCCAAAAACTTTAATTTCAACATGAGCTACATGGTCATGAACACAATGCAACGCGACCCCACTCCAACCCAAGGGCCCCAGAAACCCTCCCTCCCTAAAGGCCTGGGCGGCTGCTGCTCCAAGAGAGGGAATGAGGGAAAGGTGGGTGGATGGAGAGAGGCCCCCAGCCTAAGGACCCAGGCTCCTGCCTTCCCACCACCCGTCCAGGAAGCAGTCATAAAGTGAAAGGGCTCCAGAGGTGATGCTCACAGCCCTGGGTTCGGCTCCATTCTGACCTCCCTGAAGCGCTGGGTTAGACGGGCACCATCAGCCCACCTCACAGGCTCGGCGTCGGGTGAGCTCGTGGACGCTAATGCTTTCTGTCCACTCTGAGGTGCTGCTCCAGATGTGGGGCCCTCCCAGAGGGCCTCGGAGACACCATAGGGGAACAGGGAGAGGGGCTCGGTCCCTGGGCCTGACACAGCACTGCTGCTCAATAAATAAATGCAGGTGACCTTGCCTGACGCAACAGCTGTGCCTCCAGAGGGGGTGGGACTCGGTACTGTTTCTGACACGGAAATGCACCCAGGAGCTCCTGGCTGAAGGGAATTGGCTTGTGAAGTACATAACCACCCCCTAAGCCACCTGCTCCACCTCTGGGTGTAAAAGAGTGAGCTCTGGGCTGTTGGAGAACCGAGTTCCAGTCCTGCCCACCCACTAACACAGTGGGACCTCAGGCAAGCACTTTCCCCTCCCAGGACCTCAGCTCCCTGCTTTGAAATGGGGATGACGGCACAGGCCACCACCTACTCCCCAGGGGCTCTTGTGAGGGCCGAAGGGCACACTCGAGATAAAAGCATTCTGAAAACAAAGTCTGAAAAGCACAACAGGAAGGCCAGGTCTCACTGCATCTGAAGGTTTGGGGAGGACTTGCCTGAAATGAGGCGCCCACAGCTGCTCCCATTCCCTCACTGCCCCAGGCAGGAGCTGGTGTTTCCTAACTCTCCCTCCAGTTGGTCCTGAAGAGGCTATGGCCCCTTACAAGGGCCCTCCACCCAGGCATCAAGGTCTAGACCCAATCCTGTGTACCCTCAGTCAGCTGGGCCAGCCCCCAAGGAGAGCTGAGTCTCCCTGGCAACCCTCTCCCCCAGACCCAGGCCCAGAGAAGTCACTGGTTTATAGAGGTGGAGCCCAGTAGGGCTGTGCAGCCCAGGGCTTCGAGGCCAGGAATCCTTGTCCCAGCAGACATGCACTGGAGCAACGGTCTCCTGTCGCCTGAAGAACAATGGAGCCCCTAGTTCTTCCCCCTTTGCACCCTTGCTGAGGGGTCTTGTGTGAGTCACTTCCTGTTTCTGGGCCTCAGTTTCCCAACCTCTCAGATGGGCTACAGCTTGTCCTGCCCATCTTTTGGGGGGCCATTAGGCTTCAAAGAAAGAAGGGAGGAGGAGGTATGGGCAGTGGCAGCCCCACCTCATACTGCCCTGGCTCCGGCTCAGCCTCTATTGGGAGGAGGGGACCCAGGCTGGGGGTGCCACTGAACACACAGGTGACTCCAGGGGTGGCTTTTCCCCCAAGCTGGGTCTTGATTTCCTTGTCTGTAAAATGGAAATGGACTAATGGTCCCAAAGGCCCTTCAAGGGGGTTCTGGAGAAGGAGAGTGGAGATGGCTCCTTCCCATGGTATCCTGCATGTGATCTTGGCCCAGAGATTGAAAACAGTCATCCCCTGGAGACCCCAGCCCCCCAGTGGCCCCTAGTGCCAGCCTCTCTGCTCCTCTTCAAACAGTGCAGCCTGAGTCAGCAAGGGGCCAGGCAGTAGCGGGGACAGGATGGGCTTGAAGCTTCTCCGAAGCTAATGATGAAAATGTCACTCTCCTCCCCAAACCCCCATCCCTTGGTGAGGACAGACCGTAGTTCCCACACCCAATGGTCACAGCCCCTGGGAAGGGGCACATGCTCACGATGACACAAAGAAACAGGGCTCCAGCCCCCAGCTGCTCCACCCCTCCAGGAGGTGAGCGGGATTTCACAGAACAAACAAGAAAATCATTGAGGGGGCCCTCACTGACCACCCCCAGGTGTTGTTATTGCTTCGGAGCTCTCTCTCTCTTTATAAAGGCTGTGCAGACACCAGGGGAAGGGCTCAGGCTGTCAGGGCCAAGCCCCTGCTCCCCCTGGTTGGGACAGCCAGGCTCTGCCCTGTTTTTGAAAAGCTACCCCTGAACAACCACAGCGGTGATGGCTGGAGAGAGAAGGCGCTCTCCTGGCTCAAAATATTCCAATGGTAAGTAATAAACGAACAGCAGAGAAATCACACTGGTTAGAAAAACAAACAGGCAAGGGGCCAATTCTGTGCCTTGAATGCGAATCCCTCCAGAGCCCTGCTCCTTCCACCCCCAGCCTTGGGATTCCACCCACCGCGGTCCCAGGAAACTCTGAAGACCTCCTGGGTAAAGGGGGCGTCTCCATCTCCCCTTCCCAGTGCAGGGTAAGCAGCTCTGTGGAGGTGATATACATTGACCAGAACTTTAAAGAATACCCAGGGTTTCCACAGGCTAAGGGAAGGGAAGAATTTCCGGGTGGAAGGAGTTGCCTGGTGGGACTGGGACCGGGACCGGGACCAGGAACAGGGTGGGACCAAAGGCAGCCTGGGTGTCCTCAGGAGAAAACAACACCCTCTAATGGAGACCAGGCCCCCTCTGCCAAGGTCCTACAACCCTTAGGAGTCCCTCATAAAGAAAGTCAGTACCAAGAATAATAAATCAGAACAGCCGAGTATAACAGGCAGCTCCAGCTATAACCCTACGGGGACAAGGGAAGGAAGGGGGCGGAGGAGGAGGGGCTGGCCTCCTGTGAGCCAGGCTGCCCCATCTAGGCCCAGGCCAGCGAGGAGACAGTGGTCTCCTGGAATGTACTTGAGGCTCCTCTCCACCCCCGGTCCTGGGACTCTGTAAGGACTATGCATGAGCTAAGAACAGGCCCCAGGGCTTGGAGCACTAACTCTACCTAGCTAACCTGGACTACGCCCTACACAGCAGGGACTAGGTAAAGAGTGGCAGGCTTCTGGGTGCCTCCCAGGGGAGGTGGCAGAAATGTGCTTCTATAAAGAGGGGCCAGCCTCCATCCTCCCTTGCATGCAAAAGGGCTCCCGCAGGCCCCAGGGAGGGCTGGGCTGGGAAGGCAGCTACCCAGGCCTGCTGGAAAAGGAATCTCCCAGTTCTTACACTCACGCCTCTTCACTTTTCTCTCCTACCGCCATCTTTCCTTCAGCCAAGGTAATTGAGGCCGGGGCAGTGGGTTCTGCCCTTAGTATAGGATGTTTTTTTTAAAAAGACTAAAATAGGGGGGCTCTATTTGCCTCCCCAGCCCCCTGGCCTGGAGGCAGGGTGGGTAGACAGGATGACCATTGACCTCATGCAACAAGGAGGGGTTCTCCAATTTGAGAAACCCTTATCTTGGCACCACCAGTCCCAATCCCAACTTTCCTTAGCCTCCCCCTCCAATACAGCACCCCCAAATGCTCTCTAGGGTTGGGGTTCTGGAAACTCAGGTTCCACAGCTCCTCCACCGGAACACAGACGACAACATTCTTTCTAGTCCGCCAGCGGTTCCTAAACTAGCTTGTTGCAATCCCATGGAGCGAGGCACCTAGGGGTCTGTGCCAGGCCCCCGGCACCTCCTCCTTTCCTTTGGTCCCTGCTGAACCCCAATTCCTAGAGCCACCAGAAGAGGGGCAGGCAGGAGGGGACGGACGGATGGACTCGGACAGGCTGCGGCAAAGCTCCTTCCACGGGCAGGCAGAGGGAAGCTCAAGCTCCTCTTCAAGTGGGGGGCTCTGGGCCCCTGGGAGCTGGCTCCGGATCCTTGCAAAGCTGCCCCTTCATCTCTGGGGCAGGAGTAGCTGCCTGAACCCGGTGCCGCAGGAAAGACACTTGCTGGTAATTGGCACCATGGAGATGGCCGGCTGGGTTCTGGACATGGCTCTGGGCAGCGAGCTTCCGAGGAGGCAAAAAGGGGGAGAAGTTGGACAGTTTGGGAAGGGAGAGTGGTCTGCTCTGCCACCTCAATCTTTCCTTTCTCTGGACTGCAGCCACATCCACCAGGTCAAGAACCGGCCAAGTCAAAAGTGTAGCCAATCCCGTTGGGAGAGGGGAGGTCTCGGGGGTAGGAGGCAAAGAAGGGGTGAGGAGGGGCCCAAGGGGGGGCAGGTCTCCCCGTTCTGCTTCCCCACTGTGGGGGAGAGCCCCGTCCTCCTGTTCAATGTGCCCCTGGGCCTGGGGTCCCAGGTCAGGGCTGGGTGGTCTCCAGGCCATCTTGGGGAGCCCCTCCCCATTCCAGCACTAAGATCGTTCTCCGCAGGGCCCCACGGTGCTCTCGAGGGACAACTGGGATGCCTGCCGGAGCAGGGGGCCTGTGGCTGGGTCCACCATGGAGGAGGTGGGGAAGAGCTTGTACCAGCCCACGGCCAGGGTGGTCAAGTCCAGCTCCTCCAGCAGCACGCGAGCCACACCCATGAACTGCTTCCGCTCCATCCGCCCGTAGTTCCCCCACACGATCACCTGTGGGGCAAGAGACACAGTGGTTCAAATCCTGCCAGTGCCACTCACAGGCCCAGAAGCAGAACCTGGGTCGCCCCATGCCCAATCCAGCTCAGTCCTGTGATTTCTACCTCCTTAAAACTGCAATTCCTCAACAGGCCTTTCTTATCACGGGGCATCACACCAAGCCCCTGGCCTCCAGAGGCTGTTGATGGTAATGGTGACGGTGACGATGGTAATGGGTAGAACACTTGCTGTAGGCAAAACTGCAAATACTTTTCCTGCACACAGCACACATTCCACTGGCACCAGAATGTTATCAGGTAGGTACTATTAGGGTCCCCGCTTTACAGATGAAGGAACTGAGGGTCAGAAGGGAACTTGTTCAAAGTTGTGCAGTAAGTTGTGGAGCTCAGTTCAGCCACAGTGAACTGAGGGCCTCGCCTGTTTCCTCCAGGCGAGGCCCTCCAGAGACACCCCCCGCCAGGGGTGCCCTCCTCTCATTCTGGTACTGTGCATGTGTGCTCGTGCACACACACACACGTGAGCGCGTCAATGCCCCTCACCTGGAGGACTTTGCCCTGGGGACTCTCAGGAAACAGCAGCACCTGGTTATACAGTGGGTCCAGCGACTTGCGAGCGACTTTGGTCTTCTTCTTGGCAATGCAGATGCCATTCTCTAGCAGGTAGGCCTTGATGTAGGCCGCTGGGGATAGAGGCCAGCAGGGGTGAGTTCTAGTTTGGCCCTCAAATGGTGGGCAAAGGGTGCAACAGAGGGAGGCTGCCCACCCTCTGCTGGAGATAGGTGTGCCCCCATGGGGTCTGGGGAGGACGCACCAGGACACATGGGGGGTGGGCATTTGGGGGCAGCAGGTACAGCTGGGCTTGGGTGCAGCCTGCCCCACCTCCTCTGGTGGTCCTCACTGTCTCCACCCTTCCTTTGCTCACTCTGTGCTCACCTGTTTCCTCTCTCAGTCCATAATGTGCCCACCCCCTCCCTGGCTTATGCATCTATCTGCTGACCCCCTCACTCACCAAGCCTGAGCACCTACTGCATGCCAAGAACCCTGCTAGGCACTGGGGTATAATGATAAGCTGGAAAGATGGTCCCTGCCTTCCAGGAGCTCAGTCCAGTGGAGGAGAGGAACAAGGTCAACAGACAATCTCAACTGGCTCTTCAAACAAACCCTAAACTACCAATTCCACATAAGACATCAGAGTTGGGACAGGGGGTCCCCACAGTTGGGCCCAATTTTCTCTCTTCAAGGCCCTCAGTACCCATCAGGATATCCTCCCTGACCTCCACCCCCACCTTGCAGGGGAAGGTAGGCCCCAGACCTGGCAGTGTCTTGGAGCCTGGCTTGGCTGTCAGTCCCCGAGCCTGGATAATGTCCACCTCCAACTGACCGTTCCGCTCCTGCAGACCGATCTCCACATCCCCTGGAAGAGGCACCAAGAGATGAGACTGGGAAATGGTTCAGAAGCTCAAGCTTGGACTCAGCTCTTCTCCTTTACTTAGGGCTGAAACCCCCTTCCCCTGCTCCCAGCCCAGAATAAGACCAGAACCAACTCCCACCAAGTGCCTAGGCTCTGCTGAGGGCTTGAGAGTGTGCCCTGGGCTCTAGGCGGCATGCGCAGAGGATGGATCAACAGGCAAAGGGGAAGGAGGGAGAGACGCTGAGCTTCTGGTGTGACACCCAACTCCCCTAGTCCATTTGAAACCAGCCTTGGGGCACTCACCCATGGGTGTGGTGGCCAGGGTCTGGCGGCCCACAAACTGTGCCGGCCCCATGCTTCCCAGGAAGTCACTGAACTGGGCGTCCGACGCCAGGCAAACTCCTCCATAGTTAAGGCTGCAAGAGGAAAAGGTGAGACAAAGCACACATTCCCAGTGGTTTACCAACAACTCTGGACTCAAGCAGTCAACCTCCATGCAATGGATATGCTGAAACTTCCCTCTTGGGATGGAGATAAGGTTTACCCAGTATCTGGCTCATGTGGTTTAGTGCCTTGATACTCAAAGTGTGGTTCAGAGACCAGCAGCATCAGCATCACCTGGGAACTAATTAGATACATAGAACTGCAGCCCACTCCACCCCCAGCTGCTGAATCAGAATCTGAATTTTAATGCGAGCCCCAGATGATGCCCTTGCACGTGAAAGTGTGAGCTGCACTGCAAACGGCTCTAGACTCTGAGGGGTGCATTTCTTGCGGCTGCTTGGCTACCTAATATCCACTTCCCCTTCCTCTGGTAACAAGATCTCAAATTTTCTTTACGGAACCCCCTCCCCGTGGCACATGATCACAGTGGGGTGGAGGGAACAGCTCCTGAGACTGGGCCTCCAGCTCAGCCTGGCCAATCAGGGCATCCCTTCCCCTCGGCCAGTGATCAGCTCAGAGACAGGCATGTAGCCCAGTTCAGCCAACAAGAATCAGGCCTGGAAGCTTTGTTTGAACTATGGGGAGTGAGACGCTCTCTTTCCCACCAGACTTGAGCCTGAGATGCAGGACTGGAGCTTCTGGTGCTATGTAGCTACCATCTGGATCCCGAGAATGAAACCATCAAAATGACAGCATTGTGTGAGCTCCTGGATCAAGCTCTGCCTGAAGCAAGCTACTTCATCTTTTGGTTACGTTAAGTCAATATCAACAGCAACAACAAAGATAATTTTATTATTTTGCCTAAGACAGCTTTAGTCAGTTCTCCCCACTCCCTTCACTTCTCTAAGTATCTCTTTCCCATCTGTGAAATGGGAATAATAATGTTCCCATCTCCTAGGTCTGTTGTATTAAGTGCGATGAGGCACTAAGTACCATGCCTGATGTGCCTCTGTTATCCTGAGCACCAAAGCACTTGCAACCCATTTTCTCATCTGATCCTCACCACAACCACAGGAGGTTTTTTTTGTTGTTGTTCTGGTTTTTGTTTTTTTTTTGAGACAGAGTTTCCCTCTGTTGCCCAGTCTGGAGTGCAGTGGCACGGTCTTGGCTCATTGCAGCTTCGAACTCCTGGGTTTAAGCGTTTAAGCAATTCTCATGCCTCAGCCTCCCAAGTAGCTGGGAATACAGACGTGTACCACCACGCCCGGCCAATTTTTGTGTTTTTTAGTAGAGACAGAGTTTCATCACATTGGCCAGGCTGGTCTCCAACCCCTGGCCTCACGTGATCCACCCACCTCGACCTCCCAAAGTGCTGGGATTACAGGGGTGAGCCACCACGCCTAGCCCAAGAGGTTGGCTTTTGATCTTTATCACCATCTTTTAAATAAGAAACACATTTGCCCAGCAAAAGGGTGACCCTATTCCCTGGCCAGAGATGAGGCATACAGAGTCAGAGGCTTAACCCAAGCCAGGCCAATCAAAACCTCTCTCTGGGAAATAAAAAAGAGAATCCTGGAGACTAAAAGTCACAAGAACTGAGCCATATAAATGGCCTGCCCTCAGGCAAAACCCATAAACTCTACTAGCTACCCAGTCTTGGCTGCCCGATTCTTCCCTGAACCATTTGAAGTCCCCCAGTGTTCTGTTTTTACTTAAGTTATCTGCAGAGTTAATGGCAGAATATTCAGCCTGAGTGCTTTCCCTTTTCCTGATTTCCTACTACCCCTGGCTTGCTTTCCCCATTCAGACAGTAGCCAGGGTGTCCTATGTTGGCTGCCTCAGAGAAGGAATGACCCAGCAGGAGGTAGAGAGCAAGAGACTTGGGCTCTTGACTTTTCAGTTCCAAATCTAAGAAACAGACTTGAAAGAATAGGTACAAAACTAGGCTATCCTGCCCCGAAACAGACAAACCCTCAGCCTGGGAGAGCAGAGGAAGTCAGGCAAGGAGGGAACAGAGCTGAGATGCTGCAGGATCCTTGAGGACGGTCTGTAGTCTGCAGCTGGTGAGTGCTGGGGGATGACAGAAAACTCCAGATAGGCTGGGGGGATCTGAAAGCAGAGGAGACTTGCACTTACTCTTCTTATTGGGTGGAGCTAAGAAAAGGGCAGAACACTTTACAGAAATGGCTACTTGGGCTTCTTGTCAAGTAACCCCCTGGGAGATCTCTGAGGCTCTCTGTACATCCCTCCATACCCTAGAGAGGAACATATGATCCAGGTGCACTGGAGAGAAGGGCAGATCCATAGAGGCCTGGTGGTCTGGGCAAAGAGAAGTAGCTGAGACCAATGAGAAACAATGACCAAGGAGCAGACAGTAAGATCACGTTCCAGGAGACACCAGGATGATGGATGATGATTGCAGACCACACACTCTGTCCCCAGTGTCTGAGCACCACAATAATAGCAGCCAATGCTACTGGACACGAGCCCTCACTGACATTCAGCTGGTACACCAGGTGTTATGGCCGGCGTCCATTTGATCCATTCATTCAACCAACAAATGTTTACTGAGCACATACTATGCACTCTATTGTGTCCAGGCACTATTCTGGACACTTGGAATATGTTAGTGAACAGTGATTTCTGCCCTTCAGGTGCTTAGATTCTAGTGACATATTACACACAATTAATATCATAAACATTACAGTATGTTAGAAGGTGGTAAATGATAGAAATCTTAGTAATAAATAAGTAGAGAATTAATGTGGGCAGGGGGGGATGTGGGCGGCAATACAAAATAGTGTGATCAGTAGCTGTGACTTGTGCTTCTTATTAAATACTTTGATAGTTACCCTGGGCCTGTTCTAGAAATTTACACAGATTCTCTCCACATAAACTTCCCCAGGACACAGGCATAACATTTGGGAAAATCCTGAACCAAGTGGGTCTAAGTTTCCAGCAAACAGAGGACACAGCGGGACTTGATACAGAGATTAGCAACAGCGAACTCCCAGTGCTCACTAAATGCCACAAATGTCAAAGTGCTCTATACTTATTAATTCATTTCAGCCTCACAACAACCCCATGAGGTCAATACTGTTACTGGGCCCATTTTATAGATGAGCCGGAGAGTTAAGAAACCTACCCAAATGACACAGGTACTGCATGGCCCCACCCTATCCCTCAGCACTCACCTCTATACTTTGAAGCTACCTGCTCTCACACCTGCCACTAGGTCTGAGGGCTTATTTTCTGGCTGTGAGAATTCTGAATTTTGCTGGGGAAGCAAATTCAGCCTGTGGCACAGGGCAGGCTGGAAGCACCTGAGGGTTCATGCCTCAGAAGCAGCCCCCACCCAGTGACAAACTGGGAGTCTGCAGGGGGGATAATGCAGGTGAATGTTCACCCAGCCTCCCAAGGCTCCCCAGTGGGCCTGAGCTCCAGCTGCCCTTAGTGGTAGCAGGCTTGATGACGCATCCGTTATTAGCTCCCCTCCCTTCCCATCCCATTCCTTGCAGCTCCCACACTCGGGTTGCCTGGGATGGCCTGCCAAATAACCAGTTTCCACTTGAATCTTTGAATCAGGGTCTGCTCTGGAAGAAGCCAAACCAAGACAGAAGCTGAGTGGTATCTGAACCCAGAGAGTGAGGCTTCCAAGTCTATTATCTTAACAATTATGCAACAATGGTTTTTTTATAGACAGAAAGTATGAAAAAATAAAGTCACGTAAGTGTCTGGGGACTGAAAGGTATACCCACTATTCTTGCAAAACCAAAGACCCTTAATTAACAGCACAGAGGCTATGGTCTAGACCAGGGGTCCCTAACCTTTTTAGCACCAGGGACCAGTTTTGTGGAAGACAATTTTTCCATGGACTGGGGCAGGGAGTGGGGGATGGTTTTGGGATGAAACTGCTCCACCTCAGATCATCAGGCATTAGTTAGATTCTCACAAGGAGCTTGCAACCTAGATCCCTCTCATGCACAGTTCACAGCAGGGTTCATGCTCCTATGAGAATCTAATGTCATCACTGATCTGACAGGAGGCAGAGCTCAGGCGGTAACGCTCGCTCGCCCACCGCTCACCTGCTCTGCAGCCTGGTTCCTAAGAGGCCAGGGACCAGTACCCCTGGGGGAGGCCCCTGGGGTTGGGGACCCCTGACCTCTTTCACACTGGTGACATGGCCTTTCCTCCATGCCCCTGGGTCTCTTTTCCACCCTACCCTCCCAGCCATCTAGGGGGCCAGCCTCCATTTTGTAAGGAGTGTCTGGGCTCCAAAAGCCTGAGAAATGGTGGGGGTCTCACGGATTCCAGGCATGGAAGGAGCGCAGCCTCCCAGGCAGAGGGAGGCCCTCTGCAGCCTGAAATTGAAAGTTTCCTCCAACGTCATCATTGTCTGCTTCTCAGTTCCTGGTGGGATTGTGAGCAGACAATGGGGAACTGGCAGGCCTGGTAATTAGCGGTAATTGTTTATAATATCTGGGCGGCTGCCTGATTTCCTATCCCAGGGAGCCTTGCTAGCTGCCAAGGAACCCGGCTGACGCCCCAGAAACCCTGAATAGGTTATCACGTCCTCCTGGGGGCTGGAGGAAGGAGGAATAAAGTGGTGGCTGGGCCCTACTAGGCCAGAAATCCAACTGCGGGTCTTCCCTGGAGTACACAAGAAGGCAGAGGCCGCAAAATCAAATCTGCCTCTACAACTCACTAGCCAACTGCTTGCTGTGTGACCTCTGACAAGTTGTTATTGTCTCTGCATTTCAATGTTCTTATCTGCAAATGAAATCACACTGCCTCATGGACAGTGTCTGGCCTTTTTGTTGGCCAGTGCCTGTGCTGTCTCAGTTTCAAATGTTTTTCAAAATTTCTGCTTACGGCATCCATGAGCACAGGGGTATAAAAGAGCTTATTGCATTAAGTGCTGCATATGTGCTACAACTTTGACAAGTCCTTGTATGCAACAGGAGCTCAATAGATGTTCACTGCCAAACCCTACAGCAGGACTTACACTGGGAAAATAAAGGATGGAGTGAAGACTGGATTTGGCATAACGCAGACCCTGGATGCCAGTACTGTACAACCTGTGGCAAGTGTCTTAACCTCTCTGAGCTGCAGTTTCCTCATGTAGAAAATGGGAATAAATAGTAATTACCTTGCCGAGTTGTTGGGGAGAGTCAGAGAGCTAGTGTAGGCAAGGTGCTTTAGCACAGAGGACCTGCTGAGTGAATCAAAGGGTGAGATACCATGGCCTGCTGGGCCTGCTGCCTGGCCTGGGAGAGCCTCCTTGCCACATTCTTGGCATTTTCATGGCATTTCAGATTCTAGACCTGTTAGTAAGTACAGCATCTGGATGCCTGAGAATAAGCCCAAGCCATTCTGGGGAGTACTGCAGCAGCGGGTCCCTTCCAGGGACGTGTGCCACTTGGACAGGCGCAAAGCCCTGTAACAGGATTACAACCCATGTTCTGCTGGCCTTTTATTTTGTGTTAATGGTGAAATGAGATTCCCTGCATTTCAAATCCTATTACTTTTGTTTGTGGAGCTGAAACCCATTGGTCTTTTATTATTAACCTCTGAGCTTGGTTTGGCCCCTGGATTTTCTGTGTTCTTGATGGTGAAAGAAGTAACTGGCTCACGCAGGGGTTTGACTCCATTCTCTTTTCCAGATGGATCACTCGTCTCAACAGCATCAGAAATTAAAAGGTTGCACAGCCCTTGTGGTGATTATAGGTTATGTGATTCTCAAAGGTTTAGGAGTTTACGGGTTCCCTGTCCATCCATTCACTACATGCTCACCTATCCATCCATCCATCCATTTATCCATCCATCCATCCACCTATCACTTCATCCATCCATCCATTTATCCATCCATCCATTTATCCATCCATCCATCCATTTATCCATCCATCCATCCATTTATCCATCCATCCATCCATCCATCCACCCATCCATCCGTCCATCCATTTATCCATCCATCCATCCATCCATTTATGCATCCATTTATCCATCCATCCATCCATCCATCCATCCATCCATCCATTTATCCATCCATCCATCCATCCACCCATCCATCCATCCGTCCATCCATTCATCCATCCATCCATCCTCCCACAAACTCACCAAGCCTACAATGCAATCAATTCTGCTGTAACATGAAATATACATTTCTAAAAATTACTGTGCAACGCAAAATCTTGCTATAAAAATCACACAGCTTATGGGAAAATGGGGTCAGTGTCACATCAAAAACAGAAAAAGGCAAGAATGCAGTAAAAATGAAAGCATGGTTTTAAATATGTTAAATGCTTTAGAAATGCACAAATACTACAATAAAAATGGCATTTGACCTTGAAAATGACCTGCAGTTTGCTTGTGGAAGTGGGTGTCGGAAGAGGTGCAGCCTGTGAGTGATTGTGAGGTGGTGAGGGAAAAACTGAAGTCAATGGAAAGTTGTACCACCAGGTGTGGACAGGTGTGGCTTATAATAGTAAACTGAGGGTGCCGTGGATGTCTGAGGCGCATGTGTTTTGTGTATTCTTATGTGGGTGCAGTTTTCTTCATTCACCCAGTGCTCCTCGTGGATGAAATTGCACCTGAACAAATGCAAAATTTATGTTATGCTCAAATTGTTCCCTAATACTTGAATCATGTTGGAACAAATTCTCGTTTTCAAAACAAGTACTGTAGCAGAATTGCCCTGTGCCAGGATATACCATATCATACAATCCTGACCCCGACTTCTCAACCATTCAAGGTATTTCCAAGCCTGACCACCTCTATGAGACTGTGTGTGGCTCATGGGTGCAAAGCCAAGGATTTATTTTTTTATTTGTCAAAAACTCATCTTGAGCCAAGCACTGATAGTACTATTTATCAATGTTGATCCATTTAATCCTCTTAACAACTCTATAAAAGCTAGGTATTTGTAATTAATACCCATTTTATAAAATGGGAAACTGAGGCACAGAATTGTTAAGTAATTGAACCAAAATCACTCTGCTAGGAGTGGCAGACCTAGGACTTGAACCTGGAGAGTCTGGCTCCAGGATTCACCCTCCTAAGCACTGCGTTATACTGTCTCTATTTGCCCTGAGGGGACCTCAGCCTTGCCCAGAGCAAAGCACAGGGATTTGCAGGTCAAAGCTACGGGGTCAGGCAGGCCTGGAACTGAATCCTGACTCCACCACTCACTAGTCGTGGAGGCACATTCTTCACTTCTCAGAGCCTTGGTTTACTCCCCAGGAAAACAGGAATAAAGAACAATAGGATAATCCCAGTGCTGTTGTGAGTATTAAATGAGATAAACGCCTTAGAACAGAGTCTGGCATACTCAAATGCTCAAGAAATACTAGTGCTTATAAAACAAAACAAAACAAAACAAATCCCTGTCTCCTAGCCACAGATGCATCCAGCTCTGCTTTGTCCTTTGGGCACGGGAATGCTGCTAAATAGTAGAGGTGGGGAAGAAAAGGGGGTTCTGACCACCCACCCAGGCTCCTGAGCCTTTGGTGATTAGGAAACAGCCTTGGTAGAACCGTGACCCTGAGCCCGGGTTCAGTGGCCCTGCCACTGCCTTACACTCTGCTTCCCTGGGCTGTGGACACAGTGACCCAGACACTCAGAGACCTGGATGCCGATGACCCAGACATCTCGGGACAACAAAGAACAGAGGGAAGAAGCAGGTGGGTGCTGGGAGCCAGCCTGGAGCGCTTCTGGGTCAACAGAGAGGATGCCAAGGCCCTGGATTCTGTGTGCTGAAGGGGCGGGAAGGAGTGAAATGTATGCATGCTTCTGCTCACACACACCCACCTATTATTCATCAGAATGTGCAGAGCACCAACTGTGGGCCAGCTAGACAGGCATTGAACTCAGTGTCTAGTGGGACAGACAGACACACATGTGACAAGATAGAGAGTGGAGGGCACTGTGGTGGGGGAGGGACAGGGGACTGTGAGAGCTGCTGATACAGCCAGAGGAACGGTAGGCCCTACCCGTTCCATTCCACTTCTGCCCACGCCCAGGACAGACATTGCTAATCAACCTCAGCTCTCCTGCCAAGCCTGGACTTGGCTCCAGAATCCTTCTCAACACAGCACTCCAGGGAACCACTATCAATTACTGGTGTTGGCACATGAGATACAGCCTTTGTGCCAGTTCTCAGCTGAGGTCTGGAGAAGGAATGAGTCAGAGGGTGAAGGGGGAGCAGGGGTAGAGAAGGAAGTGCCAGGTAGAGGGTGCAATGGATGCAAAGACCTGGAGGTGAGAAAAGTGAAGGGTAAAGGTTCAGGGTGGTGGAGTCCCCACATGGATGGGGACTGGGAGAGGCTGGGAAAAGTCAGAAGAATAAGTGCTGGGTGGCAAACTGTGGTGTTCAACCAAAAAGGAGACCTGTAGGTGTCCAGGCAAGAGCGATGTATGGCCTTGACCAGGAGATGGAAGTGGGGAGGAATGGATGGATTCAAGAGATCATTAAGAATAAAATGGCACAGCATGATTATGGATTGGGAATGGATTATGGATTGGAGAGGGGGAACTGTCTGCAAGAACCCCAGATTTCTGGTTTGGGCAGCTGGGGAGATGGTAGCCCTGTGCACCCAGGCAGTGTAGCAGGCTCTGCTGGGCCATCCCCCCACCCCTTATTATGTCAGTGCTTGCTGACTTCTAACCGCCAGAGTCTGCATGCCTTTGCCCAGGCTTCTCTGGCCCCTGAAGAGCTTCTCTAGCCTCAAGAGCCTATGTTACCACAGGAAGAGCCAGAGTTAACAGGGAGCAGCCACTGCTCAGTAACTCGTTAAGAGCTGGAATATAAATACCTCAGCTCCCTCACTTCCTGAGGAGATAACTCCCAGGTGCATGTTTCACATGGGTTCCGAGAGTTCCCCATCAGGATTGGCTCTGGTTGCCCACCAGGAAAGCTGGCTTCTTAAAGCATGCTTTGTTGGGTGCATCACCTCTCTCCCACATGCTCCTCTGCTATTATTTTCTAGAATCACCTCCCAGGTGAATCACTTGCACTTGAACCCATGTCTCAGGTCTGGTTCTGGGAAAACCCAAACTAGAACACACGTCAATAGGGAGTATCTCAGGATTAGGGCAGGTGGGGAGTATGGTATGTCTGGAAGGTTCTGTTCTCACGGCCCCATCTCAGAGGGCTTGAGCTCTAGCTCCTGCCCTTTTCCTGGGTGAGATGGGCCTGGCCTGGTGGCATGGCTGGTTGACTCTGCATCCTTAACCCACAGAGCTCCAATTTCTGATCAGGCAGAAACAGGCTCAAGGAAAGAAAGCCCTTCCCCAGCCCCAGGGGATCAACCACAACTGGCCCAGCATGAGGCCCATGGTGTGGAAAGAGAGAGGGGCTCTGGGTCCTTGATGGCATCCTTGAACTACCAAACCATCCTGGAAGCCTCTACTTCCAAAAAACTTAATAAATGCAACCATTAAAGAGAAAAAGAGTGTAAACATTAAGGGCAGATACCCAATGCCCGGATTTGAATCCCAGCTCAGCCACTGACTGGCTGTGTGACGTGGGGCAACTTATTTACCCTCTCTGAGCTTCCATTTCCTCATCTGTAAAATGGGAATATTAACAGTCCCATTGTCAGGTTGTTGTGACAATTAAATGAGTCAATATAAGTAAAAGCCCAGCACAGTGTCTGCACATAGTAAGTGTTCTCTGCAAGAGTTAGCCACGGCCATTATTACCATTAAGCCAGGGCTTCTCTACCTTAATGTGCATACAAACCAGCTGGGGGTCTCATTAAAATACAGATTCTGATTCAGTGGGTCTGGGGTAGAGGCTGAGATTCTGCATATTTAACAAGCTCCCATGCCAGTGTTTCTGGGCTGTGGATCACACTTCGAATAGCAAGGGCTGAAGCCATTGTCCATTGGTATTACATAACCCGGGACTCAAGGCATCCTCACTGACAGAGCGACCCAACCCACAGGCACCCCTTCCCCATCCCTGACACCTTGCTGGGAACACAACATTTCCCAAGTTTTCTATACCTGTCCTTTGCAGCTCTCCCCACACTGCTAGTTGCTTAGTCAGTGCCCAAGAGTGGAAGCTCATGGAGGACAAGGTATCTGAGGTGCCTGACCCAACTGCCTGGCACATTCTAAGTGCTCAATCACATCTGCTGAAATGAAAATCCTGTGCCTACCTGCAGGAATACATACGCCTGGTGATCCAGCGCAGTCAGACAGACCCAGCGGTGCCAGGGGCTGCAGCCTTGCGGGGGTGCTCAAGTGGGGCTGGCTCCCTGTAAGCCTCAGCTGGGCTGGCAGAAGCCCAAGGGGTGGGGAGAAGGGAGAACAGTCCCTTCCTGTTTCAGAGCCCGGCATTTGGGCCAAACCAGTGCCCAAAATGCCTACAGAACAAGAAGTCTGACCACAGCTCAATGTCCCCACCCATTCCTTCTGTGTCCCTACCTCGCCCAGGTGTTGGGCAGGTGGCAGCGCCTCGCCTGGCTGGGATCCACCAACACTCAGCTCTTTTCAGGAGGCCAAGACTGTCCCCTGCTGCTGGACCCGTCACCCTCCAACCCACCTGATACCTCCTCAGTTGGGCTCAGAACACCCACCTCAAGCCTTTTAGTAATCGTAATCCTCACAGCCAACACTTACTCAGTGCTTACTCTGTGCTAAGCACTTTATAGACACAACTGTATTTGGGGTGGCTCACTATATCCGTTAGAATGCAACTGACCAAAACAGCAAAATAGCCAACAAACAGTGGCTTAATGAACAACAAACAATAATAGCTAACAATTACAGAGCTGGTCACTGTGCTAAGTTCTTTTACATGTATTAACATATTGAACCCTCACAACTCTGTAAGTGTCTGCACTGTTATGTCCCCTTTCTATAGATGAAGAAACTGGGCTCAGAGAGGTGAAGTAACTTCCCCAAAGCCACACAGCTACTAAGAAGCTGAAATGAACCACATACCAGGGCAGTCTCGTTTTTGAGTCCTGGCTTTGAACCTGTCTGTAATTAGACTCTCTGGTCCCTTAAAACCCATTACAGCAAACAGTAACAAGAGCCATGTTCCAAACACCTATCACCTGCAGGCATCACCTCGTTTCTTCCTCATAACACACTCTGATAATGCTCCCCTTGGTCATGTGGCCTTTCTGAGCCTTCATCTCCTCTTCTATAAAACGGAAATGCAGGTTTGACTTCTCTGCTGCTGCTCACTGAAGCACGTTGCCCTTCCCACAATCTAGTCCTCCAGACCTGCCCGTGAGGCTGACAGATATTTACTGGCCTCAAACATGAGAGAGGTCCACTGATGTGCTCAAGCCCACCCAGGGGCATGAGTGGCAGAGCCAGGATTAGGACCTGAGCTTCCTGACTCCCTGAGACTCACACCTGTCAGCAGGGCCCCACTGCTCCCCAGATGCTGAGAATATCTTCCTCCAAGTTCTGCTGCCTTGCCATGTTTCTCAGGTTAAAGAAAACACTGGCTCCCTTCCTCCTCCTCCTCCTCCTCTCCCTTCCGCTGTCCTCCTCCTGTTCTCGCCCACGGGAAAGTCTCGCTAGGAGGTGGGTGGAACAGCAGCATCTGCTAAGGCAAGGCCATTCACGAGGCTGAAGATGCCCAGTTTAGGAGGGGCTGGGGGTGGGGAAGGCTTTTAGCCAGCAGAAGCCCCCAGCTGAGGGGCAGGGCCAGAATGAAGGGAAGCAAAAGTGGAGGCCAAGCCCCAGCCCCACCTCTCAGTGGCTGTGTGTCTGTCCTTGCACAAGTCACTTAGCCAGTACTGTTCAAACGAATTTTCTATGATGATGGAAATGTTCTATTTTCTGCACCACCCAATATGGTTGTCGCTAGCCACAAGTTGCTAGCGAGCACTTGAAATATGGCTAGTGCAATAGAAGAACAGAAAGTTTCATCTTATTTAATTAGCCACATGCTTCTAGTGGCTACTTTTCTGGACAGTTGTGGAATTTAACTTTTCTAAGCCTCAGTCTTCCCATGTGCACAAGAATCATGATATCCCACCCCACTTCCCTGACTTTAGACGATAGCTAGGACCATGAAGCGATGCAGTGCTGGGAAATAACCCCTGGCTGGGAGTCAAGACTCCTGGGTTCCAGACCTGGTAACACACTTCATGATGCAGAGTGAGCTCTTTAACCTCTCTGAGTGCCCTGGTCATCTGTATGATAAGGAAGTTGCTTTGGATCAAAGTTTCTTTGATCTAGGGATCCATGGATGGTTTTAGGGGACTCTGATAACCCCTACAGTTATGAGAAAAGCATGTTCGCAGGACTGTGTGTGGGAGAATGAGGGTGTACATGCACTGAGGGCTGTGTGTATTGGGGGAAACTGGGCCCAATGCTTTCCTGAAATTCTTAAAGGGGTCTGTGAAAATGAGAAACCCCTAGTCTAGGTGAGTTGCTCTAGGGTAAAAGCTTTTTAACAGTGGAGTTCTCAGGCCACACTCCCAGAGACTAAGTCAGCAGCCTGGATGTGGGGTCCTGCAAGCTGCACTGGTAACGTGTTCCCGTGATTCTGACGCGGAGCCCACAGAGGGAAACGCTGGCAAGGAGCCAGCCACACTACTGTCTAGTGAGCTGATGCTCAAGAAATGCCTTTATAAAGCAGTAGTATACATTTTTCAAAACCAACGGGATTTAGGAAACTAAAAAAGTAAAGAGGAAATAATGATGATAATAAAACCCCTTTCTACCCCTCCTTTATTTCTTAAGCAGCACTAATATACAGCACTTAGTGCCAAACACTGCTTTATGCTGTGTATAAATATCACCCCTGCATTATATGGATTGTAAACGTCTAATCCTCATAACACCCCTATGAAGCTGATGCTGTTAATCCCATTTTACAGATGAGGAAACTGTGGCTTAGAGACCTTGCCCAAGGTCACACAGCAGGAAGGGGGTGGAGCCAGGATTCAAATCCAAGCAGCGGGGCTCGCTCTCCCTCGGGGCTTTGCTGTTACACTGCCTCCCTTCTGAAGATGGGGGATGAACCTGGAGCCCTGAGCTGGCGCTTTCACAGCCTGGAGCTGCCCTAGGGCTCCCAGAGGGGTTGCTCAGTCCCTCCCGTGCCCCACCACAAAAGACTGCAAGAACCAGGAGGGCTGGTGGCCCCACACTTACTTGCCCTCTGAGCCATAGCTGTTCATGCTGTCCTCAATGGACTCGTGGCTGGCCTGGCGCAGTGTCCGGCTGGGCATCTCCACTGCCAGGCCCGTCTCCGTGCTCCTCTGGATGGCCCCCTTCAGCCTCCGGCTGTCCCCTTCTGGGCAAAGCGGCCAAGAGAGATGGGAAGAGAGACACAGGTGGGAGGGGGACAGAGAGAAGAGTCATCTGGTTAGCAGTGTTTCAGCAGCTGGGGGCTGTCCAGCTTCAGCCTCCACCCTCAGCCCATCAACCTCCTCAGACTCCTGGCCTCACCAGTAACCACTCCACCAACAAACAGTATTGCATGAGTTCTGTTAAACGATAGATTCATTTACATGTGCTTTTTCTCCCCCTTGAATTCATTTCTCCCCTGAAATCTTCTCCAAATCATTTCTCTTCCTCCTCTTCAGCTACTATTTATTGAGCACCTACTATGTGTCCTACTGTGTCAAGTGCTTTGCATGGATTTTGACCAGGGTTTCTTGACCTCAGCAGACTGGCTGTGTGGATGGCATATTGCTTTGCAGTAGGGGCTGCCCTGGGCATCACAGAATGTCTAACAGTATCCCTGGCCTTTGCCCACTAGATACTAATAGCAACCCTCACCCCACCCCGCTGCAGTCCAGTTGCAGCAATAAAAAATATCTCCAGACATTGCCAAATAGCCCCTAGGCAGCAAAAATCACCCTTGATTGAGGACTACTCGCACTGAAACCAGATGGCATGGGTTCAAATCCTGGATATCTATCTCAGTGGCTGGGAGACTTAAGGCAAATTACTCAGCCTCTGTGTGCCTCTATTTGCACAACTGTCAAGTGGGAGAATAACAGGCTCTTATGAGGCTAAATGGCCCCCATCAGCCGCCCACTCCTTCCATTCTGTGGTCAAACATCATCTTATCCAAGATCTTTCTTGACCTCTCCTGGCCCCTCCAAAACAGCAGCCTTCTCCCACCCCCTGCCCCTCTCTGCCCTGACTCCTGCTTTGGTTTTCCTCCTAACACTTACCACCCAAATGCGTTAAACAATATTGGTGTTTTGGCCAGCTTCCTCTGCGAAGACCATAAACTCCATGAGGACAGGGAATTTTGTTCACTCTTGAAGCCTCAGCACCAAGAACAGGGTCTAGACCATTGTAGAGCTCAACTAATAACTGTGGCTGCCTTGAGAGCAGCCTTAATCCTCACAACCAACCGTAAGGTGGATGCTGCTGTTCACCCCCATCCAGTACCCAAAACAGGAGGCACGGAGAGGTCAGGACTTGTCCACGCCCATAGAGCTAGTAAGGTGGGGAGCCAGGACACAGCCCCGGGAGGGTGTCTGCTCCCTGCTCCATGGCCTAGTGATTCAAGGGACTGTAGGCTTGCTAGAGGTGGGGTAGATCATTAGTGGGATCTTTTTCATGGTCCCACAAAGTCCAGACATGGGCTGATTCCCAAGAGGATCCTTCAATGCTTGCTGATTGACCCACTGGGGAAAAGCAGCCCCAATCACACCCAGTCATCCTCCTCCTGCCAGAGGACAAGAGAGCTGGGCCTGCGTACAGGAGCAGGGCAAGCCAGGACAGCTCCCGCCGGCCTTCTCCTGGCCTCCCTCCTCCTCCCAGCTCCAGGATGGTCTCTCCTTCCTCCCTGCCTCTAAGAATCACACACACGTGTACACACACACATGCATGCGTAGATACAAACACTCTGTTTCTCAGAACGTGTAGCCTCGTATTTCTGTCTCCCACGTGTCTTTGTTATTCAGACACACAGACACCCACACTCAGAAAAACACAGCAACACACACACACAGTAAGATGCATGCAAAGACAGTGTGTTAATGCAGGTCTGAGTGTGCTCCCAGGGGTCTCCACATGCCTGTCGCTCTGTGTGTTTGAGGCTAAGTGGGTAGGTGTATACACATCTTCCCTGCGTGTTTCTGAACACGTGGGAGAGCGTGTGTGCCCCTATATCTGTGTTTCTACTCCATTCCATCATCTGTTCTTTCCCTAGCTTGCATCTGCAGCCTCCCCCGACCCTCTATCTCCACTGTTTCTGTTATTTCTCTGTGTACAGCAGGTACAGTGACACAGAGAAAGAAAGAACCACTCACATGCACATTCAGAAACAGACTCAGACAGAGATGTCCCTGTACACACACACACACAGCACTGTACATATGTCCCTGTCAGACGTGCAGGAACAAACACCCCCCCCACACCCCACACTAGGGATACAGACCCATGACTGGGCACCCTGCAGGCAGGCAGCACACACCTGCCTCGGCTCCCTCCCTCTCTGCTGAGCGCTGTTCAGGTGCCCCCACCCCGGATCCATCTCCACCTACCTGGGTCTGACACATTTCTCCCGGAAGAGGGAGGAGCAGAGCATGACAAACAACTCAGTCCCCCAGAGCTGTGCCTTGCATCTGTGTGGCATCCTACAGCCCTCAAAGCAGTTCCCAACCAGGCCCTAGGATCTGCCTCCCAGCAGCCCTGGCTCCCCACACAGGTGAGCATGCCTTTGCAGTCAGAAGGCCCAGGTATGGAGACCCGGGGCAAGCTGGACGGCATCTTCCCACGGAGCTGTTGAGAGGCTTAAATGACAGACGTTTCCCATAGTGCGGGCACAAAGTAGGTGCCAAACATAAAAAGCCAAACCACTGCAGAGGGAGAAAGACCTTCCAATGCCCCCACACCTGCCCTTGCCAACTGTCTTGCTGACACCCTTGTAGACTCATTTTTTTCCCTTGACACACCACCTTCCCCAAGCTAGGGACCACGACTGGACCCAACCACAGCAATGTCCACCATCCAACCTCTACCACCTACCCCTCCTGTGCATCCTCTCTTGCTAACTGGGCCATGGCCCCCAAAGTGACTGTTCCAGTGCTTTCCCAACTACCCCCACCAAGATCCATCCATCCCACGTGGCTGAGATGTGTTCCCTTTGTTCTGCTCTTCCTCACTTCCAAATGTCACTGTGATTGTTAATAGCGAGTGTCAACTCGATTGGATTGAAGGATGCAAAGTATCATTCCTGGGTGTCTCTGTGAGGGTGTTGCCAAAGGAGATTAACATTTGAGTCAGTGGACTGGGAAAGGCAGACCCACCCTCAATCTGGGTGGCATCATCTAATCGGCTGCCAGCATGGCCAGAATAAAAGCAAGCAGAATGTGGAAAGACTAGACTGGCTTAGCCTCCCAGCGTGCATCTTCCTCCCATGCTGGATGCTTCCTGCTCTCAAACACTGGGCTCCAAGTTCTTCAGCTTTGGGACTCAGACTGGCTTCCTTGCTCCTCAGCTTGCAGACTGCCTATTGTGGGACCTTGCCTTGTAATCGTGTGAATCAACACTCCTTAATAAACTCTCCTTTATATATACATCTATCCTATTAGTTCTGTCCTTCCAGAGAACCCTGACTAATAGTCACCATCCTGACCTTTCACCCTGCCTGGCCCTCCCCTCCTTTCTGAAAGGAAGGGGCCGTCCTTCTCCTGGCTGTGGCTGATCCATCTCCATCACTCACCATGACCTCCTCCCCCATTTGTCCTCTCTGGGCCTTGCGTCTGCTGCCTCTCCATCCTCGGGCCCTTTCTAGTTCTCCCACCTCTTTCACCAACTAACTTCCTCGGAGAACAGCCTCTGGCCACCAAGTCACCCACCACACCCTCTCTGATCTCTCAGTGTGGCTCCAGCCCATCGATCCATCAGGGCGGCTTACTAAACCATTCTCTAGTGACTGCTCACCACCAGGTCTCAACCCAGCTCCCGGGCCCTGAAGCATGGCCCTTTCATTCTCTCAACAGACATCTATTGAACACCCTTTTGTGAGGTGGAAGCCCCTGAGATGTTAAACACGCTTCTAAGTGCTGCACCTGCTGATAAAACACACTGACGGGAGCCAGGGAGAAATGAACAGCCTCTGCTTGTCGTCCATCAGGACCCAGAAATAGACCCTCACTTGACCCACTGTAGTGAACAATGTGATCCTCCTCCAAGACCCCCTTTTTACCACTTCTGTGAGCCCCTCCCCACTGTAGCATGCTATGTGCTGTGGCTTCCCACAGCCAGTACCTGGCACCTTTTTCTGGGGTGGGGTGTGGGGGTGTCTTTCTTTGGGCTACTGAGCCCATGTTGCCCCCACACAGGCAGAGCTAGAAGTGTCTGGAAATGTATGACCCTTAACCTGCCCTTGCCCTGCCCCTTCATCAAAGACTAAATGAAATGGGAGGATGAACCCTCACCTCCTCTGCCCTGGGTCAGAACAACTCTGAGGCTTCACGCAGCCCCCAGAGTAACCCCACAGCGGGGCTGGGGCCACCCTTTCGGGACCTGCCTGAGAGCACACCATTGCGTGTCTCCTGCCCTGTCTTGTTCTGCTTCCCTGGGTCTGTTCTGGGGGCACTTCCTTCATTACTGCCTCCACACGAATCTCATCTCAGGGTCTGGTTTGGGGACACCTGACCTAAGACAGGCTGGCACCCTAAGCAAGTAAAAGTTCAAAAATCTTCACACAGGTGGGCTCCCGCATCATAACTGTAGTTGTACCCATTTACACCCAACCAGCACATTGGGAAGGAAATTTATTTCTCTTTTGTATGCTTCTATGTCATTTGAATTTTAATTAATTCTATAATGCAAATGAAAGTAAATACAAACAAATTCATAAATAAATCACAGCTTCAGTCATGCCACCATCTTATTTAAAACCTTAGCCAGGCGTGGTGGCTCATGCCCGTAATCCCAGCACTTTGAAAGACCCAGGCAGGTGGATCACTTGAGCCCAGGAGTTTCAGACCAGCCTGGGCAACATAGCGAAACCCCACCTCTACAAAGAAAAAATACAAAAATTAGCCGGGCATGGTGGTGGGCACCTGTAGTCTCAGCTACTAGAGAGGCTGAGGTAGGAGGATCGCTTGAGCTTGGGAGGTTGAGGCTGGTTGCACTCCAGCCTGGGTAACAGAGTAAAATCCTATCTCAAAACAAAAACAAAAACAAAAACAAAAACCTCAGAATGTTTCTTCACTGCCTGCTGAATTAGGTTCAGTTTTTGCACCCAGGCATCCAAGACTCTCCATTTTCTGACTCCCTCCCCATCAGCTACTGCTCTCCCTCGCAGTCTCTATATCCTAGCCCAGCCAGACACCTCAGTGCTCCATCCTGAGAAATACTGTACATCCTCAATAACTTCCTCATCCTGGTTCTCACTCCTCTCCTTTCCTCCTTATCAAATTTCTAACCATCCTCCAGAGTTTAGCTTTAAATAACACCTATAACTTATCAGGCACTCTGTACTTCAGTTTCTTCATCATATAATAGGGATAAAAGCACCAGAATCTCAGGGCTATGTGAGCACTAAATGTTAACAAGCAAGCAACGTAAAAATGTAATAACATATAACCCTCAGGATGGCCTAGGTGGGCTGGGACACACGGTCAGCCCTCAACAAAGTTGACTATTATTAATATGGTTATTACCATTGTGCTAGATGCCATGCCAAGCGTTTTACAAAGGTATCTCCCACTTAATTCTCACAATAAACCATGAGATAGCTACTGCCCCCCTTTACAGAGAAAGAAAATGAGGATCGAGAAGGTTAAGTAACTTTCCCAAGGACATGCACGACTACTAATGGTGGAGCTGGACTTCAAACCCAGGCTATTCTGGCTCCAAAGCCATGTTTTAAATGCACCCTAAAGTAAACTCTCCAAGCTCCATCCCAGAACTCAAATGCCATGTCTTCCACAAAGACGTCCCTCATCAGACTCCTTGAGTCCCGGGGCACTTCAATCTTCACTTCTCTTGGGGTAACTATTCCATGGCACCTTGAAACACAGTTCTCATCCACCTAGTCGATGTCAGTGTTTACAGCGTGAGCTCATTCGTCATTTACTTCCATTCAGCACCAGGGATAGCGCCCACACTGCCCATCCCCACTGAAAGTGTGTTAAATTGAATTGGCTTTAGGATGTGTCCCCAAGAAAAATGGAAATTCTCTCTGGTAAAGAAAACAAGTAGATGTCACTCTGCTGTTTATACTTGAATATGAATGTGTTTAATGTACGTTCTCCCAAAAGCAAGTATTCATAAGGAACAGGATAATAAAACGATGATAAATTATGAAAACAGATTCTATTGTTTTTAGCATTTACCCTGTACCATGTACAAATTATATACACATATATAATTTAACCCCACCATAACACTGAAAGACAAGTATTATTATCCTAATTTTACAATAAGGAAACAGGCTCAGAGCAGTTCAGCAACTTGTCCAAGGTTATACCAGATAAGACAGAGCTAGGCTTGAAACCAGGTCTGTGTGAAAACAGATCATCATATACTCTTAACCACGAGACCTCAGGGATGTGTTGGGGGGAGGGAGAAGGAGAGAACTCAACCAGTCCCCACTTTGACATTTTATTGAAGATGGGCATTATCAGCTTTGACTTCCAGATGAAAAGCCTCAAGCCAAGAGAGGCTCCATGACCTGTTCCAGGTCCCCAGGCTCTAAAACCACTAACCACATCCTGGTCAGTGTGAGTGTCCACTCCAAGTCCATAGAGAAGCCTGTGAAGTTCCCCCAGACACAAGAGCTCTGGGTGACTGGGTTATTTTAAACCAGGATGCGAAAGGCACCAAGGCCCCTGGCTCACTGCTTCCCCTTCCCACAGCCACTACTCTTCCTGTATCTCTGAGATAAATACCCTGGAGACTGCTGCCTCTTCTTCCTCCATGGTCAGCCTCTCCCTGGCCTAGTTATTCCCAGTGACTTGGGCCTCACATGCCTCCCTTGTCCAGGTCTTGAAGTCCATCTGAAAATCAAGGGCTGAGAGCCATCTGCAGATACTCAGGCCTCCAGAGCACTGATGTTGCCTCTGGCTGTGTCTCCAAGGATGGGTGGAGGAAGCACAACCCTGATTACTTCTGTGAGGGCCCTAACCTTTCCCTTCTCCCTGGAGCTATAGGAATCTGCCCTACCTTAAAATAAGAGATGGTTTCATCTGGAGGGAACTTAGGGATCATCCAGATCAATGCCTTTATTGTACAGAGGGCAACTGAAGCCCAAAGAGGGGCAGGAGTTAAAGGCCATGTTGGTATTAGAATTCAGGCTGGGTACAGTGGCTCATGGCTGTAATCCCAACACTTTGGGAGGCCAAGATGGGAGGACTGCTTGAGCCCAGGAGTTCAAGACCAGCCTGGGCAACATAGTGAGACCCTGCCTCTATAAAAAATTTGAAAATTACTAGCCCACACTGTAGTCCCAGCTACTCAGGAGGCTGTGGTGGGAGGATTGCTGGAGCCCAGGAGTTTGAGGCTGCAGTGAGCTATGATCACATTGCTGCACTACAGCCTGGGTGACAGAGAACCTGTTTCAGGAAAAATAAATTCTGGTCTCCTAATTGCTAACCTCCCTGCTCCTTTTCAGTCAACAGCCTTTCACTATTTCTAGAGCATCTTCAGGAGGCAGCATGGCCTAATGGTTAAAAGCATGGACAATGGAGCCTGAATGCCTGGGTTGTAAACCTGGCCCCAGTCACTCTATTAGTTGTGTGATTTTGAGAAAGTTACTCAACCTCTCTGTGGCTCAGTTTCCTCCTCTATGCTAACTGGTGTCCACACCACCAGAGTGTCCTCTTCTGCCAGTTTCTTCTCTACTCAGTGGCCTGCCTGAGCTTCCCAAATCTCAATCCTGAACACACCATCCCTTTGATTAAAACCCTTCAATGGCACCCCATTGCTTGCAGAATAAATTCCAATCTAACACACACTGTCTTTCTGACCTGGTCCCAATTTACATTTCCATTTCCCTAGTGTTCTCTACATTCTATTCACAATGAATTATTCCAAATCTTCCATGTGACCAGCTGCCCCTCAAATTTCTTACCCATCATCCTGCATACAAAAGTCTTAGCATTCTCTTATCTTCTGGAGAAAGGTGCTTTTTAAGACAACTGTTTGTTGCAGGATAATATACATAAAGAAAACTGTACAATTATATATCGCACAGTTGTAAGTGTATACCTTGATGACTATTACAAAGTTCTACGGAACCAGCACCCAGATCAAGAAGCAGAACATTACCAGTGCCCTACAGAAGGCCCACATGCCACTTCCAGTTACTTTCCACCAAAAGTAGCATTACCCTAACTTCTAACAGCACAGACTGGTTTTGCTTATTTTGTAGTTTTCACTACATAAAATCACCTAGTGTATATTCTTTAGCATCTGGCTTCTTTTACCCAACACGACGTTTGTGGGGTTCATCCATGTTGATTGTTTCATTGCAGTTCATTCATTCTCATGACTTATTGTAGTACATTGTGTGAATATATCAAAATAATTTTCATCTATTCTATTGCTGATGAGCATCTGGGTGGGTAGCCTCCAGTAATGAGATATTACAAATAGCTCTGCCAAAAACATTCTTGTATGTGTCTTTTGGTGACCATTTCTGTGCAGTTCTTCAGGGCACATACCTAGGAGTGCAGCTGCTGGGTTACAGGGTATGCATTTGAAATGCCTTTTAGGTGGATTAACCACGGTGTGAACTGGAAAGGTTAACACGTTAGACTATCATTCAGCAGGAAGCAATGTTCTGAAGAAGTGAGGCTAAAGATTGGAAGATTTTGAGGAAAAAGATGGTGGAAAGCCTGTTGATTTACTGTATATCTGGCTCACATTTATATTCCCCAAATGTAATCTTTGTTAAGAGAATGTGTATACAGGGCAAACAGCACCCAGAACAGGACAGGAAGGAGGGGAAAAGGCCTGTAATACAGTTGACATTCAATAAATACTGGCTATTACTATTAACCTCTCTAAAGGTCAATGGTCAACTGCTCACTGATACCACCTCTAGTAAACTCATTATTTCATCGATTCTAAGACAAGCATTTTTTCAACATCTCCAAAATTAAGATGTGAATGGCAACCAGTGGCATGTCAGAGTTAAATTCTGACATGTTTTAGCTCCCTTGGTGGTATATAAAGTTGTGACTTGCAACTGAAGGCCTCTAAAATGCGATTAAGTCCACAGCAAAGAACTGGCGTGTGCAGGAACTGTCCGTGGTGCTGACTGAGCACAGAGGACTGGGCCTGCCTAGGGCAGAGGTGGGGCTCACAAGGGAGATTTTAGAACTACGAAGCATCCCTATCTGTGGTTGTTTTCAAACCACAATTCCTTCCCACTGGCTTGCTGGTGCCTGAAATTCCACCCTCAAAGAATCATCTTCCCACATAAAGACAGGAATTTCCATTTATCGAGTTGAACCAGAGCCTATGAGAGGTGCTCAGCACTCATCATTTCATGTAATCTTCACAACCACCAGTGAAGGTAAGTATTGTCTTCATTTTCAGAAGGGAAAGCTGAAGCTCAGGGGTTAATGAACCTGCCCATAATTACAAAGCTGGCATGTGGGATGTGATCCTGGTTCAACGCAGGCCAGAGTGCAATTTTTGCCCTTTACGCTGCTCTACACTGGAGGGAGGGATAAGTGCCTCAGACCTTTTTCCAAGAGGATTTGAAGAGGAAAGAGGAGAGATCATAAAGACACAGAGATGAAGTGAGTGAAAGCAAGAGGGGCAAAAGGCACATGATAAGGATTTGAGAACCCTAGAGAGGGAGGGGAAAGATTTTGTGAGAATCAACTGGGTAATAAATATGGAATGTGCTTTGTAACTCTAAAGGGTTATGCCCCTGGAAGGAAACGTTACTCTCACTTATCCAACAAAATATACATTTATTGAGTTCATTTCCTATGCCATGCTGTTCTTGTCTCTGGGGATTTGAATAAGATACAGTCTTTGACCTTAAGAAACTTACAGGTAGTAGAGTGTGGGGGGGACATGAAACAGATAAGTAATTATTATTCATTCAACACACTCTTTACTAATTGCCTATTCAGGGCCAGATCCTGTGCGGTAGACTCATAACATAGATGAATTAAACCCAGACCTTGCTGAAACTCCCAGTCTACCAGAATAGATAGGCAAGTAAAGGGGCAATTGTGCAATAATTACAACGTAGCATAATGTAAGGGCAGAGATATACACAGAGTATTATGGGAGCTGAGGAGAAGGGTAATTAATGCAGCACTGGAGTTAGAGGCACGGTCTGGGTTGTAAGCAGAATTGATTCAATGCTGAATTATACTTGATTGCAAATAAAATCAGAAGATTTCATTGTACATGCAAGCACTACCTTCCAGTACAACTGAAGGTTATACTGACAAATAAAAACATGGAGATAGAGTGAAGAGGAAAATGTGGAACCAAATGAAAACTGAAGGCAAAAAGTTCCAGATGCAGAGTAAATGCATTTGGGGTTGGGGAGGTCCTATGCTGAGCAGGGGTGGTCAGGGGAAAGTCATTTACTCTCCTCGAGCCAATGTGGAAAGACTTTCTAAAGAAGAGGCATTTCCACAATCATTGGAAGGAAGACAATTCACAGTCCCACAAAAAGCTGTTTTTCCTCAGGAAGCTATTTCCATCAGCATTTGGGACAAGCTAAACAAGCCTTGGAAGGAACTGGGTTGTGGGCAAAAGGTAGAGTCTATGGCCCCATATGGCACTGGGAAGCTACACAATCCACACAGCATTCAAGACTTCCAGGATTTGCCCCAAACCTATACTACAAGTCTGCCATGATGCACATACCAGGTGTTCTATCCACACGGAATTACTCATCATTCACCAAATACAGCCCACGTACTTCCGTCTTCTTAGGAGAACAGGCTCTGGAGCCAGAAAAACTGAGTTTGGGACTTGAAGCATGCCTCTGCCACTTTCTGAGTAAACTAAATAAACTTACTGAACTAATCTGAGTCTAAGTTCCCCTGCAAAACAGGAAAAATGATAGAATCCACTCCACCTATTGTTGTAAGGATTAAATGTACTAGTAAGCTCTTATTAGGTTATGCTGCAATAACAAGTTACCCCCAAATTTCAGTGGCTTACAGAACAAAGTTCTTGTTCATACTTAACATACCTTATTTTTCTGAGATGGACTTTTGCTCTGTGGCCTATACTGGAGTGCAGTGGCACAACCTTGGCTCACTGCAACCCGTCTCCCAGGTTCAAGTGATTCTCCTGCCTTAGCCTCCCAAGTAGCTGGGGTTACATGCATGCACCACCATGCCTGGCTAATTTTTTTTTTCCTTTTTGTATTTTTAGTAGAGATGGGGTTTCACCATGTTGGCCAGTTTGGTCTCAAACTCCTAACCTCAAATGATCTGCCTGCCTCAGCCTCCCAAAAGTGCTGGGATTACAGGCATGAACCACCATGCCCAGCCATACTTAACATACTTTACGAGTTAGCTATGGTTCTATCCCACGAACTCATCTGGGACCCAGGGTGAAGGGGCAGGCCCTATCTGGGACAAGCTGGTCTCATGGCAGAGGAATGATGGAACCATGAGGGAATTCTTCCAGCTGCTGCACTTTTCTCTATGTGTATTTCAAAACTTTTAAAAGAAAAGGAAGGGAAAGAAATATGGCCTCTAACAGACAGATGCTGCCAAACATGTAGGGGAGGCAAGGAAGCTCCCTCCTCTCCACAAACACTGGAAAGAGAACTCCTCAAGACACCAAATGGTTTGTTCCAACAAGGTAGCATATTAGCCCATGATAGCACAGATCCATGTTAACTGTGAAATAGATCTCTCATACCCCTTGTGGGACTGAACTCAATGACATAACATGTGCACAACGACTGTCACAGTAAGATACAGGCACTCAGTAAATTGCAGCTACTATTATAAACAATACTCTGAGATAGAGAGTAGTGTCCCTGATTCTCAGAAACTCTCAGAAAACTGAGGCTCTGAGAACTGAAGCAGTTTGCCCAAGGTCCCACAGCAAGTAAAGGTTGGAGAGGAAGAATGCAAAACAAATCCGCTCCATTCAAACAAAGCTGCACACAAATGTTCACAGTAGCATTAACTGTAACAGTCAAAAAGTGGACACAGCCTGAATGGCCATCCATGGACGAATGAACAAACTGTGGTATATCCATGCAATTAAGTATTATTCAGCCATAAAAAGCATGCAGTACTGGGCCGGGCATGGTGGCTCACGCCTATAATCCCAGCACTTTGGGAGGCCAAGGTGGGTGGATCACCTGAGGTCGGGAGTTTGAGATCACCCTGACCAATATGGTGAAACACTGTCTCTACTAAAAATACAAAAATTAGCTGGGCTGTGGTGGTGTGTGTCTGTAATCCTAGCTACTCAGGAGGCTGAGGCAGGAGAATCACTTGAACCCAGGAGGCTGAGGTTGCAGTGAGCTGAGATGGCACCACTGCACTCCAGCCTGGTTGACAGGGAGACCCTGTCTCAAAAAAAACAAAAACAAAAACAAAAAAAAAACAACAAAGCATTACCTATACATGCTTCAACATATATGAACCTTGACATTATGCAAGTGAAAGAAGCTGGTCATAAAAGATCATCTCTTCTATGACTCTACGTATTTGAAATGTCCAAGATAGGTAAATCCATAGAACTAGAAAGCAGACTAGTGGTTGCCAAGGACCAGAGGGAGGGGCAAATGGGATGTGAATGCTCACGGGTATAGGGTTGACGATAATATTCTACAATTGACTGTGGTGATGGTTGCACAACTCTGTGAATAAATTAAATATTAAAACCCACTGAATTGTTCACTTTAAACTAGTAAACTGTATGGTATATGAATTATATCTCAATAAAGCTTATATAAATCTCCTTCCACTTCATCTCATCTCCCAGGCCAGGCTGTTAACCCTATTCTACACTGACCCCAAGAGGGTCAAGGAGCCCACAGGCAGGGAGGCTCCCCCTAAGCCAGAAGCAGTGTGGAAAACCTGCTGCAAAGGCCAGACAAGGCCAACTTGTACAGTCTGTCCCCTCGGATGTCATCTTCAGATAACACATGTGCACATGTATCCCCACAAAGGCCCACGGATGAAAACGTGCAGTGGGTACATGGGAAGCAGAGATGTAGGGGATGGGGTGGGGTTGGAAATGAGGGAATTCCTTCCTTCCAGTCCCACCAGGGCAAGCCTCAGGCTCCCCATCACCACCTTCCTCAATCAACAGATGGCCAGCTTCCTCCAGAGCCTCCAAGACTAGAGCTAGCAAGGCTTAGTTAAGACCACCTGAAACCACCTGGCACCAGCACTCACCAGAGCAAACCCACCTTGGACTAGCTGTTCTCAGCACTGAGGCTGTAGTGATGTTGGCCTTAGGCAGCACATCCCCTGTTGCTCCAGCTTGGCTCATCCACGTCCCAAAACTGCTTAAAATCCGTCTCTCTCCAGACTGTTCTGCAGGATAGCAGCTAACCCAGTGTCCACTAAGGCTTCTCAAGAACCTCCCACATACATGCTTAACGCACGCTGGGTCTCCTACTCCTTGGATGAGCAGCGCTATCCTTTATCTTGAAGCAGTTTAAACAAATCTCTTCCTTGATTTGGCCTTAGCAGAGTTGCAGAGAAGCTGGGCCCCACCTTGGCTAAGGCACCTCCCTTGGTTGCTTTTCTCTCTCTCAAATGAGGGCAGGGACACTGGCTGGCACTCAGCAGGTCCTCCACACAGACACCAAAGGCTGAAGGAATTCCAGCTCATGGCTTCTCAACTTTAATGTGCAAATGGATCACACAGGAATCTTGTTAAAATGCAGATTCTAATTCAGCAGGTCTCAGGTGGGGCCTGAGATTCAGCACTTCTCACAACTCCTAGGTGAGGTCAATGCTGCTGGTCTGTGGCCCACACATTGAGTAGCAAGATTCTAGCCCATTCCATTCACTCTTTTCTGATTTCTCTGCCTTCTTCATTGTTCAAGGAGCCTCTTGGGAGTGGATAAAAGCTACTCTCTCTTAGAAAAGGACCTGCCAGCACATACACACAGTATGTTGCATAAAGTTTGGGAGCCTGCAATCCCTGGATTAAAAGCCATTCTTCTTCTTTTTTTTTTTTTTTCTTTTATAAGAGATAGGCTGTCACCCAGGCTGGAGTGCAGTGGCACAATCACAGCTCACTGCAGCCTTGACTTCCCAGGCTCAAGTGATCCTCCCATCTCAGCCGGTACTACACACCACCAAGCCTGGATAATTACTTTATTTTTTGTAGAGACAGGGTCTCGCCATGTTGCCCAAGCTGGTCTCCAACTCCTGGGCTCAAGGGATCCTCCTGCCTTGGCCTTCCAAAGAGCTTGGATTACAAGCATGAACTACCTACCATGCCTAGCCTAAAAGCCATTCTTTCGCATACACAAACCTGCAAATCTTAGTTCCTGCAGAAAAGAGGATGCAACAGGGGATAGAAAAAGAAAAAGCCTTGGCAGGGAGTGAGAACTCCTGGGTCTTGTCCCAGCTCCACTACTGACTTCCGGTGTGACATCAGACAACTTTCTGCTCCTCTCTTGAGCTTCAGTTTTCCCACCATGAGAGAAGTGGACTAGATTGGGGATGATACATAGGTTTTCTTTTTTTTTTTTTTTTTTGCCAACTCTGGTAGCTGTTGCCTGAAATACCCTGTGCTAAGAATTCTTAGACTGTGCCTGGACTTGGCAGAAAAGGATGCCATGATTGATTGGTGATGCCTGCCATGGTCCCAGGAAAGGGGGCCTTGATTGATTGGTGTTGTCTGCCAAGATCCCAGGCCTGGAGGGTGATGGGCTTCCTGCCAGATGTCCGCCTACCCCAGAGAGCCCTTCCAGCTGTGACATTCCACACAGCTCATTCAGAGTCATGCCACACTGGGCAAAGAGAAGTCTGTGCCTGTCCTCAAGGGGGCAGGAAGGGATAATTCTTTAAGCTTCTGGCTTCTCAAACCTGCTGCCCTACAGCCCCCTTTGAGAAGAGGTAGCAGAATCCCTGCTCAGTGGCAGAGGACAGCATGTCCTTGTGCTCCCATCCTTCCCTATTTTTAACTCCAAGGACAGCAGCTCAGGCAGAAGCTGAAATATGGAAGGGCCACCCAGCCTCTGAGGGAGGGGAACCACACCCCCACCATCATTCCCAAACTGCTCCATGGTTGGCCAAGTGAGAGTCGAGGCAAGGGACAGAAGGTTCCTCACCTCCCGTGTGAATCTCTCACAGCCCCATCCCATCCTTCCCCAGGCAGGGCCAGTCACCCCTCCTTGGTACACCCACAGACCTCTCTGCTAGTCCCTATCCTGCTGCACCCTGTATTTGTTCATTCATGCACCCCATTTACATATATGTGCCAGCCTTCATACTAGTGCCGAGGACGCAGCATTGAACAAGACAGATGGGGGTCCTCACCCACTGAGCTCTTCTAGTCTAGGGTGGAAGACAGACAGCAAACAGGATGGCAGCATAATTCTGTAGTTACAACTATAGTCTAAGTGCTTAGAAGAGAACTGTACCATGGTCACCCCATGTGCCTGTACACTCCTCAAGAACTGGAATTCTCTCACTCATCTTTCTATCCCTGGAACCTAAGGCCTAAGCTGGCAGAAAGGAGGGTTCAGAGATTATTTGTTGATTGAAAATATTACACAAGAGACATCATGTGAAGTTTGAGAGCCCTACAGGAGCCTGTCTCAGACTAGATGAGATTCATTCATTCATTCACTCATTCACTCACAAAGTATTTTTTTTGAGCACTTTCTACATGTCCAACACGGTTCTAGGCACTGGACCTAGAGCAGGAAACAAGACAAGGAAAAACGAACTGTCCTCCTGAATCTCCATGCTAGGAGAGGCAAGCAAACATCAAGCCAGACAAATACAGAAAGATAGAGAGGATGCTAGAAGGCAATAAGGGCAGGGATAGGAGTTTCTCTCTGAAACAGAGTGATCAGAGAAAGCATTCCCAACACAGGGAACAGAAACGTAAAGGCCCGTGGCAGACATGTCTGGTATGTTCGAAGGAGACGAGAGTGGCTGGAGCAGACAGAGCAAGGGGGAGTGGTGTGAGATGAGGTTTGAGATGATGGGGCAGGAGGAGAGGGCAGACTGAAAAACTGACACACCTCACACCAAGCTGGCATACAATTGATGGAAGAGATGGTGGCGATGATGATAATGACAATGACGATGTGATGATAAAAGCAGCTAGCATTCATTGGGCACGGGTGACAGGTGCTATGCTACTCAATTAACATGGATTTGTTTATCTAATCCCCACAACAATCTGTGAAATATGTCTTATATTATACCCATTTTATAGATAGGGAAGCTGAGGTTCAACAAAATTTACGCAGCCTGGAGGTGGCAGGGCTGGGACGGGAACACCGGCCGCCTGGAGCCAAAGTCCACTGGCTTGCTGATCACACCCTGTCCTGTTCCACATGCACCATGAACACCAGTTTCCTCCCCTCCCAGAGTTCCTAAATCTTTTGGACTCCTTTGAAAATCTGCTGGGAGCTGCTTTTCCCCAGAGAAAAGTTTTGGTTTTCTCCAGGAAAAAAAAAAAAAAATAGAGATGCACAATGATACAACTTGAACGTAATTTCAAGAGGTTCAAGGTTATAAACTCCAGCCCTAAAAGTAAGCATTTTATAAGCATTTATAACAAAAACAAGAATTTTCAGAGTTTTCCAAAGATGCAATAGGGGAACACAAGTGTCTGCAATACCAGCTAAAACCACTTCCATACAATTTGTCAAGAGCCTATCAGGAATAAGGCACTTGTAGAATCGTATCTCATTTAAACCTCATTTTAGTCCTGTGAGGTGATTATAATTAGGATCCCTTTACAAACTAGGAAACTGAGACACACAAAGTTTAAGTAACTTGCCCAGGCTCACAGAGGTGGTATCTGGCAGAATTGAAATTAACCACAGATCTAGCTGGCTCCAGACCTCAGTCTCTATTCCAGACATTCTCTTCTGGCTTCTCCAATGGCATTTCTTCATCTTCCCAGACAGGGGAAGAAACTTGCTCAAGGTCTCACAGCTCAGCACATCTGGAGTAGCCATTAGCCACATGTGAACACTTAAACTTTAAAAAAAAATTAAGAATTCAGTCCTCAGTTGCAGGGATCACATTTCAAGTGCTGAGTAGCCACCTGTGACTAGTGGCTACAGTATCGCACAGTGCAGGCACAGAACATTTTCATCATTGCAGAAATGTCTATTGGGCAGCGCTGGGCTAGAACTTGGTCTCTTGACTGCCAATTTTAGTTTTTCCACTGTCAGGGGCTACTAGAAATTAGATTTGCTTGATAAATGAAGTTGACCATGAAGAGGAGACAGGAGGTGGGTGCAGTGGTCCATACTTATAATCCCAGCAGTTTAGAAGGCCAAAGCAGGAGGGTCATTTCAGCCCAGGAGTTCGAGACCAGCCTGGGCAACATAGCGAGACCCTGTCTCTCAAAAAATTTTGAAAACTAGCCAGTCAAGGCGGCTTGTGCCTGCTGTACAAGCTACTTGGGAGGCTGAGGTTTGAGCCCAGGAATTCAAGGCTGCAGTGAGCTATGATCACACCACTGCACTAAAATCTGGGTGACAGAGAAAGACCCTGTCTCTAAAAATAATTTTTTAAGTGGGTGATTTTACTACCCACTTAAAAAAAATGATACTGATGATGCTGATAACAGTGACTGCCATTTAGTAATAACTTTTTCACAATGTACTCCATCAACTGGAGCAGGGCTGGGCATGTATTAAGCACTCAATAAAAATGTCTTGGATGTTGAATTTACCATGAAAATGTCTTACAGAACAGTAATAATAATAAATTACTATGAAGTGAATGCCTTACGGCTGCACTGCACCCAACCACACTTAGTGTCATAAGCCTTCCAATAACCTGAGGGGTAAGCACTGTTATTGTCTCTATTTACAAATGAGGACACCGAGACACAGCAAGGTTATGTCATGTGTTTAAAGACACAGCTAACAGGGTAGAAGAAAAAAAGGGAGAGGGTGGTTTAAATCCGGGTCTGTCTGAATTTAAAATCTCTATATTTTTTACCTCCCAAATCAAGAGAGCATTTTGTGTACAACAAAGGTCTGTACAAATGTCACTTACCAGTATCATCACAGTATGAGAATTTCTTTTTATTATTATAATTTTTTTGAGACGGAGTCTCTCTCTGTCACCCAGGCTGGAGTGCAGTGGAGCGATCTCGGCTCACTGCAAGCTCCGCCTCCCAGTTCACACCATTCTCCTGCCTCCGCCTCCTGAGTAGCTGGGACGGCAGGCACCCGCCACCACACCCGGCTAATTTTTTGTATTTTTAGTAGAGACAGGGTTTCACCATGTTAGCCAGGATGGTCTCAATCTCCTGGCCTCGTGATCCGCCCGTCATCACAATATGAGAATTTCTTATTTTTTTGAGAGATAGGGCCTTGCTGTTGTCCAGGTTGGAGTGCTATGACACAATCGCAGCTCACTTTAACCTTAAACTTCTGGGCTCAGCAATCGTCGTACGTCAGCCTCCTGAGCAGCTAGGACTATAAGCACACGCCACCACATCTGGCTGAGTTTTATTTATTATAGAGATGGTGGTCTTGCTATGTTGCCCAGCCTGGGCTGGAACTCCTGGCCTCAAGCAATCCTCCTGCCACCTCAGCTTTCCAAAGTGCCGGGATTACAGTCATGAGATGAGCCACTGTGCCCAGCCCAACATGTGAAGATTAATGGGCCCAGGGAGAAGAAGGATTTTCCACAGTTGAGCTGCCTGTCAACAGAATGGGGAGATTGTGAGCTCTCTTTCCTGTTGCTAGAGGCACCCAAGGGAGAATAAACT
Organism: Homo sapiens; assembly: GCF_000001405.40. Classification (NCBI taxonomy): domain Eukaryota; kingdom Metazoa; phylum Chordata; class Mammalia; order Primates; family Hominidae; genus Homo; species Homo sapiens. Next base: position 44,789,989 of record NC_000020.11, read on the forward strand.
CCTACCCAGCAGGGAGACTGGGATGGGAACTGAGCTGTGGTCCCCAGGTGGGACACTGGATCAGCACAGAGAATCCCAAATGTGGTTGAACATCAGAATCGCCTGGGAGCTTGTGAAGCAACAGAGTCCAGGCTGCACGCCTGATTTTTAATTGAGTGGTCTGGGTTGGGGATCAGGATCCTGGCTGCTGACGAAAGGCACATGCAGCGCAGGTTGAGAGTCATGGACTAGCAAAATGCTGAGTGTCCTTCTTACCCAAGATCACTGGATTACAGGCCACGGAGCCACTAAAGGAACTCAGGACACACTGTTAAAAAACATATGATTTGCCCAATAATAATGAAGGCATGCTCTGGCCAGGCACTGTGCCAAGCATGACACCTGTGGTCCCATAGACCCCTCCTCCCAGGCTACCTCCTCCCCAGGCTCCTCTACCCTCCTTCCATTTTTCAACTCCAGCATCCTCTCTTCCAGGAAGCCTCCCCTGATTCCCAGAGCTGGGGACCTCTCCTTGGGGTCCCACAACAGATATGATTCTCACTTGTGAATGTCCGCGTCTATGTTTACCCGCTGCCACTCCAGGCTGTGACAATGCTAGTGTCTCACTCAAGTCCTTGTGCCCAGCACCTAGGGCCTGGCCCAGTGCAGGTGCTCACTAAACATCTGCAGAGAGGACTTGCTCTGCTCCATGAAGGATGGACAGAGGAGGCAGTGAAGAAAGCAGCCGCTGCAGGAAGGAAGTAATCCAGGTCACCAGGTTGGAAGGAGACAGAACCTACAAATTCTCCCCGCCACTGTTCAGAAGAGGCCTGGGCTATTTATAGCTCACAAGCCTTCTGCTTCTTGCATTTAAATGCAGGGCCAGGCATAGAATAAAATCCTGGGGAGGTCTGTCAGTTTTCAAATTTATTTATTTATTTTCTATAAGAACGGGAGCAGAAAGCAGGGACAAAAATGAACCATGCCTATTAGGGTGCGCTGCCTCGTGCTGTCCCTAGGTCTGCCTTGCCAAGTCTGTTGACAGAAGAGTTGCACGCAGTTCTAGACCTGATCCTAGAAATCAGAGTATCCCTGTGGAGACTGGCCTGTGAAGGTCCTTTTAAGGTGATTTTTAAATGGTAGCTTCAGCTTACAAACTAGTATTACAGCATGACCCTGCTTTGGTTTAAATATGTGTTGTGTGTGTGCACGCGCACGCGCACACACCCCCTAGAGAGAAATAGCCCTAGTGGTGAAGCATTCTACTTTTGGATTATAGAATTTGAGACATTTTAATTTTCTTTTGGTGTGCTTTCTCTGCATTTTCCCAAAATTGCCACCATGGGTGCACATAGCATATACGGTGTTATGAGGATGTTAGACTCAAGGAAACCAGCTCTGCCACTTGCTAGCTGTCTGACCTTGGGGGAATTACCTAATTTCTTCATCTGTAAAGTGGGAATAGCGACAGAACCTTTCTTAGAGGTTTGCTCCAAGGATTGTATAAGGTAACATATGTGAAATCCTAGCACGGCATCTGGAATGTGGCATGTGCTCAGGAAATGCCAGCTAGTATAACTGGACAAGCATTTGTAACTCGTGAAAGCATGATACCGTTTTTAAAAATTAAAACCACAAATGGCGACTCTCCCACTCCCGGGTGTGGAAGGAGCCCTGAGAAGGGACTGGATCATGGCTGGCTGAGGAGGGCTGAGAGGCCTGAGTTCCAACTCGACCTGCCTGAAAATGCACAAATGACTCCTTCTCCTCTTGATCAGTTTTCTGACTTTGAAAAGGATGGTGGTAAGGGGTGGATGTTAAGTCCTGCTCCTCTAAGCAGAGGCCCCAGAGGCCTGACGATGATGCTATAACTCAGATCTCCAAGAAGGAGCTGATCGTGGTCCCACCCACCCCCTTTCCTAGCTCCATTTCTTCCCTGTGTCCACTTCCTAATGTACCTGCTTTGCCCCACTGAGACGTAAATAAACCCCAGGAACCTTCTTCCTAATCACACAGGACCCCAGTGATCTGGGGCACCTTCCCCACATCCAGCCTAGTAATCAGCCTCTCACCCTTCAAGGTGGGACTCAGCACTCTCTGCTAAATGGAATCACCGTTATCTGCTCTGCTTGTCTTTCCTCCTGGGCTGAGAAAGTCCTGGTCCTATTTAGCACCATAACTTCAGTGCCCAGCACACTGGAGTGGGCCAGTGATATCTGTTGACTGCATAAAGAATGCTGTAAAATATGATCCAGGGCAGTGCCGAGCAGTGGGTGGGCTCACAGACTCGAGTGTCAGGCAGGTCAGTGTTTGAATTTATTATTATAATTTTTTTTTTTTTTGAGACAGAGTTTCGCTCTTGTTGCCCAGGCTGGAGTACAGTGGTGTGATCTCGGCTCACTGCAACCTCCACCTCCTAGATTCAAGTGATTCTCCTGCCTCAGCCTCCTGAGTAGCTGGGATTAGAGGCATGTGCCACCATGCACAGCTAATTTTGTATTTTTAGTAGAGACAGGGTTTCTCCATGTTGGTCAGGCTGGTCTTGAACTCTTGACCTTAGGAGATCCACCCACCTCAGCCTCCCAAAGTGCTGGGATTGCAGGCATGAGCCACCGTGCCCGGCCTGAACTTACTATTGAATGGCCCTGGGCCAAAGATGGGCCTGTCCTTTCTGAGCTTTAGTTTCCTCATCTGCACAATGGGTATGACAATGGTATACCCCTCATAGTCTGACATTTCAGTAAGATTATCCAGGTAAAGTATTCAGAATACCTGGCATATATGAAATAATAAATATTACTATCATAATGAGAATGATTATTAAAAATGTAAAATGACTTGGTGGCTATCTCCAGAAACCAGTTTCAGCACTTTCCTTTCAGATCTGGTTCGGGTCTGTGGGGTCAGAAGAACTCCCGGACAGAGTGCTCCCTGCACAAAAATGCCCGACTGAGAAGGGGCACAAGCAGAGGTACAGCCTGTTTTCCCTTACCCAGCCGTGCACCCTGCTGGCACTGGAGAAAGGGGAACCTTGTTCTGATTCATCCTCCTAGAGGAGGCAGCGTTTTTAAAATTCAACCACCAGGATGGGGGTAGGGAGAGAAGTGCCTTCCTCTAACTTGCATAAGGATGCCATATAAGCGCTGTGTCTGGACCAGGTCCTCATTATGGGGCCACGAGAGGAAGGGCCACCCTGGGCTGTGCTCACTCTCAGTTCTAAGGATAACACAAAGGCCCCTCCAAGATTGTGCGGCCCAGGGCAGGAGTACAAATGGAGGACTTCATACTTATTCTAAATATGTAAAAGTTTAAATCAGGCTATTAAATAAAATATGTTCTATCTTTTCATTCTGACAAATATGTCTTCATAATGACCTTCAAGGCCAGGACAGCTCAAATTTAGAATCCTCCAAGTGCCACAGATGAATGCGGAGGGGGAGGGAGCCAACCCTCAGCCATGGTCCACCCTTTCTCCCTCTGCTCCCATATCCAGAGGGCTCACTCTGCACATCTGTGCCGGCTGTCGCCTCCACAAACAGCACCTTCAGGGCCACCCTCAGGATACTGCTGATGGATGCATCCATCCTCAGGAGAATGAAGCCAGGGAAGGGGTTGAGACAGACCCTGAAAGCTGACTCAGGGCCATTTGGGCAGGGAATTTCAGGGTCCCCACGTCTAGAACAGGCCTAGAAGGAGGAGTTCAGGTGGGTAATAAGAGTGAAGCCAGAGGCCTGACTGGAGGAGGGTCAGAGAACATTCCAGTAATGCTGGCGACCTGAGATCAGGGCCCTCCTTGCCCAGGTCTAAAGGTAGAAATGAAGGCTGGGCATGGTGGCTCATGCTTGTAATCCCAGTGTATTGGGAGACCAAGGTGAGAGGATTGCTTCAGCCCAAGAGTTCAAGACCAGCCTGGGCAACATAGCGAGATTCTGTCTCTACAAAAAAAATAAAATTAGCTGGGCAGGCTGGCATGTACCTGTAGTCCCAGCTTTTTGGGACGCTGAGGCAGGAGGATCACTTGAGCCCAAGAGTTTGCGGCTTCAGTGGGCCATGACTGAGCCAGTGCACTCCAAGCCTGGGTGACAGAGTGAGACCCTGTCTCTAAAAATAAAGGCAGGAATGAGACAGTACCCAATTCTACCGCCAGCCAGGTCTGATATTCACCAAATGGGTCATGAGAAAACTCACAAGAGGTTTATAAGGGGTGATTCCTTTGGGAACTGTGGTCTCCAATTTTTACCAAAGCCTTTCCCAAATCAACAGATGTACCAACCACTTGGGGGTGAGGTAGGCATGAAGCTTCTCTCGCTTTCTTCCCCAGCAAGGCTCAGATTGAGGAGTCGCATCTGTAGGCCCCATCCCAGCCTGGGCCTTTTCTGGGGCTGGAGACATTCAGACCCCACTCCCAATTCCTGACCAGGGTTGAGTTCGTCAACCATTCAAACTTAGCCTTAACTAAAGAGCGGTTTTCCTGTATTTTTTTATTTTAATTTTTTAAAGACTTAGACATTTACCTCTGGAGAGAAATTATGGGCTTCAAGAGTTCTTGACAAAGAGCTTCGTTCCAGAAATATAAAGCCGGCATTTTAAATTTGGTTCTTATTCACTGCTGGAAAGTATTAGAATGAAGATTACAAATTTAATAATGTAACACGGCAGGAACTGGCCTGGCCTTGTCTCCAGGAGAGTAATTTGTTCCTGCCTTCAAACCGGCACTTCCCAGCCTCCCGGCATCACCAGACCAGCCTGGTGCCACACTGCTGACTTTTTTTGTCTCTTGCGCACTGGCCCACGTGGCCAGCCCAGACACCAGGAGATATCACTATCCTGGCCTGAGAACTAGGGATAGATGGTCAGATCTGTCTGGGGAGAGCCACTATAACCAAAGGGAGCCATCTCTGGGTCTCTTGGCTTCACTCCTTGCCTGCGGCCAGAGAGGTATTTAAAGATTGGCAAACCCCAAATCTGAGTTTGTCACATCCCTGCTAAAAACCCAAGAGGGGTTCCAACTGACCTTAAGCTCAAGCCCAAGAGCCTCACCTTTAAAGGCCTAGTATCATCCAGTTCTGCTACCTCCCAACAACATACCCCTTTCCCTGGGCTTTCAAAAGACCATGGCCCACTCCTGCCTCAGGGCCCCTGCACAACTGCTAATACTAACAAGAGCTAACATTTATTGAGCACTAATTATGTACCACGCACTGTGCTAAGGGCTTCACAGGTGTCCTCTCACCCCTACCCTGTAAGGTAGGCAATGGAGCCAAGTGGCGAAGCTCCAGAGCCCAAAGAGCTGGACTTGAATTCTGCCTTGGACCCTGTGTGATCTTGGGCAACTTACCTAATGTTTCTGTGCCTCAGTTTCCTCATCTATAAAATAGGGATAGCCAGCCAGGCGCAGTGGCTCACGCCTGTAATCCCAGCACTTTGGGAGGCTGAGGCAGGCGGATCATGAAGTCAGGAGATCGAGACCATCCTGGCTAATACAGTGAAACCCCATCTCCACTAAAACAAAAAATTAGCCAGGTGTGATGGCGGGCGCCTGCAGTCCCAGCTACTTGGGAGGCTGAGGCAGGAGAATGGAGTGAACCTGGGAGGCAGAGCTTGAAGTGAGCCAAGATCGTGCCACTGCACTCCAGCCTGGGAGACAGAGCGAGACTCCATCTCCAAAAAAAAAAATAGGGATAGCCCCCAAAACAACCTCACAGAGTAGTTTTGGGGCTCGAATGAGTGAATGGAAGTGAAGTGTCAGAATGCAAGGGGTGCCATGTGAGCCATGGTAATTATCTGTATCGGCCTTTTACACAGAGAGAAACAGAAGCACCACCAAGTGAAAAATAATGTGGAACAGGTCACGCAGCAGCTAAGCAGAGTGTGGTCTCCAGACTCTGAAGCCCTTAATTTTTACCATGATATGCCCATTGTAGAAAATCTGGAAAATACAAAAAAAGCACAAACTAGAAAGCAAAAACTATCCATAATTCTGTCATGCAGAAGCAATTATAGTTATTTCCATCTGTGGGGAGAGGGGAGCGGGAGCGGGAGAGACAGCCAGAGAGTCCAGGATTCCATCCCCCTTCCCATCACTATCAAGTCTGTGTTCACAGCATCCTGTCTCACCCCCTCCCCTCCCCTGCCGTGCCTTCACTTGGCCAACGCTACTCACACCTCAGGTCTCTGCTGAGCTGTCCCCCTCCCTGTGCCCCCCACCCAACATGTCAGTTCTCCCTGCTATGGCCTTTCCCAGCACCCTGTACTTGTCTTATATGCCTCTTTATCACAGGCATGATCGGATTATTAGTTGCTTCTTCAAGCTGTGTAATGTCCAACAACCCCCCTCACCCCAGGAACCAGAATGTAATTCCATGACAACAAAGACTGGACTTGCCTTAGGTCACCAGAACACAGCTTGGCCATGAGCAACTACTGGAGAAGAAAGAAGGAAATAGAGTGGGGAGGAAGGAGAGGAGAGAGAAGGGGAGGAAGGGAGGGGCTTGGGATTCAACTCTGCCTTTCCCAAGTCAGTGCCCATTGGTGGGATGCAGATGGGAATCACACAGTCCCTGCCCTGCAGGGGCTCACAGTGTGACAGTGAAAAAGTGAAAAGCCAGACTGTGCAAGCACAGGAGAAGGAGAAAAGCAAAGTACCACAGGGGCTCCCAGGAATGGTCACCTCCACCCTAGAGAAGAAGGGTGTGCTTCCTGGAGGAGGTGACCCTGGAGCCCTGGAGAAGGAGACATCAGGCACCCCAGCTGAGGAAATGGCCTAAGTGAGGCATGGAGGGAGAAAACTCAAACAAGACTGTCAAATATGAAGAAGCTGGGTTTTGCCTGGAAGGAACAAATGCTTGGAAGAGCTGTAAATATGAAGTCAACTAATCTGGCTCTATACAACACTTGTTTCCTGTGTTCATCCTGTGCCTTTCTAGTACATTCTCCAAATAGTCAAACAAGCCATTCCTCTGAGCTGGAGTGAGCAATGCTGTCATTCCTCATGTCCTAACCCCTTGTCCTAGCCCAGTCTCCTATTGCCAGCACCTGCATTTCTCTGCCTGAGGGCTACCACCCATGGCAGGCTGGAAATAAACAGGCAATAACCAACTCTCTGATCTTCCCTAGCAGCTCTTAACCAATTACTGATGGGAACTGCTGTATAAATACCTGAGCTCCCTCTTTCCTGGGTGGGATAACTAAAGCGCGTGTTCTACCCCAGGAGTCTGCAAACTATGGGCCTCGGACTAAATCCATCTTGCTGCCTATTTTTGTAAATAAAGTTTTATTAGAACACAGCTCACCCTTTCATTTACATATTGTCTGGGGCTGCTTTCTCACTACAACTTCATGATTGAGCAGTTACAACAGAGACTGTAATCCTGCAAAGACTAAAATATCTACTGTCTGGCCCTTTACAGAAGCAGCTTGCTGAGTTCTGTGCTACACTGTCTCCCCAGAAGTCCCCAGCAAGACTAAACTCCAGTTGCCCTTGCTTGGGTTAACCTGCCTGATAATACACAGTCTCCTGACTTCTTTCTCTGCCTCACTTTCTCACTCCCATCCTGGGGTTTCATCCATCACCTTTGTGAACCATATGAAGCATACAAAATTCTATTAGACTGCTTCCACTAATAAAATGGCAGTTTCAGGTGGTTTGCCCTAATACTTGTACTTGATTCCTTGTGTCAGGCTCTGTTCTGGGAAAACCTAAACTAGGAGAGCAGGGCAAGTGTCATCATGCCCATTTTACAGACGAGCCCTAATTTAAAGCTGTTCCCTGCACACACATTGTCTCCTCAGCAAAGGCAGAGGTCAGCCTTGGTTTGAGACCCTTCCCGCACTCCCCAGTCAGAGCCTTGCCATGTGTCTTTGATATGTGCAGTATCATTAAACCACCTGTAGGTTACCTCCTGCTTATAGCTGTGAACCTGTTCATCTAATGAGGAAATCAAAGTTCAAAGAGGGGAATGACTTGCCCAGGGTCAGTTGGCAAACTGGCAGAAATGAGATCTCAAACCCAGGTTTCTTTATGACAAATCCAGGGCTCATCCCACGACAAATCAACTACCCCTTCTGCTTTCACCTCAGGCCACCTATTAGGGCCTCTGCCCTCCTCTCTGGATACACGGCCAACTTTTCATGAGGATCAGGCAGGCTCAAATATATTAAAATCCTTTGTCAGACACAAAAGACTTCATGTCTGCAAGGTGCAAAGTAGAAAGTCAGGACAGGCACCCTCCAAAGAGGGACTTGGAAAGAGGCCCACAAAGAAGCATGAGATACATGTATATATTCATGAAAAACATTAAATACAGTACAGAATGCTGGAAAGAACACAAGTGTTGGAATAGGCCTGGGTTTGAAGTCCTGTTCTGCCCCTCACTAGCTGTATGACCTTGGCCAAGTCAGAAGTCCATCCAGATGCTCAATTTCTCCATATGGCCGAATGTAATGACTATGCCCACCTTGTGGAGGGTGACCTGAAACGAGGGTTGGACACTGCTGAGCACAGAGCTGAGCACACCCACTCTCCCCACTCTGTAGTCAGGGGTTCCCAGACAGTGGGTGAGTGGACCCCACTGGTATCCTGGCCAGATCCCCCATGCTAAGCAGGTCCCCCATCACTCAGCTGCCATGAGTATCTGCTGGTGCCGGCTCACAGCTGCCCCATCTTTGGACAACTGCCCTTAGCTCATAGGAGCTGCCTTGCCCCAACAGTTATGCCCTCGGGGGACTACCCTGCTATAGGAGTACCGAAGCCTAGTCAACCCTGCCATGCCATCCATTCTCCAGAGCTCCCCAGGATCTGGCTGAAGTTAGCCTGCAGCCAAGTGCCCATGTCTGGCTGCTTCTTCTCCTGCCCCATGCTGCGTCTCCCTCTCCCTCTCTTGCAGGTTTCACCTGCGAGCACTCCCACAGAGCACTTGCACAAAAATCCACTTCTCAGGCTAAGACAGTGGAAACAGGAGTGAAGAGTTCTCCTGATTTTCTGTATTCGTTACAAAATCAAGTGACTTCTGGGGAAAGTCCAGAGAAGAAGGTACATGTTAAATTCTCCCTTGAGCCGGGTGTGGTGGCTCATGCCTGTAATCCCCGCCCTTTGGGAGGCTGAGGTGGGCAGATCACCTGAGGTCAGGAGTTCGAGACCAGCCTGCCCAATATGGTGAAACTCCATCTCTACTAAAAATATAAAAATTAGCTGGGCATGGTGGCACGCGCCTGTAGTCCCAGCCACTCAGGAGGCTGAGGCAGGAGAATTACATGAACCCAGGAGGCAGAGGTTACAGTGACCTGAGATCATGCCACTGCACTCTAGACTGGGCAACAGAGCAAGACTCCATCTCAGAAAAAAAAAAAATTATCCCTTGCTAGAGCCACACACCTGACTCCCCTCAGGGCCCAGCTGCCCAGTTTGGGGGTCCCTCTGCGAGGACTTAGCATGCCCAGTAGAAGCTGGGCACAAATGGTAAGTTTCCTGAGGCCAGATGGCTCGGGGGTGGCTCGGCCAGGGCTTGGATGGGCCCCGGAGGCACCTGGTCCAGTCTTGGTGTTGGGCCCAGGCTGATGAAAGATGCTGCTCAAGACATTTGCTGAGGAACTAATTAATTT